>NC_000006.12:36423636-36726666 GCF_000001405.40 Homo sapiens | reverse complement strand
GTGAGAATACTATGACTGGTCCTGGTCCCTTTGTTATTATAGTCATATGAGTCTATTTATAGAATGAATTTCTAGAAGTGGAACTGCAGAATCAAATAAGATATGCCTTTTAAGTTTTTATCACTGCCAGGTGCCGTGGCTCATGCCTGTAATCCCAGCACTTTGGGAGGCCGAGGCAGGTAGATCACGAGGTCAGGAGTTCGAGACCAGCCTGGCCAATATGATGAAACCCCATCTCTACTAAAAATACAAAAATTAGCTGGATGTGGTGGTGGGCACCTGTAGTCCCAGCTACTCAGAGGCTGAAGCAGGAGAATCGCTTGAACCCGGTAAGTGGAGGTTGCAGTGAGCCCAGATCACGCCACTGTACTCCAGCCTGAGCAATACAGCGAGACTCCATCTCAAGAAGAAAAAAAAATTTTTGATCACTACTGCCTAGGTTGAAAGTAGAAGACCAGCATTTTTAGAAGGACAGGTGATTGGGTGGCTGTCCCCTAATGACCATGTTGGGAAGCCCTAATATATGCCCTGCCAGGCTGAGGGACCTCTGGCTCTGCTGCCCTCTCTCCCCTGCCTTGGGCTTGACTCATCTCTCCTTCCCTGACCTCCTGAATCCTTGGGGGGCAGTTGCCTCCTGCCTGTGTTATTAGGGCTGCTCCCTGTCCCTCTGCACCCCTACGCTCAGCCTAGGTTCCTGACACACTGATATACAGTGCCTGTTACCTCTCTTGGCCAGCTGTGTCCCAGAGCTGCAGCACAAAGCACTTGTTGTCCACCAGCAAGGTTTTGACCCGAAAATCTACTCCTAGGACACATAGAGAGGGGTGAAGCCTACTAAGTTACCATCCAGGACTCCTAGCCAAGGCCTACCCCAGTATACACCTGTCCCCTGTACCAGCTGCGGTGCGATGGAGCCCTTGGCTGCCGGGCTTCCCCTCGGCTCTGCATCCCATCCATACTCGAGGACCCACTTCCTCCAAGAAGCCTTCCCAGACCTCCCTGCCGCAAGTTGTGCCAACACAGGGCACCTTGTCTATGTTGTTCATTCCTTAGGCCACCCAGAATATAAGTTTCATTATTTTATTTTTACAGTACTCTTTGTTCCATTCCCTAATTATTGCATGCACTTTCCTCTCTTAACGAGACAGCAGGGGAGACAAGGAGCCCAGAGGGGCAGAAGGAATGCTGGCTTCAGGCAACTGTTACACTGGTTACAGGACCTCAGGCAAGTCACTTCACCTCTGTGAGCCTCTCTTTCCTTGTCTGCAAAGTGGCAAATTAGAAAGACCTACACTGCAGAGTGGCTGGAGGATTAAAATGCTGTTTTAAAAGGCGTGGTGACACATGCCTGTAATCCCAGCTACTCAGGAGGCTGAGGCAAGAGAATCACTTGAACCCGGGAGGCGGAGGTTACAATGAGCCGAGATCGCGCAGCTGCACAATCTTGTTGCCTGGGCAACGAGAGTGAAACTCCATCTCAAAAAAAAAAATGCTGTTTTAAGTGACCCAGAGAGCATGCAATTCTGAACTGAAAAGAGGATAAAACTTCTGGTGTGGAGGCAGGGCTTTTAAGGTAGGTGGCCTTAACTTTGGGGGCCCAGCTAGGGCAAGAAACTGAACCAGGTCTTCAATTCTCTGCTTTCCTCATCTGTAAAATGGGGATAGATATGGAAAATGTACATTCAAATATAACTCCGTTGGCTCTGATTCTCTATCTGGTCCCGTCCTCAAATGCAGGCAGGGTAGAGTTCTTATTTTGTGAGGTGGGGGAGCAGGAATGGAGGGAAGGTGACACTAGGTAGGGAAATATTGACCTATGAAGGCAGGATCATTTCCTGTGGTATTTAAACCAGAAAAGACGATAGCCACCGGGGGGCAGCAAACCATAGCTTGGGATTGGGACAGATCTGGACCAAGCACTTGGATCTCAGGTACTCCCAGCAGGCTAGCAGTGCATGCCGGCTTGCCTGGTTGGTTGGTTGGTTGGTTGGTTGGTTGGTTGGTTGGTTGGTTGATTGGTTGGTTGGTTTCACGATTATGCAGCTGTGTTTTTCTTGATTGAATTTTGTGAGAACTTCTTACCACATAATAAAGGAGGAGGCTCCATTCTAAGGAAGGCTGTTGTAAGGAATAAGACATGTATGGAAGATGCCTAGTGCATGGGAGGTGGTCAGTAAACAGTAGCTTAGGTGACTAATAATGGTAGCCTTGGCCAGGCACAGTGGCTCACGCCTGTAATCCCAGCACTTTGGGAGGCTGAGGCGGGCAGATCACCTGAGGTCACCAGCCTGGCCAACGTGGTGAAACTTCATCTCTACTAAAAGTACAAAAATAAGCCAGGTGAAGTGGCACACACCTGTAGTCTCAGCTACTTGGGAGGCTGAGGCAGGAGAATCACTTGAACCCAGGAAGCAGAGGTTGCAGTAAGCAGAAATCGTGCCACTGCACTGGAGCCTGGGTGACAGGGCGAGACTCCATCTCAAAAAATAAATAAATAAATAAATAAATAAATAAATAAATAAATAAAATAAAATAATGGTAGTGTTGTAGAACCTGTGACCCCACTCAACATCAGGCCAGCCTGCTATAGGTTTCCTCTTCCCGAGGGAACTGCATTTCTAACTAGCTCCCAGGTGAGGCTTCTTGGGCAAGAAAAGTTTGAGAACCTGCCCCAGGCCTCTCTTGTGGGGGGCTGTCATTTACCGACTGGTCTGGCTCTGATCCCCAGTCGGCATGTGCCCTGGTCTAATACAAAGACAGGCGTGACTTCTTTGTCCCTAGGTGGGTCTCCCCTCCATTCCCTCGGGTTTGCTTTTTTTTTTTTTTTTTTGGGAGACGGAATCTTGCTCTGTCGCCCAGGCTGGAGTGCAGTGGTGCGATCTCGACTCACTGCAAGCACCGCCTCCTGGGTTCACGTCATTCTCCTGCCTCAGCCTCCCGAGTAGCTGGGACTACAAGCAACCGCCACCATGCCCGGCTAATTTTTTGTATTTTTAGTAAAGACAGGGTTTCACTGCGTTAGCCGGGATGGTCTCGATCTCCTGACCTTGTGATCCGCCCGCCTCAGCCTCCCAAAGTGTTGGGATTACAGGTGTGAGCCACTGCGCCCGGCTGGGTTTGCTTTTCTGTAGCTCTGTACAGGGTTCAGTGGCCACATATCCTGATACTTTTAGGGAGGGAAGGCTCTCTGCTTTCGGCCATTTCTTGCAGGAGCCACTGAGTTAGACATGATCAAATATTTACTTATAATAATAATAACAACCATAATAACTAATACTTACTGAGTACTCACTACATGTCAGTTATGATTCTAAGATCTTGACATATTAACTAGTCCTCAACCACTCTAGGAAGGCAGCACTACTGTTGTCCCCATTATGCAGATGAGGATTTGGGGGTTCAAAAGGGTTAAATCATTTGTCCAAATTCAGACCCTAATAAGTGGCAGGGCTAAGATTTGAACTCAGGCACCTGGCTTCCTAATTTACCACACTCTACAAATACATTCTGTGTAAAATATCCAACTTGCCCAAGGTGACTTCTTGCCAGACCATGGCTGCCCAGCCTGGAGCTAGTCATGAGCAAATCCAACCAGCACAGAACCTGCTCTGGCCTGCCCATGGGCCACATGAGTGGATACTTGCTTGTTTTCACCATCAACTCTCGCAGGCACCTAAATTGCAGGGTGCATTGTTGATGTGGCACCTTATAAGCTAATCAGATCAATGCAGAAAAAACAAATTACCTGTAATTAGAGACGATTAGTGAAATAGTAAGGTTATGCCCATATAAAACAATGTCTAATGCAGGGCCCGTGGCCAGGGCAGAACCTGCAGCTTCCTCAGGGAGGGCTTGGTCTGGGCCCGCTCTCACTCGTTGGCCCTGGCCCCTGCGTCTCTCCTTGCTCCCTGCCGCCCTCCCCAATGCCCTTACCCACGGTAGCTGTCAATCCGGTGGCGAAAGAATTCTGGTGCAGCAGGTGCAGGAAGGATGTTTTGCCCACGTTGGAGTCTCCCAGAAAGATGACATGGAAGAGGTAATCAGGGTTGGCCTGGGGTCCCCCTCCAGCCATGGGGTCTCCCGGGGATGGGGTCAGCCCAGCTTCCCTGGAGTCCATTCCTGGATCTTCAAGCCTGCTCTCTGCCCTTGGTTCCCTGGAGTGAGGCGGGCCTTGTTCTTCTGCGTGAGCAGTCGTGAGGGATGGCCTGGGTTGGGCTTCCTGCTCAGCCATGGTGGGAGGGGTTTGCGTGGGTTCCTGGGGTCCTGCTCCAGCCCCAGGCTGAGCCCCCCTGGGAGGAGAGCCCCTTGGAGGTGCCGATTTTCCAGGAGTGGGGCCTTCTGCTTCCACCTGAGCCTGTGGTGTGGCAGATGGGAGAGAAACAAGCAGAGAGTCTTGCTGGGGGAGTTCCGAATGCGCAGTTTCTAGGCCGTGAGCCTCAACCGACTGCTCTGACTGCTCTGAACTGAGGTCCTGCCCACCTCTGCCCTCTTGTTTTCCTTCCTCAGACCTGGGTTCCTCTTCCAGCTCCTGGTGGGGGAAGGCAGACAGCTCACCCAGCCCAAGGACCTGGCCATGAGCTTCTCTTAGCCCCTCAGGAAGGCCCTCCTGCACCGCTGGGCCCGCCTGGCCCTGCTCCAGCCTCTCTGTGGGCACCGGACCCACAAATTCCAGGCCCTGGAAGGGCTCAGCTGGCCCCAGGGTGAGGGCTCTAGCCCTCTGGGTCCCCAGTCTTGGCTCAGAGCCAGTGGCATGCAGGTCCTGCTGGAGGGCATCTCTCTGCCTGGGCGGCTTGGCTGGGCCCACTCCTGTGAGGGCAGTTGTGGGTGAGGGTCCGGGCTGGGTTTCCCGCTCAGTCATGGTGGGAGGGGTTTGTGTGGGTTCCTGGGGTCCTGCTCCAGCCCCAGGCTGAGCCCCGCTGGGAGGAGCCCAAGACCCAGGGCCCTTGTCATCTGGGTCTGAGGCCTGGATCTGTTTGCTGGACCCAGCTGGGGCCTGGGGAGGGGGAGAGTTCGCAGGGGGAGGGGGCCCATCCTCCAAAGGAATGAGCACTTTGAATGCAGGTGCCACCAGGCTTCCTGAGAGACCCCAGAGGAGGCGGCCCTCGGGTGTGGACCCTGGCTCCTGGTTGGGGTCCGGGTCGTGCGGTTCAACAGGCTGCTCTGCTCTAATGTCCTGCTCATGTGGGTCCACTCCTTTATTGTCCTTGGCGCTGAAAGTCACCCCAGGTGGGGTCCTTGGAGCCCCATCTGGATCTGAAGATGGCTCCTGACCAAATAGAAAAGCCTGTGGCTCCGAGATGGAGATCTGCCTGACCACACGGGGTGTCTGGGGGCCTGAGGTGGCTCTTGGGGTCGGGGGCGGGCTCCAGCAGAGCTGCAGGGCTCCGTGCGGAGGGCTGCCAAAGTTGCTCAGTAGCTGGTCCCAGTCATCGTTGTCCCCAAATAGCCCAGGCAGGGGGGCCTCCTCAGGGGAGGCAGCCTGAGGGTCTGGGGTCTTCTCACCCGCTCCAGGAAAACTGGAAATGAAGCAGGGAAGCAAAGATCGGGGAGGGGCAGGTAGGTGGTGTCACACCCATCCCACCTGCAGCCCTCACCATCCCTTGCTCTCCCCATGGCCAGGTCTCCTCCCAGTCCTTGCTCAGGCAATCTTTCTCACCTGGTATGTGCTCCCCATTCCTCCTCCTCATCCAATCCTGTCCATCCTCAAGACCCACATGAAGCCTCACCTCCTCCAGGAAGCCTTCCTTGATCATTCTGGCCCATCCCACTTCTCTGAGCTATAACAAGTAGAGTGAGTGCCTGCTAGGGATCTAGCACTGCACTAGGACATGTGTGTGTGTGTATGTGTGTGTGTATGTGTGTACACGTACATGCACACATGTGCATGTTTTACTTCTAGCCATGTGGCCTTGGGCACAGGTGTTTCCCTTTTTTGTGCCCCAGTTTCCTCATCTGAGAAATGGTTGTGATAGTTCCAGCTTGGCAGAGGGTGGGGTTTAAGGAAGGAGTCTATGTGTGCACTGTGTGCTAGCTAGATCCTTAGAGAACTCAGAGTTCCCCACTGGTTCCAGGAGGCCCTTAGAGTCCACCCCAGTCCAGGGATAGCAGCCACTTGCCTCAGTTTCTCCTCCACCTGCCAGGACACCCGGCCCCTGGCGGCGTCCAGGCGCCCCCTGGTCACCTGCAGCTGCCCCCGCACCTCCTCCAGCCGCCCAGCCAGGTCACGCTTGGCCTCCTGCAGCTGCTGGTTCTCTGAGGCAGCCTCCTGATGTGTGCTCCTGAGGTGGGAGAGCTGGGCCTCCAGCTGCAGGGTGGAGGGTGAGGCGGAGAGAAGCCCAGATGCCCTCCAGGGCGCAAAAAGCCTCCCAAGGCCATTGTGGGACACAGACCCCCACCCCCTGTCCAGGCTCCTGGAGACCCAGCTTAAATCAGAGTAGTGGTGGGCGGTTATCCCTCCTTGGCCTAACTAGCTCCATTAGCTCCTATCTAGGAGGGGCACTGGAAATCCTAGGGTGGGGAGGGCAGGGAGACTGTGTGAGAAACAAAAACCACCAGCGCCACAAAGGCCCCACACCCAAGCCAAATCCCACCCTCCTCTACTCAGCGCCCTACAGTGGCTGCTGGCCCCTGAGCCTGTCTGGTCTACAGGGGGCTCCTGATCCAACAGCAAATCTCATGACCCAGAGAGGGAGCATTGCTTGGCCAAGTGAAGGGAAAGGCAAAGCTCTTGCAATGGCCTCCGGGACACTGCACAGTCTCCTGCAGCCTCCTCACCTCCCCTCATGACCCTCACCTCCTTTCCTATGGCTGTTGCCTCAGTCTGTTCCAGTCCACAGCTCTGCTTACTGTTCTGTGAACTTCCACAGCTCATGCCCGCTCAGGGCCTTCGCACCTGCTGTTCCCTCTGCCTGGATGCCCTTCCCCCACATATCACACTTCTCCAGGTCTTCGCTCCAATGTCATCATCTCAGCCAGGCCTTCCTTGACTCCCTTCTCAACTTACTTTGACTACGATTTCAACTCCTACGACTCTTCTATCCCCCTTCCCTGTTTTACTTTATTCTCCTTAGCACTGATCACCATTTCCTATGTTATTATGTCACCTGTCTCCCTGACTAGATGGTAACTCTGTGGGCAGAGGTTTGTGTCTGTCATGATCCTCAGGACCTGGAACAGTGTCTGGCACATAGTTGGTGCTGGATAAGTAGCTGTGGGGTGAAGGAATAAATGATTGGAGGGGAGAAGCTTCACATCCACAGGGGACAGGACGAAATGGCCCCATGTGTAAAGCCCTATCTCTTCACTTGGCAGGAGGGGCCTGCCTCGATTTCCAAGGAGCAGCAGCAGAGGCACCTGGGAAATCAACCTGGTAACAGGGCCAGCCCAGGCCGTGGTGAGGACGGCTCGAGGAATCTTGTCCCGGGCTGAAGGGATGCTTCTTGTCCTGGTTACAGCAGAGCACAATTTTACCAAGGTCAGTGGTCTTCAAGTTGAGAAAGGAAGAGATAATGGGGCGCTGATCACAAGGTCAGGAGATTGAGACCACGGTGAAACCCCATCTCTACTAAAAATACAAAAAATTAGCTGGGCGCAGTGATGGGCGCCTGTAGTCCCAGCTACTCGGGAGGCTGAGGCAGGAGAATGGCGTGAACCATTCTCCTGAGGTGAACTGAGGCGGAGCTTGCAGTGAGCCAAGACTGCGCCACTGCACTCCAGCCTGGGTGACAGCATGATTCCGTGTCAAAAAAAAAAAAATGGGGCAGGGTCTCAGACCCAAACACTCAACCACAGTGCCACCTGGAAGTGACTACAGGCTATAAGACCTGCAGTGTCCGGGCAGCAGCAAGTAACCTGACCCTAAGCAGGAAGCTAGGTCAGTTTCAGAGATGGAACAACTGAGGCACAAAGCACCTACTACGTGCCAGGCACTGTCTCAGGCCCTCACATGTAGTATCTCTAATCATCACAGTACCTTCTAAGGCAGGAGTTCTGATTTCCATGTCTCTGATAGGAAACTGAGGTTCATAGATATTAAAGACCTGTTCGGAAGTAGGTTTCTGGGAAACCCTATTACTCACCTCCCTCTGGCCCTCAGCTAGTCGCTGCACCTCGCGCTCCTTGGCCTCTAGGACGTCCTGCATCTGGGAGGTGAGGGCCAGGCCCCGAGAGTCGCTCTGTGGAGTAGGTAGATTCAGCCCTCACCCTGCAGACTCTAAGAGCTAGCCAGGCAGGCCAGCCCTTCTCACACTCCACCTCCACCACCTGGGGTGCCTGGGCCAGGATGCCCCAGCAGGGAGGGTTCTCAGGACAACTCCTCCAGTTCCAGCCTAGATTGTGGCAACAAGGAGACTTGGCAGAGATGGGAAGGGGGCCCAGGCTCGACACTCCCCACCTCGTCTCTCTGGGGAACACCAGCTGCTCAGGGCAGGGAGAGGATTCACTACAGCAGCCTCCTGTTCCCCACCCTGGCCAGTCACTGGCCCCATTCCTTAGCCAGCAGAGGTGTCCCGGGCAGTGGGAAGGAGGCAGGCTGCCGGCGGGAGCCCACCTCAGCCTGCAGCTGCTGCTTCTCCTGGCGGATCTGCTGCTCCATCTCCTCATAGAGCTGCTGGACCTCGCGGTGGTGGTCAGAGTCACGCCTGGGAGGAGCAGGAGTTGGGGCCAGGCAGCCCATCAGCACCTCTGGGAGCCTGCTGCTGGCAGGGGCAGTCTGGGCTTGGGTTTGGAATCCATCCTATTGCTTTCCTCACTCTGCCAGCAGTCACTGACCTCTGTCACCCTGAGAACAGCCATCCCAGTAACAACCCCCTGACCCATACAACTTTGACATTGGTCCTGCTGATCCTACCACGCCGACCCTTGTAACCGTCACCAGTTCCCCTGGCCAGGGTCTCATTGTCCCCATCACCCCATCACTCAGTCCCCACTCCCTCTTTCACCGTCCTCCTGCCCTTATAACCCAACTCCAGGGTCACCACATGCATTACAGTCTACGGGAGCAGGCCCCCTGGAGTTGGGCGTCACAGTGGGTCCTGTACCAAGACACACCCTGCCCTTCCCACTCCTGCCATTACCAACTCTGTCCTCCCCACCCGGTCCCCTGAGCCACCTCTTCCTCCAGCGCAGCTCTGCCCTATCCAGCTCACAGGCCCAGCTGCAGGAGGAGCTGGGGAAATTCAACCAGATTCCACTGGAATGTGAAGAGCACCTACTTCGTATCAGACACCCGGCCAGGCCCCCCACTCACTTCCTCAGGGTCAGCTCCAGGGCCTCCTTGTCCGCCTGGGCCTCCTGCAGGCGGCTGGTCATCTTGGCCAGAAAGCCTGCCAGGTTGCCTGCCAGCTGGGGCTCCTCCTGCCGCAGCTGCCCCCACAGTTGCCAGATTTCCATCTGCCTGGGGAGGGGAAGACAGCCAGAGATGGGAGGGTCAGACACAAGGTGGGATGGAGAAGCAAGGGGAGCCCCACTCCTCAGTTTTCACTGCAGCGCTCCAAGAGACTTTGGCACCTGGGCCAAATCTATTGACACCCTACAAGATGCAACTAAAACGCCACCTCCTCCAGGAACCATTCCCAGATGTGCCCTCTCCCTTCTCGAACCCCCGCCACACTGTGTCTCTCTATGATTCCGTAATAGTGGGATGGGGGGATTTGGGAGCCTGATGGCCCAGAGCTTCCATCTGCCCTCTCTCTTCTCTCACTCTGAGGCTGTGTGACCTCCAGCAAGTCCCAAGCCCTCTCTGGGCTCATTTGTAAAATGGGGTGGGGGCTGATACCTGCCAAGCAAGGTCACTGGGGAATGAGAAACACCTGATGAAAGCACCAGCTCAGGGCCTGCCACACGGTTGGTGCCCAATAAAGGCTGCTTTCACATGGATTTAATTAAGTCATGAGGATGGATGCCAGAGGGCTGAGCCTAGGCCAAGATGCCAAATGAATACAAAGCTCCCCACCCCCTTGCCCCACCAGTCTACACCCTAAGTCCTACCCTGCCTGCCTCACAACACCTGGCCCCACCCTCCGGGAGCCAAGCGTGAGGAATCTTGTCCTCACAGAACCCCATGGGTGGGGCAAGCAAACCTGGGCCAGTGGGTGAGGGCAATTCCCTCACTGGTTCTAACAGACCCGGGGGTCCTAGGAGGGGACGTTAGCAGGCAGGGCTCCCTTTCTATCTCTCTCTTTTTTTTTTTTTTTTTTTGAGACAGAGTCTTGCTCTGTCACCCAGGCTGGAGTGCAGTGGCGCGATCTCAGCTCACTGCAACATCCGCCTCCCAGGTTCAAGCAATTCTCCTGCCTCAGCCTCCTGAGTAGCTGGGATTACAGGCATGTGCCACCACGCCCGGCTAATTTTTGTATTTTTAGTAGAGATGGGGTTTCATCATGTTGGCCAGGCTGGTCTGGAACCCCCGACCTCAGGTGATCCACCCGCCTCAGCCTCCCAAAGTGCTGGGATTACAGGCATGAGCCACCGTGCCCGGCCAGGGCTCCCTTTCTCTAAGCAAAGGCAAACCCCTGACACCTAGAGCCTGAGATGGATGGGAGGAAATGCACTTCTGTCTCCAAACCCGTTCAACCCAGGGCACAAAATGCCTGAAATCGCCCCCAACTCCAGGAACCTTCACTGAGTGAAGAAAGGCACCTGCAGGGACCCCCATGGTTTTAAGAATTCATGTGCCTTGGGAAGCTGAGCCCAATCGCTAGTCCTCCTGGAGAGTGACCCTACAGGGCAGGACAGGGCCGGGAGGTGCAGGGGTGGGAAGGACTCCCCATGAGCAGGCATCCTCTGCACGTGGTTTTAACCCCACAACAACTTTTAGGCTCATTCTGCAGCCCAGGAAACAGAGGTCAGAAGTCAAGCCATCCCTGTGGTCACACAGCTAGCCAATGGCCAAGCCAGAATTTGCACTTGGCTCTACCTGGCGCCTGCCCCCTTGACCCCTGCTGTGTCCAGGAAAGCCCCTGCCGTCAATGGCTGGCAGAGCCTCTCCCCATGCACATGCCGCCCTGGCCTTACTTGGGAAGTAAGTGTCCAGTCCCCAGCTGCTCCATGAAGGCAAGGAACGCCTCCTTCTCCTCAGCATCCGCCTCCTCCAGAGCTGGGAAGCTGGTGGTAGCAGATACCCGCTTAGAGGGCAGTGGCTTCCTTCTGCGGAGCCTGTGGGGGCTCTGGCTGGAGCCAAAGATGTTTTCTGTGGGACAGAAGTGGACAGAGGGGAGCACAGTGGTGTTGGGCCCAGACGCCTGGCCTCCCACCCAGCCCTGGTCCAGCCCTCAGGGAAGTAATTCTACCTGTGCCAGTCACATTTACACAAGGCTACATTCACATATTTCTCATATCAACCTTAGGAGTCTATTTAAGGTACCCATTTTACAGATGAGTACCTGAGGCCCAGAGACGCCAAAAGACTTGCTGGAAATCACACCACACCTCCAAGGTGGTGAACAAATTCTTCATGCACTCAATCAATGGATATGTATTGAGCATCTACATGACAAAATTAACCAAAATCCCTAACATGGAGATGACATTCTAGTGCGAGTTGAAAAGAATATATATATATATATTTTAAGCCAACTTGCTAAGTGAGCCAAAGGAATATGCAGGGTAATTTCCACTGAGAGACTGGGAGGATCGACTTAGATGAGGTGGCTAGCAGTGTCCTAAGGAGGTGACATTGGAACTGAGATGTGAATTACAAGAAGGAGCAAACCATGTGGACTCCAGAGAAGTGTGTCCCCGGCAAAGAGAACAGCACTGCAGGGGCCCTGAGGCAGGAGCCAGGCTAGCAAGATGGACGAGGTGAATGGCACTGAGTGAGCCAGAGAGGTTGGCAGCGTCTGGATGGTGCAGGCCTTGCAGGCCCCAGGAAGGGGCTTCCAGTTTGTCCCACAGGCACTGGGAAGTTCCTGGCGTGGCGGGCATGATTCGATTCAGGAATGAAGACGGCCCCAAGGCTGCGTGGACAGCAATGCTCCCTCTGCGCCCCACCGGCAGTTCCTCCTGCCCAGCCCCTGAGTTCTCCTCCCCACTCTCAGCTTCTCCATTGCCAGAACTGGAGCAGCCTCCTCCTGGAGTGGGCCCAAGCGCAAATGCAGATTCCTGGCCCCCTTCTCTGCTGGTCTCCAGGCTTTTGGAGACTCAGCTGACCTGAGAACTCTGGGGGGCTTTGTGGACACTGAAGGCTGATCTGTGTCTTGCAGGGGCTCTGTGAGGACACCACACCTTCCATTGCCTGGGCTGGAAGGTCTTCCCAGGGAGAGGATTAGCGGGAGGATTGTGCCCTGCTGGCCATGGGCTCCCTAAGTCTTGTCAGCCCATCTAGAGAGGCAGGTGCTGGGGCAGCCCTGCCCAGTGGGGGCTCAGCACCTGGAAAGCCCCCACCCCTAGATATCACCCTCTGCTGCTCCCTGGCCCATGGAATTCCCTTAACCAAAGCCACAATGTTACTCTCCTCAGGCGGAAACAAATCTGTGGTGTCAAGACCTCTGGCTCAGGAGAAGCCTTTTACTGGGGAGAAGACATAGGAGTCAGAAAGCAAGCCCGGAGGCCTCCCTGGAGGGGCAGAGGGGATGCACAGGGGAGGGCCCCGGACCACTGTGGCAGCCGGGGATGGGGGGTGAAAGTCCCTGGGAAAAGGGTTGCCTTTCTAACGACCCAGCCTAGCCCCATGCAGGGCACACTGCACGGAACACCTGGGTGCCCAGAGGCCCTCCAAAGACAGACATACTGAGTCCAGAGCTGAATTCTTCAAGGGACAGGTGTCCCTTCCGCTCCACATCCACCCAGTCGAAGATCATCTCTGACTCTTCCTTGCTGCCCAGGAAGCTGAACTTGGCCACCTGGAAGGAATGGGCAAGTTGGGCAGGTGTTCCCACCGGGGAAGGCTCTCACCCTCCAAAACGGAGAGATGTTTGTCTTCAGCCACCCCTACCTCACCTCACCCCAATGTCAGAGTCCCTCCAGTAACCTGACCCAGGGCCTAAGCTTGACATTCCCAACCCCACCCAAGGCAGCCCTCCCAGCAGGGCCCTGAACTGGCTCCAGCTCTTTTCACTCTCTCCATCCAAAATCAAAACGTACGTGTCCTAAGTCCCATGTCTTTAGGAACTTGATAAAGGACAGCAGCCAATCCTCCCCAGAATGTGGTGATCAGTGTCCAAAAATTACCTGAGGCCAGGCGCGGTGGCTCAAGCCTGTAATCCCAATAGTTTGGGAGGTCGAGGTGGGTGGATCACCTGAGGCCAGGAGTTCAAGACCAGCCTGGACAACATAGTGAAACCCCGTCTCTACTAAAAATACAAAAATTAGCCAGGCATGGTGGCAAGCGACTGTAGTCCCAGCTACTTGGGAGACTGAGGCAGGAGAATCACTTGAACCCAGGAGGCAGAAGTTGCAGTGAGCCAAGATGGTGCCATTGCACTCCAGCCTGGGTGACAAGAGTGAAACTCCGTTTCAAAAAAATAAAAATAAAAAAGTCAATGAGTTAAATCTCCTATAAGAGTTCATTTTATATATCATGGCCTACAGGTCATGATTTTACCTTTTTGAAAATTATAACAAGTTTTGGACTAAGGTCTAGGAGATGGCCCAGTGGGCTCCTCTGGCAGAATCAAGCAGCCTGCGTGGCTGCACAAGTGCACGTCATGGGCTCTTTAAGCCCACACACTTTGGCTCTCAGAGAGGGAATCCCCAAGCATAATAGAACTTTGAGTTTGCTGATTCTCTGTTTCTCTAGTTACTTTTTTTCCTTTCTGTGAATTTCGTGTTTTTATCTGAGGCCGCACATGACTGATAAGTTATTCCCCATTGGTGGCAGCAGTGATGGTCTGGTCTAAACCAGTGATGGTCTTTATGTTCTATTTGGTGATCTCTGGGGGATGCATCATGGAGACTTAATGCCTATTGGTTGAAAAATAACAGAAAAACTGGTTTGCTAATCGTTTTGTTGTTGCTGTTGTTGTTTGTTTTTCTATTTGTGATCTCAAATTAGTTAAGAATTCCAGGCCGGGTGCAGTGGCTCACACCTGTAATCCCAGCACTTTGAGAGGCCGAGGCGGGCAGATCACTTGAGGTCAGGAGTTCGAGACCAGCCTGGCCAACATGGTGAAACTCCGTCTCTACTAAAAATACAAAAACTAGCCGGGCATTGTGGTGGGCGCCTGTAATCCCAGCTACTCAGGAGGCTGAAGCAGGGGAATCACTTGAAACCGGGAGAAGGAGGTTGCAGTGAGCCGAGATCGCACCACTGCACTCTAGCCTGGGCAACAGAATGAGACTGTATCTCAAAGAAAAATAATTTCATATCCACTGGGACTGGGAAGGAGAACAGCTCTTTGAGATCTGGATTGGTGAGTTTTCATGTTTCATGTTGTTGTGTTTACTGTCATTCAGGCTGGAATGCAGTGGCACAATCTTGGCTCACTGCAACCTCCACCTCCCGAGTTCAACTAATTCTCCTGCCTCAGCCTCTTGAGTAGCTGGGATTACCTGTGCCTGCCACCACACCTGGCTAGTTTTTGTATTTTTAGTAGAGATGGGGTTTCACCATGTTGGCCAAGCTGGTCTCGAACCCCTGACCTCAGGTGATCCACCTGCCTCAGCCTCCCAAAGTACTGGGATTACAGGCATGAGCCACCACGCCCAGCCTGCTGTGTTTACTTTTGATCTGTGGCTGGAACTGTAGAAATGAAGCAAGACATTCTCTGTGTGTCTGTGTATCTATATGTCTGTAATAGACAGGCCTTTAACTCTTTTTTTTTTTTTTGAGATGGAGTCTTACTCTGTCACTCAAGCTGGAATGCAGTGGCGCAATCTTGGCTCACTGCAACCTCCACTTCCTGGGTTCAAGTGATTCTCCTGCCTCAGCCTCCCGAGTAGCTGGGATTACAGGAATGTACCACCACGCCCGAAAGGTCTTTAACTCTTATGTCAGTGTGAAATACTTTTGTACATCTGGAAGGTATTAATAACTTAGCGTACTATGTCTCTTAAAGGAGTTCTGTGTTGATTGGTTTATAGAGACAAATAAGTGATTATATAACTCTAATTCTCCTAAAAATAACAGAAAATAACTGAAATTTGAATGCTTTAAATGACTTAGACTTAAAACAATTCTTCTTAGAAATCGCTAGCTCAGAAAATTTTTCAGGAGCCAGGTCCATATAATTAACATGATTCTTTGAACAAATTAGACTGGTTTAATAATTGTTTTGATAAAACACATATAATAGCTATCTGTCTTTTCTGTGCTTTATGTTAAGTATAATTCAAGTATACATTCTGTTTTTCATAAGATCTATATTTGTTTTCTGTGAAGAAACGAGTTAATCTAGATTTCCTATACTTCTCATTTCGACTTTCGGATCAAATAAGTCAACTTTATCTTTACATATGTTTGAGATTATAAACATGTAAATTTGTGCCCCACTAAATTGATTAATTACTCTAACAAATAAATTTTGTATCAACAGTAATTATAACTTCCAGTGTGTCACCTTAAACACAGTTTCCAAGATTCTTAGGTAACTTTAAAATTTTGAATTAATATTGAAGTACATCAATTAATAAATAATTTTTGGCTATCTGGATAATTTCTAAAACAAATTTAATACTGAAACATTGATTGCTAGGCATATTTTTAAGTTGATATATTTTTTACTTCTTATTTTCACATGCTGGAAAGTAGCTATATCTTTAGGTAATGTTAAATGAATTCATTTTTTTCTGCTTTAAAAAGTTGTGCAGTCTGGGCGAGGTGACTCACGCCTGTAATCCTAGCACTTTGGGAGACCAAGGCAAGTGGATCACCTGAGGTCAGGAGTTCAAGACCAGCCTAGCCAACATGGTGAAACCCTGTCTCTACTAAAAACACAAAACTTAGCCACACGTGATGGTGCATGCCTGTAATCCCAGCTACTCTACTCAGGAGGCTGAGGCAGGAGAATCACTTGATCCCAGGAGGCGGAGGTTGCGGTGAGCCAAGATCATGCCACTGCACTCCAGCCTGGATGACAGAGTGAGACTCCCAGGAGGCGGAGGTTGCAGTGAGCCAAGATCATGCCACTGCACTCCAGCCTGGACGACAGAGTGAGACTCCATCTCAATTAAAAAAAAAAAAAAGTTGTACAAAAGAAAGCGGCAAAGACCCAGATATTTGTATGCCCATATTCATAGCAGCATTATTTACAATCACCAAAAGAATCAACCCAAGTGTTCACTGACAGATAAGAGGGTAGACAAAATGTGACGTATATGTACAACGGAATATCATTTGGTCTTTAAAAAGAACATTTGGACACATGCTACGATACAGATAAACCTTGAGGACATTCTGCTATGTGAAATACACCAGTAACTAAAAGACAAATACTGTATGATTCCATTTCTATGAGGTATCTAGAGTAATCAAAGTTATAGAGACAGAAAGTAGACTAGGGATAGCCAGGGGTTGGGGAGAGGGAAGTATGGGAGTTACTGTTCGATGGGTGCAGAATTTCAGTTTGGCAAGATGAAAGAAGCTTTGGAGATGGCTGGGGAAATGGTGGTACAACATCGTGAATGTACTTAATGCCACTGAATGGTACATTTAAAAATAGTTAAAATGATAAATTTTCTGTTATGCATTGCATATTTGACCACTTTTTTTAAAAGTTGTGTTAGGGATATGCAAGGCTGTAGAAAGTTGGCTTATGTGTATTTGTGAGCTTTGCTTGTCTGCTAAAATGCTTGTATAAGACAGTTCTCAATTATTTACCCTTAGTTCTTTCTGTGAAAGAGGTTAATTACACTGGTTAAAAGTGCAATTAATACAGGCTGGGCATGGTGGCTCACACCTGTAATCCCAGCACTTTGGGAGGCCTAGGCAGGTGGATCACTTGAGGTCAGGAGTTCGAGACCAGCTTGGCCAACATGGTGAAACCCTGTCTCTACTAAAAACAGAAAAAATCCTCCTGGCATGGTGGCGGGCGTCTGTAATTCCAGCTAATTGGGTGGCTGAGGCATGAGAATAGCTTGAACCCAGAAGGCGGAGGTTGCAGTGAGCTGAGATTGCGCCACTGCACTACAGCCCGGACAACAGAGCAAGACCCTGTCTCAAAACAACGGCAACAACAACAACAGTTCAATTAACTACAGATGCTTGAGGCTTTACTAGGAGCTATAGCGACAGACAAACAAAACTTTGTCTGCAAGGAAAATGGGATGCACTGTTGTGTGAAATTGTCTGGTTATTCTACAACATGAAAAAGGATAAAAAGGCAAAACTTGAATGGATATAGAATGTCGTAGAAAGTTTACTGAAAGAGAATTTTATTTGCCTTGATTTATAATGCCTGAGTCTGAAAATAAGCTATGAAATGTATTAACATTTTGCCAAATTTGGCCCAGTTTTAATGGGCTTAAAAATTGATGATAAATAGGCTTGGCACAGTGGCTCATGCCTGTAATCCCAGCACTTTGGGAGGCCGAGGCGGGTGGATCACCTGAGGTTAGGAGTTCAAGACCAGCCTGGTCAACATAGTGAAACCCGTCTCTACTAAAAATAAAAATAAAAAAAAATAGCCAGAGGTGGTGGCAGGCGCCTGTAATCCCAGCTACTCAGGAGGCTGAGGCAGGGGAATCGCTTGAACCCAGGAGGCAGAGGTTGCAGTGAGCCAAGATCACGCCATTGCACTCCAGCCTGGGCAACAAGAGTGAAACTGTCTCAAATGATAATAATAAAAATAAAAATAAATAAATAAAAATAAGTAAAAAGAAATAATAAAAACTCATGAAAATTTTATGGCCACATATTCTATTAAAGCAAAACTAGAATTTATCTTTATCTCTACTAAAATAATAAATTGGTCTTAGAGCTCTTAGCAAGGGTTAAAAAGAGGCTACTGTTTAGCTTCTGTGTAAGCCTCCCAGATAACAGAGATTCCCTATCTATCTCCCCAGAATCATTTCCTCTGCTTTGTTTTGAACTTATTATATCTTATTTTAAAAAACAAAAAGCAAAGGTATCTCCCTTATAAAAAAGCTATCTACTCTTGTAATCATATTACCTTCTTCTATGTTTATTTCAAAATATTTTATTTTATTATTACTTCGATTAAATAGATAACAAA
Source organism: Homo sapiens (assembly GCF_000001405.40). Lineage (NCBI taxonomy): Eukaryota > Metazoa > Chordata > Mammalia > Primates > Hominidae > Homo > Homo sapiens. The sequence goes on along the minus strand of NC_000006.12, from coordinate 36,708,559 downwards.
GTAATATTTCTTGGTCTCCCATGACGTCTTAATCTAGTGCCTAAATCTTCTCTAACCGTTCTTTTGATTTTGCCTTCCCAAGATCAGATCCTAAATTTAGAAAAAAATACAATAAAAATTTTAAGATATCTTTCTCTATATGTTTTAAATACTTCAACACTATTACAAGATCATCATGGGAAGAGCAATCAAATCAGAAGAGATGTTCAGGCTTTCCTAGGCTAAATTTTCATAGGTAAAATGCTATTAATATCAATATTTCAGAAATTGCATGCTTTATGTGAAGGCCCTGGAGATTTTTCAATGATTTTGCTATTTATAATATGTTCTTTTTTTTTTTTCTTTCTTGAGACAGGTTCTCACTCTGCCTCCCAGGCTGGTGTGCAGTGGCGTGATCATGGCTCACTGCAGCCTTGACCTCCCAGGCTCAAGCAATCTTCCCACCTTAGCCTCCCAAGTAGCTGGGACTGCAGGTGCACACCACCACACCTGGCTAATTTTTTAAACCTTTTTATAGGATGGAATCTCTCCATATTGTCCAGACTGGTCTTGAATTTCTGGGCTCAAGTGATCCTCCTGCCTCAGCCTCCCAAAGTCCTGGTATTACAGGCAGTATGTTTTTATCTTCAGGGGAAAAACTGATCAAACCATTATGAAATAGTTGTGCATTGTACCCCAGGAGAGAATTCCACTGTCCTCCGTTCTGATATTATTAGGTAGTGTAATACATAACCACAGCCTTTCAGTGTCATTACTGGACATGTTTCTCCTTTCCAATGCCTGCCTGAAGCCTCTGCTATAAGCTGCAGGCCACAGACTGCATCTTCAACAAAGAAAAACACACTCAAAGTCTAGAGAAAAAGGACTGTACCAGGTTCGATGAACTATTTATGCTTCACTTGGGTGTAGGCTTCCAAGCTGACACTGGATGTCCTTTTGACTGAGCTAGTAGACTGAGGATTCCTACAACTCTTTTGAGTCCAAAAGCAGACAGCTTACCCAAGATCCGGCAGAACAATAATTGATTACATGGTGTTGATTGAACAGCCAAAGGAAATCTAGTTATGGCTCTTTGTGGGCAATATAGTTGATATTATTTTTTATTGTTCTACTTTAATAGATCTGTAAGGAAGCTCTTTCCTGGTCTTCTTGAGCTGTCTCTAACCCTCAGTTTAGTAGATTATACTTTTTTTTTTTTTTGAGACAGAGCCTCACTCTGCTGTCACCCAGGCTGGAGTGCAGTGGCTTGATCTCGGCTTACTGCAGCCTCCGCCTCCCACGTTGAAGTGATTTTCCTGCCTCAGCCTCCCAAGTAGCTAGGATTACAGACACACATTACAGCCTCCCAAGTAGCTAGGAATACAGAAAATAGCCACCACGCCTGGCTAATTTTTGTATTTTTAGTAGAGACGGGGTTTCACCATGTTGGTCAGGCTAGTCAGGAACTCCTAATCTCAGGTGATCTGCCCACCTCAGCCTCCCAAAATGCTGAGATTACAGGCGTGAGCCACCATGCCCTGCCAGATTATACTTTTGTAAACTGATATTCAACATTTCAAGTGGTATCTGAATCTCACTGACCCCCTCACAATTCAGAAACCAATAATTTTAAGCCCGGGCAACATGGAGAAACCCGCAACCCTGCCTCTATAAAAAATACAAAACATCAGCTGGGCATGGTGGCGCAGGCCTGTAGTCCCAGCTACTCAAGAGGCTGAGGCGAGAGGATCACTTGAACCCAGGAGGCGGAGGTTGCAATGAGCCAAGATCGCACCACTGCACTCCAGCCTAGGTGAAAGAGCAAGACCCTGTCTCAAAAAAAAAAAAAATTACTTTTACAGACTCTCCTTACTTTCTATGGCAATATAATTATTTGCACAGGTTCAACAGAATCTGTCCTCCTTTTTTATCAAGATATAATTGGATAAATCAATTGTGCAATCAAGGCCTTACCTGGAGTGTCTTTTTATGGGATGTCCTCATTTAATCAGGTGTGACAAGCCTACTATAAGGAATGCTCATGGAGCTACTTCCTACAAAACCCTACCAGGAAGCTGGCCTGGAACGACAGGGATTGCTTCCTGGCAGAAGAGGGACCTTAGAAAAATCAGGGACCTCAAGAAGACAGGAAGCCATTTAAATTTACAGGTGATGCAGGTGACATCTGGTGAAGAGAATATCTTGGGATTCCTTTTCTAGCCTTAGGACAGAAGTTGGGTAACCAACTCATCCTAGTTTGCCCAGGACTTTCCAATTTTAGCACTCGAAGTCCCACATCCCAGGTACCCCATTAGTCCTTGGAAAACTGGAGCAGTTGGTCACTCAATAGAACAAACTACAGATTTTTAAAAGTCCAACCAGCCTGGGCATGGCAGCTCACACCTGTAATCTCAGCAGGTGTGAAACCTGAGGTGGGGGGATTGCTTGAGGCCAGAAGTTAGACAACAGCTTGGGCAACATAGCAAGACCTCATCTTTATAAAAAATTTAAGAATCAGCCAGGCGTAGTGGCCTGTGCCTTTAGTCCTAGCTACTTGGGAGCCTGAGGTGAGAGAATCGCTTCAGCCCAGGAGCTTGAGGTTGCAGTGAGCTATGATTGCACCACTGCACTCCATCCTGGGTAACAGAGTGAGATCCTATCTCTTAAAAAAAAAAAAAATCCAACATAAATCCAAATTTCATACATAAGATTCTGTATGAAAGCGTCCAGACAGAAGCTAAAATGTCTCAATACTGTCTCTGTTTGTAGGGCAAATTCAGAGACTCACATTTAATTACATCCTTGTTGCTCCTATGGAAATAAGCCAATGTAATGACAGCAGCCTTTTATACATCAAGAAAATTTTGGAGATTATCTATGATCACAGAAAAATTATCTGGCCGGGCGCGGTGGCTCATGCCTGTAATCCCAGCACTTTGGGAGGCTGAGGCAGGTGGATCACCTGAAGTCAGGAGCTCGAGACCAGCCTGACCAACATGGTGAAACCCCGTCTCTACTAAACATACAAAAACTAGCCAGGCGTGGTAGTGGGTGCAGGTAATCCCAGCTACTTGGGAGGCTGAAGCAGGAGAATCGCTTGAACCTGGGAGGCAGAGGTTTGCAGTGAGCTGAGATCGTGCCTCTGAGATCGAGCTGAGAAGGAAGGAAGGAAGGGAGGGAGGGAGGGAGGGAGGGAGGAAATCTGAAACTTGGAACTTGGATATGAGGCAAAAAGAATGCTAGCACAACACATTGTTTACCTTTCATGAAAATCCCCAAAATTACTGAAGTTACTAGTAGAACAGATAGCCTGAAAGATTGATGGCCTGTTAGATATTAGCCATTTTAAGAATTGAACTCCGTAATTTTATCCTAATAGTTTTCTGTCAAATTGCTGGCTTCTCAAACGCTCTTTGAACCAGTCATAACATCTTACTGGTTCCCTCATTCTTCTTTTTTTTTTTTTTTTTGAGATGGAGTCACCCAGGCTGGAGTGTAGTGGTGTGATCTTGGCTCACTGCAACCTCCACTTCCTCAGGCTCAAGCAATTCTCATGCTTCAGCCTCCCAAGTAGCTGGGATTACAGGCACCTACCACCATGCCTGGCTAATTTTTGTATTTTTAGTAGAGACGGGGTTTCACCATGTTGGCCAGGCTGGTCTCGAACTCCTGACCTCAAGTGATCCGCCCGCCTCGGCCTCCCAAAGTGCTGGGATTACAGGCATGAACCACAACACCTGGCCACCCTAAGACTCTTTATGGGGACACACAACCATGGCTGATCTTATATTTCATTGAAGTTTACAGTCATTGACATGGTTTGACTTCCAGGGCTCTGACTGCTTCCCAAGATAAATGTCCTTGCTTAATGAGTCTAAAATTATACCATTTGCAAATTACTTCTTTGGCTTAAAGTACTTTCGCTGGTTAAATGACAAATGTTTCTGGAAAAGGGCAACACATAAAGCCTTACCTGTCATTTTCACATTAGTATAAACACATCCCTAGCGTTTTCTGAGAGCTCTAAATGAGAGAAAGGGGCAGGGGTAGCAAGCCCTGCCTTCCTGTGATGGGGGAGAGGGGGTGTCAGGAGCTGCGGAAAAGGGATTCAGCATTCAAATGGGGGTCTTGGGCTCACCGCCAGGTCCTCGCGGGTGACAAAGCCCCTCTCCTTGGCACCACAGTCCTGGAAGAAGGCCTGCAGTTCTGCCGCTGCCTGAGAGGACCAAGACTCTGGCTCTGGGGCCACTGCAGCGCCTTCACCATCAGCTGGCTCTCTTGTCTGCCGCCGCCGGTTGGAGCCCAGCTTCCGGACTTTTCGAGATGTTCTCTGTCCAGTCTCCATGGTGCGTTGGCCCTGGGGACAGAGGAGTGAGGGGCACCGGGCTGCTGGACAGTCACGCCCTCTCATGGCTCAAAACCCTCCCCTGGCTCCCATCACCCTTGGAAGAAAATCCACTGTGGCTGCCAAAGCCCGGCCTGATGGTGTCCCGCCGGGTCCTCTGACCTCGTCGCCCAGCCGCCTCATGGCCTCTCGTCCATTCTGCTCAACGCCTTTGCCCTTTCTAAGTTCCCTCTACCTGGAATGCCCTTCTCCAAGCTACCCACCTGCCCTCATCTCTTCAGGCTACTACTCAACTATCAAAGTCTTCTCCGACCATTAGAGAATATATCCTATTCACCGCACGCAGAATCTATCTCGTGTTTTGACCTGGAGGGTGGTTACACAGGGTTTTCCAGGATCTAGCTGTCTGAAGGGCCATAAGCAGCTTCTGAGCCATCTCTCTGATGACTCTTCTTGCTCATTAACTCATCTCAGCTGCGTCAGGGATCCCTCCACCGACACCTCCTCCCCTGTCAGCCTCACCTCTCCTCCAGCCTTTTCTCTCCAGCACCATGTCTCTAGTCCTTCGACACACGCAGCATGGAATCAGTAGCACCCCTATGCGGCTCTTAGGGCCCCACGTGACATGGCCTCAGCTTCATCCACCCCACCCCTGTGCCCTTGGGGTCCATGGCAACACCACTGAACCACTCATGGTTCCTGGAATTCCTGATTCCCTCCCACCCTGCTCCCTTTGCCCCAAACTCCTCAACTCTCTCACTCCCTTACATAGTTAATACCTTTTGCTTCCTCACCTTACAGGCTGCCTCCTCCAAGAAGCCTTCCCTGCAGTCACCCCTGCATTCAAGCTGGGCTCAGTGCCCCCTTGTCTGCAACCCTGCTATGGTTTGAATGTGTTCCCCAAAGTTCATGTGTTGGAAACTTGATCCCCAGTGAAGCAGTGTTGGGCGATGGGGCCTGATGGGAATTGTTTGGGTCATGGGGGCACCGTCCTCATGAATGGATGAATGCCATTATTGTAAAAATGAGTTCCTTGTTAAAAGATGGACTCAGACCCTCGTGCTCCCTGTCGTCCTTCTGCCTTCCACCATGGGAAGACACCACAAGAAGGCCCACGCCAGATTCTACCTCCTTAATCTTGAACTTTCTAGCCTCCAGAAGGATGAGGAAATAAATTTCTGCTCTATGTAAATTTCCCATTCTATGGTATCTGCGGTAGTACAAAACAGACTAAGGCAGGCCCCATGCTGCCCCAGCTGTGGATATCACTGTTTATCTAGGTCCATACTGCTCCCCGCCCCCTTAGCACATGTCAAGTGCTCAAGTAAGGGGTGTCAAATTCATTGTTCATTCACCTGTCACTGAATGTCTTAGTTCAGTCAATTGATAAGGATTTTGATGGTTGGGGATTCATCCAGGTGAGGCCCCTGGGGTGAGGAAAAGAGAGGCTGTGGTTTGAAAGGGATAAAGTCTGAGCCTGCTTTGCGGGAACAAGTCTGGGGCCCATAAAGCTATGGGATGAGAAGGACTTGATGTCCAGACAGACAGGGCAGCTTCCTGCAAGTGGTGGGGCTTGTGCAGGTTCTGCAGGAGGCATGTAGGATTTGGAAGCAGTAAACAGTGTGTGTGAAGGAATCGAGGCAGAATAGTAAGGCTCATGCCCAGGAGATGGAATAGATATCTCCCCTGGGCATTCTCTGTTGAGGCCGAAGGCCACAGACAGGCTGGGTGGAGTGGTTAGAGGGCTCTGCTTTAGGCCTCATGGGCTCATTCCAGGGGGTCATTCCACGGCCTCCCCTTGGGCAAGCTTCCCAAGGGGAACGGCACAGGTTGCACAGAACTGGATGAAGCAATCTCTCATCCTTAGGAGGCCCCAAACTTCAAACAGAAGTACATTCTCTCTCTCTCTCTCTCTCTCTCTCTCTCTCTCTCTCTCTCTCTCCCCCTTCGAAGTCTGTTTCAGATGAAGTTTTAAGATCATAAATGTAAAACCGCAGTGGTGAGCTGGAGTCCACTATTAGGGGCTTGTGAGGGCTGACTGTGCACACCCCTTCCTATCCCAGCAGCTTGGCATCAGCCACTGTGGGAGTATTGGCACCATGGGAATCAGCAAATGCCATGAATCAGGTCTCCTGCCCCCACCAAAGAATAGTCACCAGCACACCTCTTCTGAAGACTTTCATCTGCCCCAACCCTTCCCACCCTCTATCATGCACATAAGCAACAACCATTTACCGAGCGCCAACTGAATGCCGGTACAGTGCTAAGCAGGCCCGCTGCAATCCATATGTTTCCTTTAAGTGAATTAGGAAAAGGTACTTCCTGCTGGCAGACACAGCCCAGTGCCAGGGCTCATGGTTTGACAAGTGGAATGTGGGCTGGATTCCAGTCCCCATGCACCCCCTTGGCTGGGCATCCTTGTGCAGGACACACCTTGTACACCCCAGCAGAGTCCCTGGCCCTGCAGGTAGAGGTGTGACTAACTCCTGTTCTCCCCTAGGGGTCCTCACAGCCTCATGCAGGAGACACAAACATAATTACAGTGCAGCACAGAAGGGGCAGCATACCTGTGTGTCAGGTGCTGGGAGAGCACTGAAAAAGGAGCAACTCACTGATCAGGGTGTCAGAGAGGGCTTCCTGGGGGAGGTGACATAGCTTAGCAGTGAGCTCCAGGGCAGGAGAGATTATACTTAACCCTGATGCCCTCATAGTGCCCAACCTTGCTTAGGATATGTACTGGGCTCTCAACCCACTTCCTCTGCTGATTCATGGTCCCCTAGAATGTGGAATGTTCTAACAGACAACTGAAGAGACTCAGAAAATATCACGGCCAGACACAGTGGCTCACACCTCTAATCCTAACACTTTGGGAGGCCAACGGGGTGGATTACTTGAAGCCAGGAGTTTGAGACCAGCCTGGGCAACATGATGAAACTCCATCTCTATCAAAAACAAAAAATTAGCCAGGCATGGTGGCGTGTGCTTGAAGTTCTAGCTATTAGGGAGATTGAGGTGGGACAATCACTTGAACCCAAGAGGCAGAGGTTGCAGTGAGCCAAGATTGCACCACTGCACTCTAGCCTAGGCAACAGAGTGAGACACTGTCTCAGAAAAAAAGTCTTTCTAATAAAAAGCAGGGAGGCAAAAAAGCCAAGAATGAGGAATAAGATTCTACGGGTTAGAATAGGGAAGTCCCCATGCTAATCTAACTGGCCTTCACGCGGTATCTCTCACCCCTAATTCATCCCATGTTGCTCCATGGAAACAGTGACCACATAGATACCCCTTCTTGGGCCTAGAGGCCTTCCACACCTAGAAAGACACCATCTATCTCCATTCCCCATCCCCCCTAAGAGGGGAGCCCCCTCCCTCCATGGGCCTATGACCCTTCTTCAGTGGCTAATGGGGTTTGGCCTGGCAGTTCCAGCCTTGCAGGTTACACTCAAAGAAAGACTCCCTGTAGCATAGAAGGGGATTAATAAACAAAACAACAACAACAAAATAAGCTGGGCGTGGTGGCCTGTAATCCCAGTACTTTGGGAGGCTGAGGCGAGAGGATCACTTGAGCCCAGGAGTTCAGGACCAGCCTGGGCAACATAGCGAGACCCTGTCTCTACAAAATAAAATAAAACTAGCTGGGCATGGTGGGGTGCCTGTAGTCCTAGCTACTTGGGAGGCTGAGATGGGAGGATCACTTGAGCCCAGGAGGTCAAAACTGCAGTGAGCTATGATTCACCACTGCACTCCAGCCTGGGCGACAGAGTGAGATTCTGTCTCAAAAAAATAAAAAAGTAAAATTAAAAGAAAGACTCACTGAGCCTCAGAACTATGAGGGTCAGTCCCACTCTCGTGACCTGGAGATGCAGAAAAGGAGGCTCACAAGAGAAAGTGACTTCCAGTCCCATTGCTGTGAAGTCAGACAGACCTCTGCTTCTCCCAGCTCTGCTGCCCATGGGCTGTGCAACCTTAGGGAAGTCAATCAGCATCTCTGTGCCTGAGTTTCCTCACTGGAAACTTAGGACTAATATCTCTCCCACGGGGATGCTGCGAGGATTAAGCAAGATAATTAAAGTTGAAACATCAGTTCCCATTCCCCAGCATGGCCCACCTCCCTTTCCAGCTTCACTTTCTCTTAGCACTTGTCACCTTCCCAGAATAGAGAGCCTTTTGCTCGTTTTTGTTGTAAATTTTCCTTCTCCTCATGCTGAAATAGAGGCCTCACGTGAGTAGGGAGATGACCATTCTGTTCACTGTTCTATCCCAAGAGCCTAGAACAGCGCTTGGCACACAGTTGGTACTCTGCAAATATTTGCTGAATATATGATCCACATAAAGCCACTTAGGAGTGCGCTTGGTATCAGTGACTACCAGGTAAAGGTAGCAATGACAACAGTGGTGATGATATTGATAAAGGTGAATTCTATTTGAGGCACATAAAAGCCAGGTTCCATGCAGATACAATTGATCCCATTTGACAGATGAGGAAACTGAGGGAGGTTCCAAGAGGCAGAGTGACCTGCCCCAGCCATGATGTCAGTGGTAGAACTACACCAGACTCTGCTCTTCTGGTTGGTCATGGGATGGACTTCCCCAAGGCTACAGAGGTGGCTCTTCCCTGGGCAGAAGGCCCCTCTGGGGATGACAAACACCCAGTGGAGTAGCCCTGAGTGGGACAAGGGCTTTGGAACGGGGTGGGCGTTGACAGGCTTGGCTCCTGTGGTGACGCCCAATGTCTCATGTACTTCCGGCAATGGAGCTAACACGGCCAAGGGAGCAAGATAAGATTCCCTGTGCAGAAGCCTCCAGAAGCAAAGTCCACTGTGATGTGAGTGTCACATCGCAGCCTGCCGGGCTCCCACAGGTGTAGGATGTTAGAATCCTGGAAGAAATTCCCTGCAGCCACATCCTAGGACATGTGGCATTCCTGACTTTCCTTTCTGGGAGTTCCTAGCCAAGCTACACCTCCACAGCCCATTTCCAGCAGTCCCCTGGCATTTTTTAAGAAAATAGCACCTTCCAGACACCTCGCCTGCCCCACCTCAGCATCTGCCCTCTCTGCCAGTCAATCCTTCTCTCCCAGGAGGGGTACTCAGCCACCCGCTCCTTGCCTGACAGGTGGCCTGGGGCAGGAAGGCAGCAGGTGCCCTCCAGCCATCGCCACCTCAAAATCAGTCACTTGTCACCATCAGGTGGGATGGTGCACTCACCCCTCGTGCCTTCACATTCAGATCCCTGACAGCACCCCCACGGCCTGACAGCACAACCTAAAAACAGTCTGTGTCCCTTCTAGGCCAGGCCTGGTCCCTCAGAGACAGCAAGGACATCCTTCAGTCAATCCACAAATGTACACGTGCAAACGTGCACGCACACACACCCTCCTTGGCCATCATCCTCACCCTCCAATCCCTCACCATCAGCCTCTCAGTCAGACACAGCACCCCTCACGGCCATTCCATCATTCCATTCTGCATGTGCAAATGCCGTCGCCCAGCACACACATCCCTCCGAGTCAGCTGGCAGGGCCACCCTGCCAGCGCCCTTCTCCTCCACCACTTTCCCCTTAGTGCATCCTCATGCCTCACGTCCTTAAGAGTGGGGGACCCCTTCATGGCTAGGACACACATATAGCCCCTCAGCATGACCACCTCTCCCCACATCCCTCACCTAAGAAATCGCATAAAACTTGAAGCCAAACATGAGAGCAAATGAATCCCACTCCCAAGCACCTGCGGGAATCCACTACCACCGTGGTATTCTGTTAGGCAGCAGGCACCACAGGCTGCCCACCAGGAAGTGGAAGCCAGAGAAGAAGAGTGGGGTGGGGCAGCAGGCAGCAGCAGATTACAACCTGGCATGGGCCCTGCCTGGGGCCTCCGGGTATCCATCACTGTCTCACCAAAGGGCGCTCAGAACTGGGTCTGCTCTCCACTTGGCTGGCTTCAATAGCTGTAAATAATAGCCACAGTCGCTAAACCCCAGTGGTCCAAGTCAGTGGGCCTGAGAGACCACCTAGTGTCTTGTTCCAGTCTACTTATCCTCACTCCTCCTCTCCTAACTAACAGAGAAACTGAGGCTCTGAGAAACCAGGTGACTTGCCCTAGGTCACACAGCCATTTACGGGTAGTGATGTACCCCAGCCTCTTGCCCAAGTGCTTTCCCATCCCCTCCCTTAGACCATGCAGAGAGCTCCAAATGCAGGAGAAAAGAGGGCTCTGCCTTTTGCACCCTTGACATAGAAGTTAAACAGGGACCCCAGCTCCCTCCCCCATCCTCATCCTTCCAAAGAAAAAGAAGCATTGCAACCTTGGGATGGCTCCTACCTCTCAAAGGCTCCCAGTGGAACACACAGCCCTGGGCTCTGGGACCTGGTGGTAGGGTGACTGCTGCCCTGCGGAGCCCACGAGCTCTAGAACTGTTAACAGTCTTGTCTTGCTTAATCTCCCTTTCCGTTCCCCAGCGAGCCAATCTCCTGTGCTCATCTACAGGACTTCCTGTGGAAGCGACCACTGGCGGCCCTTTCACAATTTTGCCTGGCACCCCCAGGCATCCCTGCCCTGATTGGTGTCTTGAAGTGGAGAATGCTGGAGCTGGCAGGGAGGCCCTCCTAAGCAGAGGCTCCAAAGAGTGAGATGGACTGCTCAAGATCACCCAGCCCTTAGTGGCACAGCCAGGACTGGGCCTCAGTCTCTGGTTGCCAAGGCAATGCCTTATCCCAGACAGCAGCAGGTTGATGGGCACAGCCGTGGCTGAAGCTAAGTGTATGGGATGCCCCGGGAGAACTGCCCATCCTGCCTCACTTCAGGCCCTCACTCTCAGACAGTGTCTTTGAGCCTCAGGGGAGGCTTTATATCTAAACCACCTTTTAGGGAACAATCTAGTCTGATACCAAAATACACTGTAGAGCTACAACCATCAGAACAGTGTGGAATTGGAGCATGACTATAGACAGATGAATCAGTGGAACAGAATAATGAAATAGACTCAAATATTTGTGGGACAGGAATAGACTCAAATATTTGTGGGGATTTAGTGTATCATAAAGGCACCACTTCAAATCATTGGAGAAGAGATGGTTTATTCAATAAACTATGTTGGGAGAATGGGCTAGGTATCTGCAAAAAACAAAGAGCTCTAACTCTAAAAGCATTCCAGATGGATAAAAGACATAAGCATTTTAAAAATCAAAATCACATAATTATATGTTGTTTGGGATTTACTTCAAAATTATTGAAGAGTGTGGAGAATAGGTAGGACATAGATGAAACAAGACTGGCTCTGGACCTGTTCTGATCCCTGCTGGAGTTAATGAGGGTACTGCAGGCTCATTATGTTCTTCTGCTTTTCTGTATGTTTGAACAAATGCCATAAGAAATCATGGCATAGTTCATTTGCCATGGTTGCAGAAGAAGGAAGGAAAGAAAAGGAAGGAAGGAGGGAAGGAAGGGAGGGAGGGAGGGAGGGAGGAAGGAAGGAAGAAGGAAGAGAGAGAAAGAGAAAGAGAAAGAAGAGAGAGAAAGAAAGAGAGAGAAAGAGAAGAAAGAAAAAAGAAAGAAAGAAGAAAGAAACTAAGAAAGAAAGAAAGAAAGAGAAAGAAAGAAAGAAAGAAAGAAAGAAAGAAAGAAAGAAAGAAAGAAAGAAAGAAAGAAAGAAAAAAAGAGGAAGGAAGGAAGGAAAGATAGATCTGTCATGGGATAGGCTGGGTGTGGTGGCTCATGCCTGTAATCCCAGCACTCTGAGAGGCTGAGGCAGGAGGATCGCCTGAGCCCAGGAATTCAAGACCAGTCTGGACAACATAGTGAGACCCCGTCTCCATTAAAAAATAATAATAATAAAGAAGGAGAAGAAGAAGGAGGAGGAGGAGGAAGAAGAAGAAGAAGAAGAGAAAGAAGAAAAAAAGGAAGAAAGAGATCATGGGATAATTTTTAAATAATCTTGGATTAGGCAAGGCCTTTCCAGATATATCACAAAGCATTAGAAGCCACAAAAGAAAATATTGAGCCATTCAACCATACGGAAACTTTTTAAAAATAAATAAAACTGAATGGCAAAAAAAGGTCACCACTGATAAGTCAAAAGGCAAACTCTGAAAAAATACTTACGTATCATAGAAAATAAGTTAATTTCCTCCCTCTGTAAAGAACTCCTGCAGATCAATGAAAGACCAATAATGCATTAGAGAAATTGGCACCATATGTGAATAAACAATTCATGGAAAAATAAATATCAATGGATTTAAACATATGAAAAATATTTATAAAAGTAAACATTTCTGTTTATAAAAATATAATAAGAGAAATAAAAGATAAAACTACGTACCATCACAAAGAAGATGAGGGTAAAAATAAAAAATAAAACTACACCGAGACATCATTTTCAGCTATTCAATTAGTAAGATCCAAAAAGTGATATATTATGTCATAAAGGATGTAGGAAACACATTCACACATTATTGGCAGGAATATAAACTGGTACAACTTTTATGAAAAGAAGTGTATAATATCTGTCAACATTTAAAATGCAAAAATCTTTCTACCCAGCAATTTCACTTTCAGTCATTGATTCCACAGATGATATACAATATGACAGTATGGAAGGATACTCATTACAGTATTGTCTGTGGTAGCAAAGGATTGGAAATGATCTAAATTTCCATCAGTAGGGAGCTGGTTAAATGAGCTCTGATACATCCGAACATTGGCATACTCTGCACCGTGAAGAAAATGAGAAAGATCCAGGTGGAGTGATATGGAATGACCTTCAAGATATTGTGTCATATGAAAAAAGTAAGGTGCAGAACAGTGAGGATAGTGTGCTTTTTATGAAGAAAAAAGTGTATGTGTGTGTATGAAATATATGCAATAGATAAGGGCCGTGATATAGTTAAGTTTTATGTCCTCACCCAAATCTCATCTTGAATTATACTCCCTATGTGTCAAAGGAAGGAAGTGATTGGATTATGGGGGCAGTTTCCCCCATGCTGTTCTCGTAACAGTGAGTGAATTCTCAAGAGAGCTGATGGTTTTATAAATGGCAGTTTTTCCTGTGCTTATATACTTTCCTCCCCTGCTGCCATGTGAAGAAGGTCCTTGCTTCCCCTCACCTTCCGCCATGATTGTAAGTCTCCTGAGGCCTCCCCAGCCATATGGAACTGTGAGTCAATTAAATCTCTTTCCTTTGTAAATTACCCAGTTTCCGGTATTTCTCTATAGCAGTGTGAAAATGGACTAATACAGGCCAGGTGAGGTGGCTCACACCTGTAATCCTAGCACTTTTGGAGGCTGAGACAGGCAGATTGCTTGAGCCCAGGAGTTAAAGACCAGCCTGGGCAACAAGGTGAAACCTTGTCTCTATAAAAAATAAACAAAATTAGCCAGGCGTGGTGGCGCATGTCTGTAGTACCAGCTACTCGGGAAGCTAAGGTGGGAGGATCGCCTGAGCCCTGGAGGTCAAGGCTGCAGTGAGCCGTGATTGTACCACTGCACTCCAGCCTGGGCGGCAGAATGAGGCCCTGTCTCAAAAAAAGAAAAAAATAGATAAGCACACACATTCATATATGATTGTAAATGCATAGAACATTTCTGACAGGATATACAAGAAACTAGTCAGATTTGGGCTGGATAGAAGTGTTGGGATGGAGGAGGGGGCAGATTTATGTTTCACTGTTTACTTTTAATGTATTTTATGTTGTGTACTATCTGTATACATTACCTATTCAAAAAGAAACTTAACAATAGTATGTACATATACAAAGAGAGACTGATGAAGGAAACATGGTAAAATGTTAACATTTAGGAACAATGGTAAAGGGTATATGGGGATTATTTTACTATATTTGCAACTTCTCTGGATGTATAAGATTATTTCAAAACAAAAAGTTTTAAAAATTATTAAATTTAATTTCTAAATAAATGAATATTCTCACAACCAACTATCTGAGGAAATTGATACTCAGAGAGTTTCTGAGGCTTTATTGAACTAAATAAGGTACTCATTTATTTATTATTATTATTATTTTTGAGACAGGGCCTCACTCTGTTGCTTAGGCTGGAGTGCAATGGCACAATCATAGCTCACTACAGCCTCCCGGGCTTAAGAGATCCTTACACCTCAGCCTCCCAAGTAGCTGGGATTATAGGCATGCACCAACACACCCAGCTAATTATTGTATTTTTCGTAGAGATAGGGGTTTCACCATGTTGTCCAGGCTGGTCTGGAACTCCTGGACTCAAGTGATCCACCTGCCTCGGCCTCCCAAAGTGCTGGGATTACAGGCACTAGCCACCGCACCCGGCTTATTTATTCAACAAATGTTTATTAAGCACTTCTAGGTGCTGGACACTGTGCTACGAAATACAAAATATAGAAAATATAGAATATGAAAATGTAGAAAAATGTAGGGTAAAAAAAGCCATATGTAATATAATGCCAAACAGTGGTAATTGTTTTGAAGAAAAGCAAAGTAGACTGAAGGGCTAGAATGGTGGTGTGAGGTGTATTTTAGATGAGGTGCTCAGGGGAGGCCTGAGGAGGTGATGTTGGAAAGGACATGTGAGAAAGAAGATCTGGAAGAAGAGGTTCGAGGGGGAGGGAACGGTGAGTGCCGAGGCCCCGAGGCAGGAGCACGCTTTGTGTGCAAGAGAAACAACGAGGAGAGCTCCATGGTGGGAGCACGCGGGAGAGGGAAGGATGGGCGGAGATGGAGACAGAGGAAACAGGCAGGACCCGGAGACCATATGGGCCCATTTGGAGGGCGACATGAACCGACTTAGGTTTGAAAGGGATCCCCCCGCTGCTTTCATTCTGGAGAAGAGGCTGTACTAGGCAAAAGCAGCAGCAGGGAGACCCATGAGGAGTTAACATAATCCAGACAAGAGGCAGTGGCTTGGCCGCGGAGGGCAGTGGTGGAGGTGATGAAAGGTGGCTGGACTCGGGATATGTACTGAAAATAGGGCCAGCGGGGCTTGCTGCTCTATCTGGGCAAATGCAACAAGTCCAGGACCTTCTTTGCAGCAAAGGACTCTCTCCACTCCTCTGAGAACAGAGTGGGGTTGGATTTTTAAGGCCCAGCCCTCAGGATCTCAAGGCATCCTCAGTTTATTTGCCCCCCAACCCTCACCGGCCCTGCTCCCCACCATGGAAATAAAAGGGACATGGGGAAGGCAAGAGTGGTCACACCCTCGCGGGTGGAGCCGGAGTGCCAAGGAGTCCTGCGGGTGCTGAGAGCTCAGCCTGGCCTTGTCCTTGGCACCAGCCCCAGGGAAAAAACCTGCCAGGACACACCAAGCGCTAGGAGAAAAATTAGATCCAGGCACGTTTGGAAACGATGGAGCTAACTGAAAAATACGATGTTGCTGAACTTAAAAACACTGTGCTCGGAACTAGGTTTTGCAAAAATAGAATCAATGGACAAGGATCAAGGGCAGTGAAACTGTTTTACAATTAGGAAAGTTTTCACACTCACTAATTTTTAATTCCTTACAGATGCTTGAAAGCTCTTCACAGCTTGTTAAATCCTGAAGCAACAAACTCTCCATTCTAGGGCCCTGCAGTGTGAGCTGATGTGCAAGCTAGGACCTGAGCCTCCCTGCCTCCAGCTACTGACTCCAAAATAGCTCAAGGAGCTTAGGCAGGTGGGCAATCCCACAGAAAACCAGGGTCAGGGAGCTTGCTTCAAAGCTGCATTTGGGTAGCATTTTACATAAGATTGAGAAAACCTAAGTTACATCAAAGACTGAGGAGGTGCACAGAAAGAGGTGGGTCCCTGCAAGCCTCCTCTTAGAATTGTCACGGCAGCAGTGGCCCTGGGTGAGGCACTTCCCCTTTCTGGTGTATTGAGCAGGCAGTGTGATCTGGAGTCATCAGCGTGGACATCCTGGCCCCTCACCACTTCCTAGGGGCGTGAGCTCAGGCACTATCTGGCCCATATCTGTGTTCACCTAAACCTTTGGTAGATAGTTCCTGGCAGGCTAATGATTTCCCACCTCAAATGTCTTCATCCCTCTGGTTTTCTTCACCATTACAGGAATTTCTTCCACCCCATGAGGAGCAATCTGGACTAGGCCCTAGAGGCAGCCCTATCAGTGATGGACAGTGTCCTTAGATAAGTAGCCTAGATAGCCAGGTGAGTACTCCAGAGAGAAAATTGTAGGGTGTGTTCCACACGGTTTCCTTGAGGCTCCCTAGCAGGTTTAAGCCCCAGTTGCACACAGTGGAACTTGTTCACTGACACCTTTATTGGCCTTCTCCTTTTCTTTCTCACATTCTCTACTTTCCTGCTGTGCCTCCAGGGACTACCTCCCAGGCATTCCACCTGCACACAAGTCCTTGTCTCAAGTTGTTTGGGGAGTGGGGGTTGGGGGTGACTAAGACAGTTACCAGAAATGGCAGAAGCAGGATGGGCTTCTGAAAACAGATCCCTCACCAGTGAAGTGACAACGCGGACCCAAATGCTGGTAGTGAGTAAGGTGGTGATAACTCTTGGCAGACTACAGCATCACAGTGTCCACAATGTGTGTAGTGGATTGGGATGAGGCACAGGTAAAATTTCAGGGGCAACACTGACTTACACTGTAAGTCTAATACTTGAAAGATACAGGGCAATAGTAATGATAAGGATTATGGGGTTGGTTGGCTTTTGTTAATTGCCCTAGAAACCTTGAAGAAAACTCAGGGTATGTTGTGAAGACAGAACTCCATAACAGCATTCTAAATGACACTTATCTCTCATGGCCCAAGAGTAGGCTGTGCTGAAAATCAGGCCCAGGATCTGATTGTAAAAGGGGTGAAGCTTCAAGAGAGACTAAAGGCACAGCCTCAGCAGACCTACTACCCTAGGGTCAGAATTCTGATAGGGAAAGAATGGGGCATTAGGACCTGAATGGAGATATTTGGATAGACGCACTTGAGAAGCTTGTACCCTCAGCTTCCTTGAGCCTTCTAGGCCTGCAGAAGGGCTCCTTCCGTTACTAGAGAACAATCACCCATAACCTGAAGACCACACTAATGACTCACCTGAGGTGGATGTCTCACAAGGTGATGCTTATCTTCCTAAAGATCCTTCCCTCCTTTCCTCACTGCCTCTAGACCAGGGTCAAAAAACATTTTCTTAAAGGGCAAGAGAGTAAATATTTTAGATATGCAGGCCATGTGGTCTCTGTTGCAACTATTCGATTCTACTTTTGCACTTAAAACGACAGTGCAAAAACAACCATGGGCAACAGGTAAACAAATAAGTGTGCGTGCATTCCAATAAAACTTTCTATACAAAAACAGGCAGCTGGTGCATGGAACTATGGTTTGCCTACCCCTGCTCTAGACCAGTAATTAGGGTCAGGTCTTACCATTGCCCAAGCAGGAAAGTATATAGTCCCCATTGCTGGAGGAAATAGCTTATTCACAAAAAAAAGCTACAGGTCTGGCTGACAAATATTAGTAGGAACAGGAAAACACATATAGGAGGAGATCTTGAGGATGTGGGACTGGGGCTGGGAGGAGCTGAGGAATACAAAGCTAGATAAAGAGGGTTTTATGGAGGGACCCTTCCTTTGACTCAGAATTTAACATCCTGGCGAGACCACTGGAACTGGTCTTAACACACTGCTGAATTGGTCCTTAAGGTTTAGACACAGTGATGGCTGACAGTGAGGTGGCAATGCTGAAACAGCCTTGGAAGAGTACTAATGACGGATTAGAAGGCTCAGAGACGAGGGCCCAAAAGGCCTTCCCTTTGCAAAGCAATAAAGAAGTGCCTAGTGAAAGGAGCTCAGTGCTGGGTGTCCTCCATAGCCCAGGTTGACAGAGGAGATACTCCCATGGAATGCCATGGCCACTGTCGATGGAGACATTAAGGTTCTGGAAGAGCAGAGACCACATAGGGCCACTTAATCATCAGAGGCAAGGTGGACACAATTATAATGACAGGCAGCAAGGCCTGAATGTTAACCAGGGGTCTTTGGTCTGCAGGGCTCTGCAGCAGTGGTGTCCTTAGGGCAAGAGAGGTGAGCATTTAATGAGAGTCTTGCTTGACTTAACCACAAAAGATCAAGGTGAGTGAGCAGAGGCTGATGTCAGCTGCCGAGACAGAAAATCGCAATCTCTTACCTAGTTTCCAGCTTTGAGCCAGTTCTGACCCAGGACGCACTGATGGAAGAGAAAGATCCGTAATGCCACTATAAACATATAAAATAAACGTTTCCTTGATTCTTCCCGAAAGCACCCTCTGGCTATTTACCGGAATAGCTGTACAGTGTGGAACTGGGAATAACCAGATCATTTGAGGTCTGTTAGATAAAGGGTTTGAGCTTTCACTGCTTCTAGATGACCCAAAACACCATTATAGCCTCCTTTCAGAGAGGGGGACATAGAAGGCCAGATGGTAATAGAGTCCTAGCCAAGCTCATCTCCCAGTGAGTCTGTGGACCTACTCTATGGTTATTTCCTAGCCCTTGAGTACAAATTGGGATGCATAGCTTCACAGATAGTAGAACTCTCACATTCTGCCACATTCTCACGTTCTCTGTCATCTGTAGAATAAGAGCCATTATAGAAAGAAAGACCAAGTAGAAGTCTCTAAAATTATCCCGCTGGTCAAGGTAGTAAATCAGAAGCAATAGCATATCCCAGGTGGGTAGAAATTAGTGATTCCCTCAGAGACTTAAAGGATACTGAGGTGGTCCCTATAGTATCTCCATAGGATCCACCACATACTGCCCCTGTAAAAACCCACTGAAGCATGGTGATTGATGATTATCCACGGGGCAGCCCTAATCACAGCCATGATCAGATACCGTATCCTTACTAGAATAGTCTACACAGCCTCTGATGGTAAGAAGCCAATACTATGACAAGTGTGTTCTTTTCAATCCGTATCAGGAAAGGGGATCAAAAGTGGTTCACATCCACTTTCCCTACAACAATTTAGAGATCTATCAAATCATTAAAGTTTTAAGTGGTCAAATAAACTGGGGCATGCTGGGTCATTCCCTCTGTGGTAAAGGACAACTTAGTATATCTTGCACCTCTTACCATTTTTTTTTCTTTTTTTTAAATTATACTTTAAGTTCTAGGGTACATGAGCACAATGTGCAGGTTTGATACATAGGTATACATGTGCCATGTTGGTTTGCTGCACCCATCAACTCATCATTTACATTAGGTATTTCTCCTAATGCTATCCCTCCCCCAGGCCCCCACCCCCCTCTTACCACTTTTTAATTTGGGTTTCAGAGGCAGTGTACTAAAGATCACTCCAGCCCATTTATTGGATGATTTAGTAAGCTGCCATGTTTAAGCAGCGGCCGGAGCAAGAGAGGGCTCTGAAACAGGTGCAGGCTATGGGACAAGCACTTGGGTCACACGCCCCAGTGTATTCCCTGGTCCTGGACTTTTATCTGTGGATAAGTAGACAGTTGTGAAGTCCCTGGAAGTCCCCTCTGGCGGGGAGAGTCTCGTTTCAGAACTCTATGATTCTAGTAGAAAGCTCTGCCCTGTGCAGTAGAGAATTATTCCACATTTGAAAAGTAGTTCTGGGCCAAATTGCAGTGTTGGGAGCAAATAAATGATTATTGTTTTAAGCCACTCAGTCTTGGGGTGGTTAATTATGAATAGACAACCAGAAGATGCATGCAACAGCACCTTGTTTTTTGTAATGTTGGATAACTTTCCACTATATAAATATACCACAATTTGCATATCTATTCTGTTATGGACATTTCAGTTATTTCTAGCTTGGGTCTGTTAATAATAATGCTGCTGGAAGCATTCTTTTGGTTTTTTTCTTTTTGAGGGAGACAGACAAGGTCTCACTCTGTTGCCCAGGCTGGAGTGCAGTGGTGCAGTCAGGGCTCACTGCAGCCTCGACTTCCCAAGCTCCTCAAGTGATCCTCCCACCTCAGCCTCCCAGGTAGCTGGGACTACAGGCACGCTCCACCACGCCTGGCTATTTTTTTTTTTTTTTTTTTTGTAGAGATAAGAGTCTCGCTATGTTGCCCAAACTGGTCTCACACTCTTGGGCTCAAGCCGTCCTCCTGCCTTAGCCTCCCAAAGTGCTGGGATTATAGGTGTGAGCCACTGTGTAGAACATTCTTATGCCTTTTTCAGTGGAAATATGAACTCATTTCTCTCGAGAACATGTCCAGGAATAGAATTACTGGGTCATGAGGTAGCCATGAAGGTAGGCATCTTTAGAAGATATTACCAAACAGTTTTTTATTTATGTATTTATTTGAGATGAATCTCACTGTCACCCTGGAAGAGGCTGGAGTACAGTGGTATGATCTCAGCTGACTGCAACCTCTGCCTCCTGGGTTCAAGTGATCCTCCCACCTCAGCCTTCCAAGTAGCTGGGATTACAAGCGTGCACCACCATGCCCAGCTAATTTTTGTATTTTTAGTAGAGATTTCACCATGTTGGCCAGGCTGGTCTTGAACCCTTGGCCTCAAGTGATCTCCTGCCTCAGCCTCCCGAAGCACTGGGATTCTAGGTGTGAGCCACTGCGCCCGGCCCAAACAGTTTTTTTAAATAAGAGATCCAGTTGCTCCATAACCTTGCCAATGCTTGGCACTGTCAGTCTTTTTTAATCATTCTGGTAAGTGTATGGTGGTATCTTATTGTGGTATCTTAATTTGCATTTATCTGATGAATAATGATGTTAAGCTATAATATATTCTTTACAAAAAGATTACACAACAAACCAAAATATTGACATTGGTGATCTTTGCAGAGGTGTGACAGTAGTTTTTGTTTTGCTGTTGTTTTTTGCAGCAGTCTTTCTGTTTGCTAAGTTTTCTGCATTCTCTAAATTTAAATGCTTAATTTTTAAAATTATTTAATTATGAAATCCTTCCCAAAAGCCCATTTATTTGTTCTTATAAGGTATAATAACCACAATAGTAATATTACAAGTAAAGTCACTAAGAATCATTTATTGAGCACCTGCTGTATATTCAGCATTGTGGGAGGAGCTGTGAAAGACACAGAACAGTACAGGGTGTGGTCCCTGCCCTCGAGAGGTTTACAGTCTAGGTGGAGAAACGGGAACCAGGACACATGGGGAGCCGAGAGAAAACAGTCCAGGCCAGTATGTTACAGGAGCTGGAAGGTGTTTGGGGTCAGACCCCAATACTCCAAGTACACTAAGCACTTCAGTGCCTCCAGGGGCTCAACGTTAGTGCCAGGAAAGACAACTACTCCCAGCCCCATATGAGCCCACGTGGCATGCCCTGTCCATAGCCTCTACTGCCACCATCTTAAAATGTCTGACTCCTTGTTCCGCTGCTAATCAAAGTGCAATGAACTGGGGAGGGATGGGGTGGATGAGGAAGGTCGCTGGACGATTTGAGGGGCCAGTGTCTCCCTCCTAGAAAGATCTACTCCCCCATCATATACCCCTAACACAGAGATAACCCCACTCAAGGGGGCCTGTGCCACCACATGGGACCCTCACCCCCACAGCTAGAGGAGGGGGCGGTCGCTGCTTGAGCTGCCTGAGGTAGAACTAGGGTGCCCTTCTTCTTGTGTGTCCCTTCCCCTTCCAGTCCATTGAGCTGGGGGTGGGGGTGGGACAGGCACCTCAGAGCCACCTGGAGCTGAGAGGGTACTGAAGGGAAAGGACAAGGGGGAGGGACAGCAGCAGAGGGGAATTGCAGAGCCCAGCTGGAGAAAAAGGGTAGCTGGGGCTCCTCAAAAGGTACAGGGGAGCCAAAGAGGGAAAAGGCTCAACACTGAGACGGGCTCCCCAGTGCAGGTCAGAGGGGCCATGAGGGCAGGCGGGGTGGTCTGCTCCAGGACCCCACCTTCCCCCTGCCTTCACAAGACAGAGGGGGGTATCAAGAGCCAGGAGGGTACCAGGTCCCCAGCTCAGCCCTAGGCTGTGCTCACTTCAGGGTCACCCTGCCCAACCTTAGAGGAGGTGAGGGGACTCCAAAGTTTTTGATGATGCCCCCACTCGGTGAGGCCCCTTCAAAGTGCCATCTGTTTACTTCTCAAATGAAAAAGAATTCAGGTCTGAGTGTCCAGGAAAGGGGGTGAATTTCATAACCGCCTGTGACAGCGATGGGAAGGAGCCACACCCCTCCAGAGGGTACCACCCAGCGGACAAGTGGGGAGGAGGAAGTAGCTGGCATGAAGCCGGCCCACCCAACCTCCGGGAGAGAGGAAAAGGAGAACACGGGATGAGGAGGCTTTAAATAGTATTTCATAAAATAAAAATGCCCAGCACTCTTAGGAACCTCTCATTCAACCGCCTAGTTTTTGTTTAAATAATTCTAATGCCAGAGGCTGGGGGGCAGGGGGCGGCCAGGGTATGTACATGAGGAGGTGTTTAAATTAAAACACAAATAATAATTAAGACACACAAACTGAGACTAAGGCAGAAGATGTAGAGCGGGCCTTTGAGGCCCTCGCGCTTCCAGGACTGCAGGCTTCCTGTGGGCGGATTAGGGCTTCCTCTTGGAGAAGATCAGCCGGCGTTTGGAGTGGTAGAAATCTGAGGAGAGACAGCAGAAGTCAGCCAGGCCAAGAAGAAGAGGACGCGGCGGAGCTGCCCAACTGAGGAAGACAGTGGGGGGCCAGGACACCCTTCCCTGGGGCCAATGGGGCCGACTGCTGAGAACAGGAAGAACTCGGGGAACGTCCACTCTGTCTCTTGAGGGGTATTATGGAGTGTCCCACCATGCTTCACAGATGTGATTTTATCCATCACCGCACCCGCACCCATGGGTCTGCTCTAAGTCAAGCTGCCCAGCAGAGGAACCACTACTAGCTCTGTGTGCTTGTTTAAACAGACTACAATCAAATAAAATGAACAATTCAGTTCCTCAGTCACATGAGCTGTGTGTCAAATGCACAACAGCCGTATGTGGCTCGTGGCCCCTGTACCGGACACTCCCATCCCTGCAGAGTTACTGGACAGTGCTGATCTAGGGATTCTGTTACAAAATCCATGAAAGTGTTCAGCACAATGCCGGGCCCATATAAACGTCAGTAGTTGTTGTTATTATAATTAGTCTTGACCCAACGGCAAATTCACTTTGAGACCTTAGATAAATCACTCTACCTCTCTGAGCCTGGTTTCCTTGCCCTAAAAGGATGGCAAGGGGCTGGGCATGGTGGCTCACGCCTGTAATCACAACACTTTGGGAGGCTGAGGCAGGAGGACTGCTTGAGCTCAGGAGTTCAAGACCAGCCCGGGCAACATGGTGAGACCTTGTCTCTACAAAAACTCAAAAAATTAACCGGGCGTAGTGGTGTACAACTATAGTCCCAGCTTCCCAGCTACCCAGGAGGCTGAGGTAGGAAGATCGCTTGAGCCCAGGAGTTTGAAGCTGCAGTGAGCCATGATCGTATCACTGCACTCCAGTCTGGCCAACAGAGTTAAGACACCTGTCTCAAAAAGAAAGGCGGGCAGGGTGACAAGAATGTCTTATGTTATAACATTGCTATAAGGACTAAATAAATCTACCTTAGAAGCTTGGCAAAGGGCCTGGCATAATGAACATTCCCAATAAATGTTAGCTAGTTGGTCTTTGCTGCCTACTTGCTGTGTGACCTCAGGGAGGTTGCTTCCCCTCTCTGGGCCTGTTTCCTTCTACCTGGAGCATGCTGGACCAGGACCAGACAGGTCAGCCCTTGGACCATGGATTCTGAGAATCCTGGTCCCTTACAAAGTCCTTCCGTGCACATGTCCGCACCTGTCATGCTGGTCTGCCGCCGTTTTCGACCCTGAGAGTCTCCAGGTCCACCTGGGGACCCTTCAGCCTGCTCCCCTGAGCGAGGCACAAGGGTACAAGACAGTGACAGGTCCACATGGTCTTCCTCTGCTGTCCCCTGCAGCAGAGCAGGTGAGGTGCCAGGCCGCCTGCCTCCTCCCAACTCATCCCGGCCTCGCCGGGGCCCCGTGGGAAGGTAGAGCTTGGGCAGGCCAAGGCCCCGCACACGCTCCCAGGCGAAGTCACCCTCCAGTGGTGTCTCGGTGACAAAGTCGAAGTTCCATCGCTCACGGGCCTCCTGGATGCAGCCCGCCATTAGCGCATCACAGTCGCGGCTCAGCTGCTCGCTGTCCACTGGGCCGAAGAGGCGGCGGCAGGCCTTGCTGCCGCATGGGTTCTGACGGACATCCCCAGCCGGTTCTGACATGGCGCCTGCAGCAGAGATACAAGGAAGGCCCTGGTCACGGCGGAGATTAGACACTATGTTACCTGGCCGGGCTTTGCTGTGTCACCTCAGGTGACGTCTTCCTACCAGAGGGTCTCTCTCACTCCTTCCAGCTGGTCTTCCTGCTTCCTTCCCACAGGAGGCCTGACCCCCACCAGCAGAGCTCAGCCAGCCTGGCACACCAAGGTCACTGGGAGAGCAGGCAACTGAAGGGCAAGCTAATGTCAACAAAGGCAAGTCTATTGCAAGAGCAAGGACCAGGGTCCTGTTTGCCACCAGGTATTATCAGCTAAAATCAATTTGTTTTCCCCCCAGAGGTGTCCCTCATGGGTGTGAATGCCCCCCAAATATGTGTGAATTGCCAGAGTCCAGCAGTTTCCTAATCGCAGCCCTGGCCAGAAGGTCAATTCCCAAAAGAAGAAACAGTCTGACAGTTCCTCCAGCCTCCTAAGTCCCCCGACCCAGATCCCCAAGTAGGGTAACCCTGCTCTGCCAAGTAAAAGTACCCGGGACTTTGGGGCAAAAAGCACCCGGGTTGTGGTCCTAGCTCTGCCAGTTACTACGTAAGCTTTAAAAAGCCACTTAATGTCTCTAGGTCTCAGTTTCCTCATCCATAAATGGGGCCATGTACAAGTTTAAAGAGCATGGCTACAGACACATACTCAAGAAATTGATCACAGAGTCCATGCAGCAAGGCAGACAGAACAGAGCTGAATGAAAGGCTGTATCCTGGTGGTTAAGCAGGAGGGCTCTGGAGCCAGATCACCTGGGCTGGAGTCCAGGTTTTACTAGGTGACCCTGGGCAAGCAACTTAACTTGTCTGAGCTCTAGTTTCCTCATCTATAAAATGGGGATAGTAATAGTGACTGTCTCAGAGGATAGACATGAGAATTAACTGAGTTAATGTAGGTAACGTGCCAGCAGCACTTCGTATAGAGAAGTGCATTGAAAACAGAAGTATGATTATTCCTCTCTGCCTTCAGTTTTACTGAGCCTCCCCCCTATCACTTCCCCCTGCCAACTACCTCCTTCAGACAGCAGCTGACAGGTGCTGTAGGCTGAGGGCCTTTCCCAAGGATGTCGTCAGGCGGGTGGCCTAGGGGTAAGGAGGGGCCGGGCGGGGCAGCGCAAGGGATGATTTCTCCCAGGCTGAGCCACATCCTGCCAGGCACATCAGGTGATCTGAAGTCTAGACACCTGGCAGCCCCTGCCTCGTGTTGCCTGTGTCCAAGGAAACCGTTTTGCAGGCAAAAAGAAAATTAAAGGTGGCTGGTCTACCTGGCTCCTCTCCTCCCCCTTCAGGAGAGGGAAAACGGAGAGTGAGTTTGCCCATGAGGGAGCCCTGGCACCTACCTGCCTGCTCTGGCTTGACTCCAGGGCTGAGTGACTGCACGACCTTGGCAGCAACTGGATTTTCCTAGGGACAAGTCCCAACTTGCAGTTTCTGGGGGTGAAAGCTCTGCTGAGTCCTCATGAGGCAGGAAGCCCGGGACACATGCCACATCTGCTCCACCCCACCTCACCCCACTGCTTGTGATCAGTGGAGCCCACAGTTTCACGTCCCAGCTGGTTGGGAGAGGAGGCTCTTGGTAACTTCACACCAAGTTTAAAGGGCAGGAGATGGAAGAGATATGAGACTTGCCCCTGAGTCATACAGCTAAAAAGGCCAAAGGCCACTGCCCCATAAAGGGGTCACCCAGTACAGTGGACAGAGCCCTCAAATAACCTCTATCCACCCTCTGCTAGGCATGAGTTGGGATTTATTTATATATTTTTATGTTTGGGGGCTGTTCTAAGCAGTTTAAAAATATCAATCCTCCTAAAAAGTGGATATCTATTAGCTCCCTTTTTACAGAAGAGGCAACCAAGGCTCAGATAAGTTAAGTAACTTGCCTAACATCACACAGTTCATAAGTGGCACAGCCAGGATCTGAACCCAGGCCTGTTTGCCCTGAGTCCTGTGCTGTAGTATTGAACCCCACTCCCTCTCTAATTTTGAGGTTTCTTAACCAGAGAGGCCCATCACAATCACTTGGGGAGGCCAGGGGCAGTGGCTTATGCCTGTAATCCTAATACTCTGGGAGGCAGAGGTGGGAGAATCATTTGAGCCCAAGGGTCCAAGACTAGCCTGGGCAACTAGCTGAGACCCTGTCTCTACTAAAAATAAAAATAAATAAAAATTAGCTGGGTGGTTGGGTGCAGTGTCTCACACCTGTAATCCCAGCACTTTGGGAGGCCGAGGAGGGCGGAGCACGAGGTCAGGAGATTGAGACCATCCTGGCTAACACGGTGAAACCCCGTCTCTACTAAAAATACAAAAAAAAATTAGCCGGGCATGATGGCAGCACCTGTAGTCCCAGCTACTCGGGAGGCTGAGGCAGGAGAATGGCGTGAACCCGGGAGGCGGAGCTTGCAGTGAGCCGAGATCACGCCACTGCACTCCAGCCTGGGTGACAGAGCGAGACCGCATCTCAAAAAAAAAAAAAAAAAAAAAAAAATCTGGGCATGGGGGCGGGGGGATCACGCCTGTGGTCCCGGTTACTTGGGAGGCTGAAACAGGAGGACTACTTGAGTCCAGGATGGTGCCATTGCACTCCAGCCTGGGTGACAGAGTGCAACTCTGTCGAAAGAAAAGAA
This sequence comes from Homo sapiens, assembly GCF_000001405.40. Classification (NCBI taxonomy): domain Eukaryota; kingdom Metazoa; phylum Chordata; class Mammalia; order Primates; family Hominidae; genus Homo; species Homo sapiens. Next base: position 36,681,446 of record NC_000006.12, on the reverse strand, counting down.
AGAAAGAGAGAAAGAGAAAGAAAGAGAGAAAGAGAAAGGAAGAAAGAAAGAAAGAAAGAAAGAAAGAAAGAAAGAAAGAAAGAAAAGAAAGAAAAAGAAAGAAAGAAAGAAAAAGAAAGAAAGAAAGAAAGAAAGAAAGAAAGAAAGAAAGAAAGAAAGAAAGAAAAAAAGAAAGAAAGAAAAGCACCTAGGGAGTTTTTTCAAAATATAGATTGCTGAGGCCCTGCCTCCCGAGACCAACTTAATCCAGATTGAAGATTCAAGCAAGTGTTTGGCACAATTCCTCAGATGGGCACTCTTGGGTTGCCAGCCAAGCGGAGACACACTGGTATGTTTGAAATGGACATTCTGGGTCTCAATACATCATAGGCACAAGGAGGAGGCGCCCGCCTAGGGCTTCATCAAGGTGCTGGATATTCCCTGGCTCTCGGGAGTTCAAGACAGGACTAGGATCTAGGCAGGCACCCTCTCCTCTTCTACCACCCCTCCTTCTCTTATGGCTCTCATAGGCCTCTCCTCCCCCATCAAAATCTGCTCTCATGCTCATAATAACTTTCAGCCCAAAGAAAACTCAGAAACGCAAACCCTTGTTTTAGAAACAATTAAAAATAGCCTCCTTTATTGGCCTTCCTGCCTTAGACTTCAGCCATATTTTAATTTCCAGTAAGAGCTCAGTGAATACTGTTGAACCTAAGGAGTGCTCCTTTGAAGGGGTGGTAATGGCATAGGGGTTGATCTCGGATGAGCCCAGGAGTAGCCGCGGCGGTTCGCGCCGGCCAGCCCCACTCCGCGGGAAAGCCTGTGTGCTATTCCCGCCAGGGCCGGGAGGGGGCGCCGGCCTCCAGGAAATCACGCGCGGAGTGGGAGGTGCGTGGGCAGAGCCTCGGACCGCTGGAGGGAGTAGTGATGAGTCAGTTTCCTGCAAGGCGCTGCTCGCCCGCCAAAACTGCTTCCACTCCGGCTGCGCGTCACCCTGGGGTGGGGAGGGGGAGAATGGGAGGGGACCGGGGGGCCGCGAACACGTCACGCTGAGCCGGCCAGGCTTCCGAAACTCCCGCCGCTGTTGGGAAACCGCGCGCTCTTGTGCCGTCTCTGACACAGACACACACACACACACACACACACACACACACACACACGCCCGCGCAGACACGCACGCGCGCGCGCGCCGGGAGCCGGCCCCTCCACCTTATCTCCACGCCCAAAGCACGGGATGAGTCAGATCCCTGGAAAATAAAAATAGACGGGAGCAACGAAAACAAAACCGCTCGCAAGTCCTCCCAGAAACGCGACGTGGAGGGAGGCAAGGAGAGGGGAAGCTGCCTGGGCGCCCCAAGTTCCTAACCCAGCTCCAAGATGCTTTTCCTCACGAAGAGGGCGCAAGTGTCCCCCAGGGGTTTGGGACGGAGAGGACGCGCTGTGGTCCGCGCCAGGCGGCGGCGCCCCAGGGGGCGACTCGCCCCCCTGCTCCGCTCAGCCCTGTAGCTTTCGGAGAGGGAATCTGGGCTAGGTCGGGAAGCCCTGAGCCCCCGAGGCAGCTGATAGAGGCCCTGAGCAGCGTCGTGCCCCCCAGACCCCCCACCCCTCAAAGACATGAACCCTCCCCGCCTCCCATCCAGGCGTGGGCTCCGCTCCCGCCCCGGAGTCCAGCGCCCCGACCCGAGGACAGGCTGGGCCGCGATTCTCCCGGCCGCGGTGGGAAAGAGGTAGAGGAGACCCTTGCCCTTCCCCGACTGACAGGCTGGTTAGAGCCCGCCCAGAGCAGGGCCGTGACTCCCCGACCCCTACAGCGCGCCGCGGAGCGGGGACCCGACGCGGTGTCCCGGACCTCCAGTGCCCGGCTTCCTTGGGAACAAACTGTTCCAGCCAAATAGGTCACTGTGCCGATGGGAGGACGGAGACCGCGAAGGGGCAGGGGAGAGGGCTTCTGGAGTCCCGCTGTACCCCATCCCGGGCGGGGTTCTGACCTCATACAGTCCGTTCCCTGGGGTCTCCTTGTCACAGTGAGTCACCTCCTCGCTAGTCCTTAGGGGACGGGTCCTGGCACATTCCCAAGGGCCAGGAAACAGCCCGCGCTGACCTCAGCGCTCAGCCAGGTGGTGGACACAGTGGCGTAAAGGACCTGAACCTGGGACCTGGGCCAGGGCGGCGCAGATTGGATCCCAGAGCCACCCGGGACCGATCCTAGACGAACTTACTCCACTCCGCTTTCCTCGCCCTTCCTGGGCCCCTCCAGGGACACGGACTTCATCCCCACGCCGCGAGCAAACTGCGCCTGGGGCCTGGAGCCAACCGCAGCCAAAGGCGAGCTCCCAGAACGGTCCCGTCCACGCCCTCCCTCGCCCCAGCTGGGTTTCCAGGGGCGGGGAGCGTGACCAGGGATTCCTGTACTTGTAATCCCGCTCTCCGCCCCGGGGTCTCCGGCACATCCCGACTCTCGTCACCCGCGCACTTAGAGACACCGTGTGCGCAAGCCGAGCGCGCACCGACCCACGCCCGTCATTCACCTGCCGCAGAAACACCTGTGAACGCAGCACACACCCGCGAACACGCATCCTCGCGGACACGCAGGGACACACGCGGGCACGCTTGGCTCGGCTCTGGGCCGCCGGCCCGGGGTCCCCTGTTGTCTGCCGCCGCTCTCTCACCTCCTCTGAGTGCCTCGGTGCCTCGGCGAATCCGCGCCCAGCTCCGGCTCCACAAGGAACTGACTTCGGCAGCTGCTCACACCTCAGCTGGCGCAGCTCAGCGCGGCCCTGATATACAACCGCCCCGCCCGGGCCCGCCTCAAGGAGGCGGGACCCGCGCTCGGCCCACCGCGCCGCCCGGGACCGCCCTCCCCGGGGCCCAGGCTCCTGGCTGCCCAGCGCCGAGCCAGCTGAGCCTGGCCGAGTTCCAGCAGGCCAGCCGGTCCCGGAACCTCGCGTGCTGCAGGAGGGCACTTCCCTCCTCCCCCAGTCCCTCGCCTGCGTTGGTGCGCTGGACACATTTCCCCACGAAGTGAGCCACAAATCTGGCTTTTTTTACTTGGAGAATGAGTTGGCACTCTCCAGGAGGACACAGCACTGTTAGAATGAGCCCCCTTTCTGGCTCACCGCTGACCCACTCTGGCAGGCAAGGATTTACCCAATGCAGCTGAAAAGATCAGGAGGATGACATTAATACATAAAAATTCATAAATTATAAAAACGATGCACCTCTCTGCAATTTCCAGAAAAGCCCCACAATATCACCTCTATTCCCACTGATCCCTCACTAGGTCACCTCTCCCAGAAGCACCTGGAGCACCTAGACACCCCAACAAAGCATCTTGAGGCCAGAATGATTTTTCAGTCCCGTTTATTTCACAGATGAGGAAATTGAGGTCCACTGAACTTAAGTATACAAAGTTGTTGATTGTCACATGCTTCCGGGAAGGAGGGAATTGGAGAGACTACCAAAAAAGGGCAACCTGATCTCCAGGGAAACAGAAGAATTGGACATTGAACCAATCTCCCTACACCCTACACTCACCTGAACAGAAGAAATCCCTGTGGTTGCAGCAGCTTTGTTGGCCAGGAAGGGGAGGATTTGACGAGTGAGTTGTCTGTCTCCTGAATACTCCCCACATAGCCCGTATACACTGCTGGGGAAACTGGGGCTCAGAGAAGTCTGGTGACCTAACTCAGATCATGCAGCAAAGAAATGACTATAGTTGGAACACAGGACTTTTGCCTCCTGCCCGGGGCTCTCTGCTTGTCATCCTTTATTTCTGTGGCTCCAAAATGACAAAAATGCCAAATAACCCTCATTTGCAGATGGTTTATGGAGATGACATAAATAAAGGACAATTCTGGAAGTGTCTACTGGTTCTTCTGACAGACACAGAAATGAGTGATGTGTCTATCCGCTCCCATCTACCTCACACCCCTGACCTCCCCTGGACTTCACCTTTGCCTCCTTTCTGTGCCTGAAACATTTGCAGTTTTGCTTTTAAAAAATTGCAGAGGATGGATTGTTCATCTGAACAGAAATCCCACTAAAAAACAGAACCCAGGCTTGGAGCAGCTACAATTACTGACATCTCAGGCTGCTCAGAGTCTGGAAATCTCTGCCCAGACATGCCCAGTCTTCTTCCTCTAACGCAGCTGACCTCGGGGAGGACAGGCTTCTTTCTCCTCTGCTGTGGGGATGGGAGCCCAGGTAGGGGTGGGAGGACACAGTAGCAGACCCCCTTGGCCTGCCTCGCCCTGGAGTCAGGCCAGGATTGTGGCTAAACCCCAGAAAGGCCACGGCACAGCCTCAGGACCCCACTCTAAGCCCCACTGCTGTCTGCACCTTCGCTCCTATACATCCAAACCATCCAAAGGGCTGGTTGTCAAATGTCCAGCAGAGGACAGGCACCTTCTCCCACTGCCTTGAAGCCCCTCTGCTTTCAGGCATTTCAAATAGACTAGACATTGTCTGTCTGTTTACTTTGGGGAGAAAATTTTTTTTAATAAAGGCTTGTAATGAATTATTTAAATTTTTGTGGTACTGAGCTTCACAATGAAATAATTCTTTTTGTTGTTGTTTTTGGGAAAGAATTTTTTTTATAACTTCTAGCTCACCACCACCACGACATTCAATATTTCTTAAGTACCTACTAAGTGTCTAGTACTATTCAGTGCTTTAAAAAAAAAAGTTTGCAACCATGCACTTGAATGTGTACCCAGACACACTCTAAGGGAGGACTTCTGCCCTGAAAAAGGCAAGGGAGCAGGCTGTTAAAAGTCACACACAGAATCTGACTCCCAGCACACACTCACACAAGCACACATGCATCAGATCCCAGCCCTGTCGCAAGGATCTGCTGGCAGATCACATACCCTGTTCAGAGTAACAGGCTAAGGTTTACCTGGGGTCTTTAGAGGTCTCCTGTCTCCTACCATCCCCTTCCTCACCTGAAAACAGGCAGCCCAAGGACAAAATAGCCACCAGCCTCTTCTATGCCAGAGCTCAACATGTTGGGACATGTTCCTGACGGCCAGAAAGCCAATCAGAGCCACAGCCTGCTGCCCAAGCATGTTCCTGGGAAGCAGGCAGCATAGGGATGGAGGGAGGCTCAGCCTGGGGGACAAGAGTGCCCAGTCCAGCCCCCTCCCCAGAGTGCGGTGGAGCAGCATGGGGTAGGGGAATGGTGAAAGGTGGAAAGCCCAAGCCTGAAGAAGGAGGATGTGAGGAAGGCTCAGTGGTGGCTGCAGAAGCTGCCTAGGAAGGGAGAGGAAGTGCTGGGAACAATGTCACCATTTCTCAGAAAGAGACTGGGGAGTCCCAAATAGGGGCAGTCAGCTTTCAGAGGAATTCACCTTCACACAGGCTCCCAAGAAGTGAGACCCCAGAGAAGAGGCGGAACAAAGATAGAACATTATTGAGCAGAGGCAGCCCTGGCTTTTTGTTTTCATTTTGTTTTTTTGTTTTGTTTTGTTTTTTGAGACAAAGTCAGCAGTGGCACAATCTCAGCTCACTGCAGTCTCCGCCTCCCAGGTTCAAGCAATTCTGCCTCAGCCTCCCGAGTAGCTGGGATTACAGGCATGCACCACCATGCCCAGCTAATATTTGTATTTTTTTTTTTGCACAAAAAGTTGGATTTATTGTTTCTGACAAGTGGTTAGTAATTTTCAGTTTGCTCATGTTCCTAGCATCACAAATCTGAAGTACAATTTTGCTTCTCAATTAAAAATATATACTGGCCGGGCGTGGTGGCTTACGCCTGTAATCCCAGCACTTTGGGAGGCCGAGGCGGGCAGATCACAGGGTCAGGAGTTTTGAGACCAGCCTGGCCAATATGGTGAAACCCCGTCTCCATTAAAAATACAAAAATCAGCCGGGCATGGTGGTGGGCACCTGTAGTCCCAGGTATTCAGGTGGCTGAGGTGGGAGAATCGCTTGAACCTAGGAGGCGGAGGTTGCAGTGAGCTGAGATCATGCCACCTGCACTCCAGCCTGGGTGACAGAGTGAGACTCCGTCTCAAAAAAAAAATATATAAATCTTTGTGTAAAATGAAAAAAAAATCAAGGCATAAAAATTTCATTGTGTTCTACATTTTTAAATATAAATTGCCTCCTTTAAAATATTTTCATCCATTCATTCAAAAACCTTTTAACTTCAACTGTCCAATTTAAGATAGAGTGAAGACATTTTTGAGTATCTGAACTAAGCATTGTCTTGACTGAAACGAAGTAAGAACTCTATGAGAGTCCTTGTGGGCCTCCCGGTCATGCCTTTCCATAGATAGGGAACCTCATCTTTGTTGGTCATCACACCTGCTATGTCTAAATGTGCCCACTTAGGATGAGTCACGAATTCTTTCAGGAATGCCGCAGATGTACATGCTCCCGCAGATCTATATTTTCCAATGTTGTTAACATCAGCCAGCTGGCAATCTACAACCTGTCTTGTACAATGTTTGAAGAGAGGCATCCTCCAGACACGGTCCCCTGTTTCAATGCTGGCCTCGAAGAGCTTGTTCCAGAGCCAGGATGAATTGGTAAAGACCCCAGTGGCACCTGACCCCAAAGCTACATCTATGACACCTGTTAAGGTGGTGGCATTGAGGATGACCTTCGGGTTAAATGTGTGCACGTAACAGAGCGCATCAGCCAGTATGAGCCTCCCCTCAGCATCAGTGTTACCAACCTGGATGGTCTTCCTGTTCCTGGCTCTAACAACATCCCCCAGCTTGTTGGCCTTGCCGCTGGGCATGTTTTCACAGAGGGGCCAGACCTATAATATTAATGGGCAAACTGAGATTTGCAGCAGACACAATGGCTGAGCATATAGTTGTAGCTCCTCCCATGTCGGCCCTCATGAGGTCCATATTTGCAGAAGCCTTGATGGAGATACCACCACTGTCAAAGGTAATTCCTTTCCCAACAAACAAGGGGTGGTTTGTCTGCATTGGGGCTGCCTATGTAGTGAATTTCCAAGAAGACTGAGGGCTCGTCAGATCCTTTGGCCACACTGAGGAATGATCCCATTGCCTGTTCCTCAATCCAAGACCTGGGTCTGATATGAAACTCGGTTTACTACTAGCGCTTTTGAGATTCTTCTCAATAATTTCGGCAAATCTGGTTGGCATCATCTCGCTGGCTGGCGTCTCCATCATGCCAAGTTCTGCCCAGAAGCAAACAGGACTCCTTTCTGCCAGGCCTCCTGATCCCCAGTTCCATAGAGCTTCACCGACATAGCCATCTTCTTTTTTTGCTTTAGGTCATCGTATTCATAGAGACCAAGCACCGCGCCCTCCTCAGCAGCCTGAGCATCTCTACAGGGATCCACCTCCACGGAAGAGAGCTCCAGGTCTTGAATCTGCCTGCATCCTGCTGCAACAGCAGCTCTGATGTTTTCTTTGCCTTCCTGCCAGTTTTCCTGTTCGTCGATTCTGGCTGCCTTTTTGCCGAGGCCAACTAGCACCACGCTGGGGAAGTCCTGATGCAGACCATAAAAGTTTCGAGTCTTGCCTGCCTTCAGAGGTGGTCCAGATATGTTCAAAGTCTCTCTCAGCTTTCCAGCTATCAATTTATCAAGATTCTCTCCTGCACTTGTGAACTGTGGCACATCATCTTCTTTTTCTTTGGAATAGATTCCTAAAACAAGGCCCTTCGTCATGTCTGCAGCGGAGAGACCCCGGCTCCCGAAACATCTCACGGCCAGACGTCAGACGATGACTCGCCCCACCCAATGTTTGTATTTTAGTAGAGAGAGGGTTTCTCTATGTTGGTCAGGCTGGTCTCAAACCTCGACCTCAGTTGATCTGTCTGCCTCGGTCTCCCAAAGTGCTGAGATTACAGGCGTGAGCCACTGCGCCCAGCCTATTTTTATTTTTTATATATTTTTTGAGATGGAATCTTGCTCTGTTGCCCAAGCTGGAGTGCAGTGGCGTGATCTCAGCTCACTGCAACCTCCACTTTCTAGGTTCAAGCGATTTTCCTGCCTCAGCCTCCCGAGTAGCTGGGATTACAGGCATGTACAACCATGACTGGCTAATTTTTGAATTTTTAGCAGAGACGGGGGTTTCGTCATGTTTCATCATGTTAGCCAAGCTGGTCTTGAACTCCTGACCTTAAATTATCTGGCTGCCTCAGCCTCCCAAAGTGCTGAGATTACAGGTGTGAGCCACCATGCCAGGCCTATTTATTTATTTATTTATTTATTTATTTATTTTCGAGATGGAGTTTCACTCTGTCGCCCAGGCCGGAATGCAATGGTGCGATATCAGTTCACTGCAACCTCCACCTCCCAGGTTCAAGCAATTCTCCTGCCCCAGCCTCCCAAGTAGCTGGGATTACAGGCTCCTGCCACTATGCCTGGCTAATTTTTTAATAGTTTTTAGTACAGACGGGTTTCACCATGTTGGCCAGGCTGGTCTCAAAGTCCAGAACTCAGGTGATCCGCCTGCCTCAGCCTCCCAAGTGCTGGGATTACAGGCACGAACCACCACGCCTGGCCAGGCCTATTTATTTTTATTTTTAATAATTTTTTTAAGGCTAGTTAAATGAAGCAGTGGGAGTGGAGAAGGAGCAAAGAAATCTACAACTAAAAATACAAAATTAGCTGGACATGGTGGTGCATGCCTGTAATCCCAGCTACTTGGGAGGCTGAGGCAGGAGAATCACTTGAACTCGGGAGGCGGAGGTTGCAGTAAGCTGAGATTGCGCCATTGCACTCCAGCCTGGGCAACAAGAGCAAAACTCTGTCTCAAAATAAATAAATAAATAATTAAAAGAAAAGACATGTATTCTTACTGTGAGGCTCTGTTCTTCATTAAATATGATCTTAAAAGCAAAGTGCTTAGCTTGGCACATAGAAATCACTCCATGAATATTAGTTATGATGATAATTGCTGTACAAACATCCCCAGGAAAGGCATCCCTTGGAATTTAGTAATTATCTATATTTTAGTGGGTATCTTAGGTAGGTTTCCCAGAAATCACATTCTGACATAGAGTTTTGCTTGAAGGGAGTTTATTGGGGAGTGCATTCACAATCAACACTTGTCTGGATATAAAAGAAACGGAATTGGGCAGAGAGAAGAACCGGGAACTGATGGAGGCTGGAGGCCCACAGAGGACTTGGCTGATCCCACCAGGAGCCCTGGAGCTGGGATGGTCCTGCAGAGTTCGCTGAATTGAAGCATGAGAGCTAGGCCCTTACACCCTGGGTTTCCAAACAGTCATCTAAACGTGGCTGCCCCTGCAGTAGGGGAGTGCATGCCCTCGGGCAAGAGAGCTTCCTCCTCTAAGGCCAAGGAACGACTTGGCTGTAACCATCGGCAACCAACACTCATGGCAGCCATTGTGGAGGACAAGTGCCTGGCTCTTGCAGAAGCTTCTGGGTGGTACAGTACAGAGGGAGTAAGTTGATCAGATCATTTAGGGACTAGAAGGCAGTGAGGAAATGCTGTGAACACAGGCCACCTGAGGGGTGAAGGCCTCTTTGTGCCTTTGCACAAATCTTCCTCTCTTGGTAAAATGAGTGTCCCTGACCAACTTGCCCCACCTCCACTCCATTCTTCACCTTTGAATTCCTATTGATTCTTCATAACCCAACACATGTGACTTGGGGTGAGGCCTACTCGGGGCTCCCTCTACTCCCAGAGCTCCCACTGAGCAAGACTCTCCACTGTACTTTGCCCTCCTGCTTGGTTTATGTGTCTACTGAATCCTCTGAGCTGGGCACTTAGAGGGGCTGAGCCCATATTTTATTCATCTTTGTACCTTGGAGAGGCCTACCAGCTTCAGCTGGGAACTCAGTGAATGTTTATTGAAGGGTCATTTTTGGCCTGTACTGTGAGGTTAGGCTTCAGTGCTGCTGCCTCGAGCCCTCTCTTTTATTTATTCATTTGTCCATTCATTCATTCATTTGTTTTAAAAAATAATTAACACTCACTGCTCAAACCAAAAACTAGAATATTACAAATCACTGACACTTTCTTGTGTGTTCCACCCCTACCCCAAAGTGAACACTACCTTGCATCTTATGTAAAACTTTTTTTGTTTTAAATAGTTCTATCACATGTGGCCAAGACAGTAATGCTCAGCCATTTTTCCAGGTGTTCTCCAACATTTTCCAGCCCCACTTACAGTGTAGATGGGATCATGCGACTAGTCCTAGCTGATGAAATGTGAGCATAAGTGACATTTGTCTCTTTAGAGCTGAGGCCAGGTGAAATTCTCGAGCCTTTCTGTCCTTCACAGTTGTGGCAAAGGTGAGGTCTCATGTCCCAGGTGGTGCAATGGTGCCACTCCAACATGGTGGAGCCTCCATCAGCCTGGATCCCTGAGTGAATGCGTGGAGCAGAGTGCCCCACCAACTTCTATGGGATAGGTATATAAGAAAAAAGTAACCATTTGTGTGTGAAGTCACTGAAATGTAGAGGTTATTTGATACTGAAGCATAACCTAACCTAATATTTATCCATGTAGTTGTGGGTAGTTGTGGTTTGTGGAAGTCAATGTCTCCCAGTGAGGTATACCTCTGGGTATTCACACTGTTTTGTAGTTGCCTCCCCTTGAACATTTCTGGCTTGTGACTCTTTTAGCCAATAGAATGGGACAGAAGTAACCCTGTGCCCATTCCAGACCTAAGCCTTAAAAAGGTATAGTAACTTCTACTGCTTTTGTATTCTTAGAGACCTTAAGCCACCATGTAAGAAGTTTGATTACTCTGAGACCATCATGCTGTGAGAAGTCTTGTGGAGAGGTCACACGCAGGATAACCAAGGCCCACTAGCTAAGAGTTCCAGCAGACCTCCCAGCAAACAGTCAGCATCAACTTGCCAGCCATAGGAGGACCATTTTGAGAGTTGATCCCCCAGCTCCAGTTGAACCTCCCCAGGTGGAGCCACATGAAGTAGAGACAAGCCATCCCCAGTAAACCCCGACTGAATTATAGAATGTGAGCAAACAAATGATCGTGGTTGCCACTGTGTTTTAACATGATTTTTTAGGCAGCAATGCGTAACTTAAACATGATTCAATCGTTTTCCGGTTTCTATGTTATTTACTTATTTATTTTGAGACAGGGCCTCAATCTGCCGCCCAGGCTGGAGTACAGTGGTGTGATCATGGCTCACTGCAGCCTTGACCTCCCAGCCTCAAGCAATCCTCCTACCTCAGCTCCCAAGTAGCTGGAACCACATGTGCACACCACGAAGCCTGGCTAATTTTTTTTTTTTAAATAGAGGTGGTGTCTCCCTATGTTACCCAGGCGGTCTCAAACACCTGAGCTCAAACTTCAGCCTCAACCTCCCAAAGTCTTGGGATTACAGGCATGAGCCACCATGCCCGGCCCATTTTCAGTTTTTTAAATATCCAATTATTCCTTCTCCTATCAATGGGTTTGGGTTATCGCCAATTTTTGTTATTACACATAGGGCTACTATAAGTATTTTTATCCGTGTTTCTAGGGCACATGTGCAAGAGTTTCTGGCTATATACCTAGGAGTCGAGTTGCCCGATAATCACTCTGTCAGGAGAAGCATGATTGAAGAAGTAGCCACACCAGGTATCTGGGCCTCACTGTCTGTCTGTGTCTTTTAGGATTATTGGAACAAGTCTAAAGCCCTGAACACATATTGGGGATTATCATTGCTTGCATTTTTGTATAGAAACAAAAAGTAATCCAAAGGAATGAAGCCCTAATGGAAGAATTTCAACGATTGTGACACCTGAGAATAGACATTTGGCAGCAAAGGGAGCTGCCCACAGATTCTGAATTCAGTCCTGTGAGCTGCCTTCAAAGCTCCCAAGACACCCCCTCCAGGTCCCTTAGCTCACAACAGCCTTCTGGATGATCCCAAAATAATAGGAATTGGGCACTTTGATTTTTTTTTCTTCCCTAACATATTTTTTAAACCCCTCCCAAGAAAAAGCCTCAGCATAGGCTGAGGGGCTTGGGTTCGGGGCCTCTGATTGCACAGCAGTGTGGAATCTCAGGGACATCAGGTTTCAGATCCATTCTCTCACTCCTCACCATCCACATGCTCCTCCCTCCCCCAACCAGGGCAGGGGTATTAGACGCTTATACAGACAGAGAAATGGAGACCCTAGGAAGTGCTGGCTTCGGCTAAGGGGACACAGACCAGGGTCAGGGCAGATCCGGGGCTCTGGCTGTGGCCGCAGCCCTTCTGCTCCCCCTCCCATCAGCTGCTTGTCCTTGCCTTTGCTTCCCTAGGGTGGCTCTAAGTGTCATCTGTAATTGTAATGCCATCGGGGCCACTGTGGAATGCGACAGCTGCAACCCCCAAGCCCCAAATGCTAGTGGCCACACTAGAGCCAAGTTCAGAGCCAGGGAGGAGATGTCACTCCCTCTTCCCTATCCTCAGTGGTTTCTAACAACCCTGTATCTGCTGGGAGGAATCATTGCTGATGTCTCCTCCTACGCCCATCCTAGCAGCTTAGGACTGGACTTATGAAGAAAAGTCAGGGTGAGTGATAGGACGACACTAGCTCCTGTAATAAATAAACTCTCACATTTCAGTGACAAGCCAAATACAAGTTTATTTCTCACTCACATATGAATCCAATAGAGGTGTTCTGGTGGGCCGGTGGCTGCCCTCCGTGTGGTGATTCAGGTTCTTAGGTTCTTTCCACCATGTGGCTCCACCATTCCCTGGGGCCTCATGATCTCTGACTGCAGCTGGAGGTAGGGGAAAGTGCCAAAGAAGCCACGTGCATTTCTTCACACCAGGCTCAGAAGGGACTGGCATCATCTCCCACCCACGTTCCATTGGTGAGAACTTGGATGCACCCCCGGATGCACAGGTCAATGTAGTCCCCAGAGGGCCGCACAGATTTGTGATGACCCACTAGCCATCTCCATCAAAGCTGGGAGCATGGCAGACAGGACTCCTTCCTCTCCCCCATCTTCCGGTAAGAGGGTCTTTTCCTACTGAGTCTCTGGACGCAGCCACAAGAATAAGAAGAATGCCACCTGTGCAGAACATGAACTTGGACCTCAATATCTTCATGTCTAAAATGGGTGCTTTCATAGCTATAATCTTACCATTCTCCGGAGAGACTGAGAAAAATGAGGTAGGCATGATCCTCTTCAGTTCCCAAAGGAGGAAACCAGGCCACAAAGAGACAGTGAGACTAGCCTAAAGTTACACAGCAGGACCCAATTTCCTCCTTCTGGTACACAGCTTTTCCTTTTTCTTTTTAAACTAGTCAACATCAAAGTCTGGGGCCACACACTGCCTCACTCCTGTAATCCCAGCACTTTGAGAGGCCGAGGCACAGGGATCACTTGAGCCCAGGAGTTAGAGACCAGCCTGGGCAACATGGTGAAAACCTGTCTCTACAAAAAAATACAAAAATTAGCCAGGTGTGGTGGTACACGCCTGTGGTCCCAGCTACTGGGGAGGCTAAGGTAGGAGCCCAGGAGGTCGAGACTGCAGTGAGCCAAGATTGTGCCACTGCACTCCAGTCTGGGCAGCAGAGTGAGACCCTGTCTCAAAAAAAAAAAAAAAAAAAAAAAAGGAGAGACACAGGAAACAGTGGCAATGGCTGCCTCTGGAGAGAGGAGCAGGTCCATTGTGTTACCCCCTCCAGGGCACCATTAGGAAGCCTGGGTGGACAGCACCCACCAGTGGAGTTGTGCTGTGCACAGCCTGTCTGTCTTGGGGTGTAAAGTAGGCTTATTCTTCTTAATATATATTTTTAAATCGTTAATACCATCTTAGATAATAATTAACACAATTAAAATACATATTCCAAGTGCCAGCCCTATCTCAACCCACTGAATTAAAATTGGATAAGGGTCTGCCGGCTGCACAAGTGTACAGATATTTTGAAAAAATCTCCCCAGGTAATTGAAAGCTCCCCACCCTCCATCCTCAAGGCTTGGGAAGCCTGATTTAGTCTCTCCTTGCACAGGCCCCTCTATCTCACTTCTAGAAGTCTCAACGGACCCTTTAACCCCTGGGAGACTGAGTGAACTAGGAATAGATTCTGCCACTGAACAGGGAGGAGGGAAGGAAGGAGTGAGCCAGGGTTTGGGGTAGAAAAGCTCATGGCTGAGTGAGCAGGAGGCCAGTTTTGCCTCCTGGGCAGTTGGGGCCTCCCACTTCCCTGCAGCCCTGAAACACCCTCCCCACACCCGTGCATCGCCTCGCATCAGCAACTCTGGCCGGCAGAGCTCCCGCTGGCCTTGCCCGGGCTTGTCTTTTGTTGCATTGTTGCATCATCATGCGGCCTTGCAGGGTGCCAGAAGAGTGAGCCACCCACTCACCACTGGAAGAAAACAGCTAATTATATCACCAAGAGACCCAGGGCATATGGTCACTCTCAGCTGGCCCAGCCTGTTTCTACTTGCTTTGCATGATTGTTCTGGATTTTTCAAAATAATAATAACTACCAACCAGGAAAAAAAAAAATCACCCCTGACTGTGGAGCGTGCTGCTGAAGTAGGAGCTTTAGTCTACCTGCTGCTCTAGGAGAGACCTACACAGCCCCCTGAGCTCAGAAAACAAAAAGCCAGACTCCCAGACTAGGGTTCAATAGACAAGTGGCTCTGAGAACAGGATACACTGGAATCAGCAGAATCCAAAAGACAAGCATTGCTTTGACAGCATCACAGTAATTTATTTTTTCCAAAATCTTTAAAATTCTATTTGTAGTTTAGTCAAAAGTGCAGAGCGTTTTGTTTGTCCATAGTTTCCTGTATTTATTTTTTCAGTAGATAATACATTCACATGGTCCACAGTCAAAAGATGCAAAAGGCTATTCAGTGAAAACTCTCCCTCCTACCCCTACCCTCCAGCTACCCATTTTCTTCCCAGAGGCTGTGGCTGGTGGCTTGTGTCCCCTTCCCACAGATAGTCTAAGAACATCCAGGTCCTTCAGCTGAAACCCTTGGGCACAGATGGGTTGCAGAATCTAGAACTTTTCCCATTTTAGACAGGTAATAAAGTGCATACAGCCTGTATTCCACAACACCAGCGGGCTCCGCCCAGGGTGAGCAGTCAGCCAGTTTGCCCCAGACTGTTCCAGTTCCATGTCCAGGGAACCCCTTCAATCCCAGGCAAACCAAGACAGTAGGTCCTGCTAGCTGTGGGCTGTAATGTATTCACACTAACAGGGACAATTAAAAACTGCAAATGGCTTCACATCCTTTTAGCTCTGGTTTTGCTACCAAATAAATTTGCCACAAACCAAAGAAAAAAGTTTTGGTTTCCAGAGCCTTTTGGATTTGGGAATTGTGGATGAGGGGCTGGGGACCTATACACAATATACATATATATTTTTAATCTGCTTGAATGGAAACACAGTGTTGGGCACATTGTTTTTGCACTCAATTTATCTTAGTGGCTTTCCACATCAGTACATAGAAATCCTGCCCTTTCCTTTTTACTGCTGCATTGGACTTCAACACACGGGTGAACATTTAGGATGTCTCTAGTTTTCTGTTATTACAAACACACATAGTTTTACAAGCAGCTAACAACATGGGGAGGGGGCAGAGGAGGAATGGAATCATTCTTTTTTTTTTTTTATTGGAGATGGAGTCTCACTCTGTTGCTCAGGCTGGAGTGTAGTGGTGCGAACTTGGCTCACTGCAGCCTCCACCTCCCAGGCTCAAGCAATTCTCCTGCCTCAGCCTCCCGAGTAGCTGGGATTACAGGTGTCTGCTATCACACCCAGCTAAAGTTTTTATATTTTTAGTAGAAATGGAGTTTCACCATGTTGGACAGGCTGGTCTCGAACTCCTGACCTCAGGTGATCCACCCGCCTCAGCCTCCCAAAGTGCTGGGATTACAGGCATGAGCCACTGTACCCAGCCAGGGATCTTCATTCCTAATGTTTGTTTATGACTGAAAGTTTATGTCCAAGCCTGCTCAGAAGTTGCGGGGCAGAAACAAGACCTACTGAGGTCTCCCAGACCAGCTGCCCCGCCCATCCACCTACATCACGAAGAGTCACTCCCATTCAGAATGATTTTTCCAAACAAGAAGACAACTTACATTCAGACCTACTGTATTAGTCGGGGTTCTCCAGAGAAACAGAACCAATACAAGAATATATTCAGATAGATATAGACATAGATAGATGATAGATAGATAGATAGATAGATAGATAGATAGATAGATAGATAGATAATGTTCCTCAATTTTATGATAAAGTAAAAAAATTATAAGCTGAACCATCATAAGTCAGAGACTATCTATATATCTATATACAGGCTCATGTGGGCAAAAAATACCACCCAGGGTGGGTCTCTGGTGACCAGATCCAGTTAATGAAAGGGGCTAGATTTCAGCTGATGGGGCCGTGGAAATCTGAATTGGGAGCCCCCTTCCTAAAACCAAGAGAAGATCCATCCATGTGTGGTGGGGCTGAAGTTTATGCAATGATAGAGGCCTTCTTCACGATAAAGAAGGCAATTATAATACTAGGCACCCCTATGCAAATGAGAGTCCTAGAAGCCTCCTTTCATCGGTTTCACCATCAACCCACCTGTGTGTGTGGCTGAATAAAGATCAGGGAAGTAGCGGTCTCTGGGGGGCAGATGTGACACCTGGGGGGCCACAGTTCTAAAACTTGAAGGACCAGAATAACCCGAGCTGAAGGAGGACACAGGAGAGGCAAGATAGAGAGAGAATGGGGCCATCCTGCAGTGCCCACCACAACCGTCTATGCATCCTGGACCCCAGGCTGGCACTATACAGGGTGCTGTGTGATTCCTCACCCTCATTCTCTGCCTCCACCAAGAGTAATAGGCTGGGCGTGGTGGCTCACGCCTGTAATCCCACCACTTTGGGAGGCCGAGGCAGGCGGATCACTTGAGGTCAGGAGTCCAAGACCAGCCTGGCCAACAAGGCGAAACCCTGTCTCTACTAAAAATACAAAAACTAGCTGGGCGTAGTGGTGGGCACCTGTAATCCCAGCTACTCGGGAGGCTGAGACAGGACAATCGCTTGGACTCCGGAGGCAGAGGTTGCAGTGAGCTGGGATCGTGCCACTACACTCCAGTCTGGGCGACAGAGCAAGACTCTGCATCAAAAAAAAAAAAAAAAGAAAGAGTAATAATAAAAATGAAAGTAGTTCATACTTACAGAGGCCCGGTTCTAAGTACTTGATCCATAGTTACTTGGTTAATTTTCACCATTACTCATTTCAGGAATGAGGCACCATTACTTTTATCCCCATTTTACAGATTAGGAAACTGAGGTAGAGATAGAGATGAAACCACTTCTCAAGCCAGACAGAAACAGAGCAAGGATTTGAACCCAGACAGGCTGGCTCCAGAGGCAAAGCTCTTAACCACTAATGACAATAACCACTGACACTCAGGTTGTGATTATCTTATACCAGTTGCTCTTCTGAGTGTTCACATGTATCAGCTCAACTAATCCTTACAGGTACTGTTATTACCCCCATTTTACAGATGAGGCAACTAAAACACAGAAAGGTCAAGCCATTTGCCCAGGCCACACAGGTACAGAAGAAGGATTTGAAACCAGGCAGTCTAGTTCCAGAGTCCATGTCCTTCTGCACTGAACTGTACCTCTGTGCCATGACTAGAGCTAAGAGCAACAATGACTATGGCTTCCAGCCTCCACATCACATGTGGTGTCAACACTGGAGAATTTAATAAGCACTCAATAAATAATCAATGAATCCTCCTCTGAAACAATCCTTTTCATGATATTAAAAAAATCATATTCCAAGTTCATTGAAGAAAATCTGAAAACTATAGAAAGGCTCCACGAAGAAATGCAAGTCACCCTTGATACAGCGGGGATAAGCACCACTAATGTTTTGATGTCTTTCCAGCTATTGTTACAAAATAGGGATCCTACTCTATGTTCTGTTTTTTCTTCACTCATCAACAGATCACAAACATTTTCCCATGCCATGACATTTTTTTCCTTCAGCTTCCACAGAGGAGTGCTCTGTGATTGCCTACAAACCAGAATGTCCCCCACAAATAGCCCCCTCCTCAGGCACAGACCCCTACTCCCCAGAATATGCTCATCCTATACGCTCAGCCCTTTTTTACTTCCTGTCATCTCTGGAAAGCTCGTGTAATCCTTCTGCCTTCCTTCTTAGACTCAGGGTCTCCTCCACTCCTGCCAAGGACATGTCCCATCCTTCTCAACACCCTCTACCTCTTCTATCATGTTTCCCCCTCGCTAAGTCACTGACCCTTCTCACACCCTCCCTCACCCAGGCTCAGAACTATTCTATCCTGTGCCCCATTCCCACAGGTCTTGCTAGAGACAATCTAATTCCATCAGCAAGCTGGCATTAGGCAATGTCTGTTGCAATGCACGGAGTGACAGGCAAGACAATGCCAGTGAAGGTGCTGGAGGCTGCAGCGTGGGAGTCCTTCCCAGGGACACAGGTGCACTTTGAACATGTCTTTGAGGTACGAAGCCTTAATCTAAAAGGGGACTCTCCTGGTATCATTTCAGGCTACCAGGCAGGGCTTGCAAGTGCTATTTTGGTGCAGGGAGCTCTTTTGATGTACCTTAAACCCCAACAGGGAGGCGGAGACCTAATCCACCCCTAGGGTGGGGCAGCCTTGGCGCCTTGCCCCATTAGGAGGGAATGAAAGGCTTTTGAAGGTGGTAGCTCAAGACGGGTGGCTTCTTGATTCCAACCACGGTGTCTCAGCCAGGATGGGGAATAAAGGGGGTTGTGCAGACAGCTGACAAGAGAGGAGGAATCTGGGTAGGGGAAGCAGGGGGATGCGACTCCCCCCAGACCTGATCTGTCTGACCTGGACTTCTCCGGCATCGCTGTCATAACAGCACCTATGCTCACATGTTTTTGTAAGGATCAGATGAGATAAGTTCAGTAAAAGTGCTTTGCCAAGGGTAAAACCCCTAAGTCAGGTGTGGTTAGGCCTCTCTGCTTCTTTCCTTTTTTTGGAAGGTGTTGACAGCTCCTCATTGTTCTTAAGGCGTTTCCTCCCTGAAACACATTTCACCTTCTAGACAGGAGGTGGGGGTCTTGGTGCTCAGTGAGGCACACCTGGGTTCCCTTAGCTCTGGGCCACTGCAGCTTCCGTCTCTATTCCCCCACAGCAGCTCAGGTTTTGTGTTTTTTGAGACAGAGTCCTGTTCTGTGGCCCAGGCTGGAGTGCAATGGTGCGATCTCGGCTCACTGCAACCTCCCCCTCCCAGGTTCAAGCGATTCTCCTGCCTCAGCCCCCCGAGTAGATGGGATTCCAGGCCTGCACCACCATGCCCAGCTAATTTTTGTATTTTTGGTAGAGATGAGGTTTTAGTATGTTGGCCAGGCTGGTCTCAAAGTCCTGACCTCGGGTGATCCACCCGCCTCAGCCTCCCAAAATGCTGGGATTACAGGCATGAGCCACTGCGCCTGGCAGCAGCTCAGGTTTTATAACTGGTGTTTACTGAGGTCCCAGGCATAATTCATCTAAACAATGCATAGGGTGACTAACTGTTCGGGATAGCGCAGAATTGAGGGGCTTCCAAGGACACAGGACTTTCAATGCTAAAACCGAGCCAGTCCTGGGCACACAGGGACGGTTGGTCATTCTAGGTGTACGTAGGGGTGTGTAGGTCAGATGTGGGTGTGATTTCGTTTGGCGTGGTACATATAAGTAGTGTGTGCTGAGGTGTGGTTACACATGTGATTATTCATGTTTGGCATAGAGGGCTTAGTGTGGATCTGGTGGCACATTTGGATTTGTGTGCTGGGTTTACGTTGCTATGTATGTGTCCATGTTGCTTGTAAGATGCATGCATGCGTTAGGGCTTGTATATATAGTGTGTTGGATTTAGCGTATATGGGTAACCTTCGTACGCATGCCATTTGTGTGCAATGAATGTGTTTTTTCAGTAGTGGTGTAAATGTATGTTTTGTATTTGGTGTAGTGTGGAATGTACATGTCGTTCGTGTGAGGAGGGAAGAATGCCAGTGGTGTAAATGTATGTTTTGTATTTGGTGTAGTGTGGAATGTACATGTCGTTCGTGTGAGGAGGGAAGAATGCCTGTGGTGTATATGTGTCTGGTGTGAAACTCGCTATGTGGGTGCTAGTGACTCGTGTAGTCTCTTGCCTAAATGCAGGTGTTTGTAGTGTGTGCATGTATAAGCACTAATGTGTGTATTGTGTGTGCTGTGTTTGGTGTGTCAAGGGACATATTCAGGTCATTGGTGAGCAGAGTTGAGTGTTGTGTATATATTGTGAGTTGTGTTTGGTGTGGAGGCTGAGATGTGTGTGTCATTTGCGTGCAGATGCGTTTGTGCGACGCTTTGCGCATGCTGTGTGTGCCGCCAGCAAGATGTCGGGGTGTGCAGTGGTGCGTGGCCTTTGTTGGGCTCAGAGAGACTTGTGTCATTTGCGTGTTGTGTGTGGAGGTGAGTGCTAGTGTATCTGTGCCGGGCGTGAGGTGTCCGAGTCTGCACGCTACGCACGTGTGTGGGTTGCGCAGCGAGACGCTGAGGGCGGAGGCGCGGCTGGGGCCCAGACGGTGTGACCTCAGGCGGTGTGACCTGGAGGGAGTCCAGCGCCGGAGCTAGCGCGCCGCGGGAGGCGGGGCATTCTGGGAAGCGGCCACGCCCACCGAGGGGGAGGCAGGGGCTCGGGGACCCCGCCGCGGCGACGCTAAGGTCGCTGCCTGCCTCCTGAGCTCCGGCCGCTGTTTACCTCTTACTACTTAATAGTGACTCCTAACCAAGCAGGGAACTATTGGGAATAAAAATGAAGACATGAGGCCGGGCGCGGTGGCTCACGCCTGTAATCCCAGAACTATAGGAGGCCGAGGCGGGTAAGTCATGAGGTCAGGAGTTCAAGACCAGCCTGGCCAACATGGTGAAACCTCGTCTCTACTAAAAATACAAAAAAGTAGCTGGGTGTAGTGGCGGGCGCCTGTAATCCCAGCTACTCGGGAGGCTGAGGCAGGAAAATCGCTTGAACCTGGGAGGCAGAGGTTGCAGTGAGCTGAGATTGCGCCATTGCGCTCCAGCTGGGCAACAAGAATGAAACTCAGTCTAAAAAAAAAAGATTGTCGCTCCTGTCGTCGGTGTATTTCCTCGTTTCATCCTCTCAGCCCACCTAGATGGTAGTCGTTATCCCCCCCGCACCGCTGAGTTCCCCGGGGGTCCCGGAAGTGAGGGAGCCCGCCCCACCAGGGTCTCGAACACCCCGCTGGTTGCCCGCGAATTGACAGGAGAAAAACACTGAGGGGAAACCGAGCTCCCTGGATAGCGGGACCCTGAGGGTCCCCCCAAAACCTGTCAAAAGGTGCTCGCAGAAATCTTTCCCCAGAGACCTTTCTGAATTTCTCACCAAGGCTGGAAGAATGAGGGTGTTAGGTAAGCTTGTAAGGTATAATATGATGCTTCCAAGAGGTATGTAGTTGAGTTAGGACAGTAAAGTAGTGAATTGTCCAAAATTAATACTTTTTTTGGATTGAGGGATTAACATCGCTTTTAAAACTCCAAATGCTCATACTTCGGATTTGCTTCTGGTAGGATCTACCTCCTCCTCCACCTCTACCTTCTTCCTTCCATCCTTCCTCCTTCTGACATATTTTCATGTGTATTTGATCTATTAGGTTGAATCGTATGAAATTGCCCTTTATGTAGATCAAAGCTGATCAAATACTTGAAATTTCATTTGTCCAACCTAATGCATATTGAAAGCTCTTTTTAGATACACGAGCACTCACCTCCACACACAACACACAAATGACACTCATCTCTCCACGCCCAACAAAGCCCACACACCACTGCACACCCCGTCACATCTTGCTGGCCGCACACGGAGCATGCGTAAAACATGGCACAAATGCATCTGCATGCAAATGAAACATGCAGGGGAATTGTTTGTGTTTGATGAGAGTTGCAAAAGTCCTGAGCATCACACTGATTGGAGCAGTTTGCACTTACTCACGGCTAGAGGGGTGGCATGTGGTGTGCTGGAGCCTGCTAGTACTGGCTCACCAGGCAATTGTTAAATATTTGGGAACTTTGCCCAGCCAGTTGTTAAACCACTGGTAGCTTGACATTGTCCATGAGGGAGTATTTACAGCATGGAAACTTGGGCTTCCCTCCCCATCCTCCTGGGAGCTGGTTTACCAGCACACTACTGGTTGTTTGGCTCATATGAGGCCACATTAAGGCTCAATGAAATCAGTTTCCTCAGAACCACATAAATCCCCAAGTACAAATTGAGAGTTGTGGGAAGAGTGGAAGGGATGCTGGGGAGGTGTCTTAATCGATTCAGGCTGCTATAACAAAGTACCATAGATTGAGTGACTTATAAGCAACAGAAATGTATTTCTCATAGTTCTGGGGACTGCAAGTCCAAGATGGGGGTGCCAGCATGGTTGGGTTCTGCCGAGGGCCCTCTTCTGGGTTGCAGTCTTGTTATATCCTCATATGAAAGAAAGAGAGAGTCCAAGAGTTCCCTGGGATCCCTTTTATAAGGGCATTAATCCCATTCATGAGGGCTCCTTCCTCGTGACTTTATTACCTCCCAAAGGCCCAACCTCCCCACCTCCTTACACTATCACATTAGGGGTTAGGATTTCAACATATGAATGTTTGGGAGGACACAAATATTCAACCCATTACAGGAGGCAACCAACAAGTTCAGTGGTTGCAGGAGAAAACATTGGAAATTTGGGAATGAACCATGTCAGTTCATAACTGTAGCACTTTGGTTAATATTTATTAAACATATACCAGGCACAATTTGAAGCACTTTATATATGTTAACTCATTTGATCACCACAATAACCTTATGAGGTGGATATCATTCATATCCCCATTTTACAAATGGAGAAACTGAGGCTCAGGTAACTTGGCCAAGGTTATACAGCTAGTAAGTAGTAGAGCTTGGCTTTGACCCCAAGCTATGTAACTCCAGGGTGCATGCTCTTGACTACTACGCTATGCTACCTGTATTATATCTTTTAGGTTAGGCTGCAGAAACAACCCCAAAATCTGTGTCTTAAAATAATAAAGGTTTGTCCTTGTTCATATTAGTGTGTCAGCTGTGGTTATGCTTGACCTGTCTTGTTCTGAGACCCAGGCTGAAGGAACAGCCCCTATCATGGTATTTCCCCAGAGAAAAGACCAATTCCAGTAGCAGGTGATGAATCTGAGGAGTCAAGTAATGTATGACATACAGTATTTTTTTATCACATTCCATTGTTGAAAGCACATCACATGGCCGAGCTTGACTCAGTTGGGGCTGAGGAATAGATTCCTCCTCCTCCTCCCAGACACTGCAAGTCACATGGCAACCTGTTTGGTAGTGAATAATTGGGAACTGTTTCAGGATAGGTTCCCCAGAAGTAGACCCTGAGTCAAGGACTGTGGGCAAGTGATTTATTAAGGAAGTGTTCCTAGGAGAATCCATAAAAGGAGTTTGAAGAGCAGGACAGAGGAGAAGATGAAGCCAAGAAAGGCTATAATTTCAGGCAAAGTCCTGGGCTCAGCCTGCCTGGAGTTTAAATTATACCTCAGAGTTTATCTCAAGGCAAGGAAGCTGGGCTTTCATGTTTCCACAGCTGTCAAATTGGTTAAGTACTTAAGATGGGCTAAGTACTGCTCTAAGGGGACATAAGCAACTAGTTTCTGAACCTGGGTGAAGCAGTTCCAGTAGCCCTGGAGTAATCCTCCAAAAAGAGTCACAGGTGCATGGCTCTTAGAAACAAAATCACACAGAAACTGGGAGAGAGAATGGAACCTGAGAGATCTGAAAAGATCTGGGCAGAGCACCAATAATGCCTCTTTTTATACTGTCTTATTTTAGCATTAAAGGTAAGACATTATTTCTCCCATAGTTAATGGCATGTCTTTGATGCTAGGCAGAGGGGCCAGGGTGCACTCCCATTGGAACAACAGGCAACAAAGAGTCATTACAAGTTTTTCAGTAACCCAGTATAGTATTTACTGGGCAGATGTGTCTAACACAAATCTTTCCAAAGTGAAGAAAGACACAAGCCCTACTGCAGTGCAATTCTGGCAGTAACCACCTGGAGTTAATGCAGACTCCACTGGTTAAGCGTGCAGTCCCCAGTAAGACTGCTCTACAAAGATGTCAGCTGCAAGATCAGGGGTCCTGAGGCCAATGACACTTCTCATGAACTGGCTACCAATTCAAGGGTCCCACAACCCCCTCAGCTTCCATAATTTGCTGAGATAATTCACAGAATTCACAAAAGTGCTACATTTACAATTGCAGTTTTATTATAAGGATACAATCAGGGCCAGCCAAATGAAGAGAAACATAGGGTGAGGTTGGGGAGCATCCCAAACATGGAGCTTCCATGCCCCCTCCCTGTGAAATCAGGACATGTTGCTTTTCTTTTCTTTCTTTTTTTTTTTTTTGAGACGGAGTCTCACTCTCGCTCAGGCTGGAGTGCAGTGGCGCGATCTCGGCTCACTGCAACATCCGCCTCCTGGGTTCAAGCGATTCTCCTGCTTCAGCCTCCTGAGTAGCTGGGACTACAGGTTTGCGCCACCATGCCTGGCTAATTTTAGTATTTTTTAAGTAGAGACGGAGTTTCACCATCTTGGCCAGGCTGGTCTCAAACTCTTGACCTCAGGTGATCCACCCACCTCAGCCTCCCAAAGTGCTGGGATTACAGGCGTGAGCCACTGCACCTGGCCAACATGTTGCTTTTCTAGCACATTGTTGTGTTCGCTAACCAGGAGATTCACCCGAGCTTTGGGTATCCAGGGTTTTGAGGTTTCATTATGTATGCATAATTGATTAAATCATTGGTCATGAGATTGAACTCAATCTCCAGCCTACCTCCTTTCCCTGAAGGAGGTTGGGCTGATATCACGTGGCTCAAATCTCCAACCCTGTAACCACATAGTTGGTCATTCTGGTGTGACCAGCTCTTACCGTGAGTCATCTCATTAGCATAAATCCAGGTGTGGGCTGAGGGTCCCACCATTATTAACCAAGACATTTCTATTTCTTCAGAAATTCCAAGAGTTTAGAAGCTCCTTCCCGGGAAAACCAGACAAATTCTTTATTATAGAACATGTATCATCAGAATGAAGAATCATATTGAGCCCTGAGCAGAATCATTTTTCTAATTCCACAGGTAGACACACATATATGAGCAAATGCAGTACACCAAAGACAAAAGGAAAAATCTTACATGCCTCTGGGGAAATAAGATGATGACCTACAAAGGAACTCAAATATAGTAACAACAGACTTATCTTCAATATCAATAGAGGCTGGAAGATGATGGAATGATATCTTTTTTTGTTTTTTAGACAGAGTCTTGCTCTGTCACCCAGGCTGGAGTGCAGTGCTATGATCGCAGCTCGCTGCAACCTCCACCTCCTGGGTTCAAGTGATTCTCCTGCCTCAGCCTCCGAGTAGCTGGGATTACAGATGTGTGCCACCACGCCCGACTAATTTTTGTATTTTTAGTAGAGATGGGGTTTCACCATGTTGGCCAGGCTGGTCTTGAACTCCTGACCTCAGGTGACCCGCCCACCTTGTACTCCCAAAGTGCTGGGATTACAGGCGTGAGCCACCGCGCCTGGGCTGGAATGATGTCTTAAAAAGATCTATAAGGTAGGTTGCTCTTTCTCATTGGAAGGTAAAACATAAAATACCTATTGGATACTGTAGTAATATTTGTCTATCATTATAAAGGAAAGTTAATCTCATGTCATTGAAGTAATCCATTTAAAACCCAAAACATTATTTTAATAATTTCTGATGTAAATCATTCCAAAATATATCACCCCATGCTTAACTTCCTAACAGAAGACTCAGGTTCAACATTCTTTGCTGTTGAATAGTGAGAGTTTCAGGCGTTACCGAGGTCAGCTAGGCAGCTTGCACCTGCACTAAGTGTGTCTGCGCTCTGTGTGTCACACATCCTTTTTAGAGTTCTGTCTCCTCTCTGCAGCAGCAGCTTTATCAGCCTCTTAATCTTCTGCTACATTTTATATGCAGTTGTCTGCATGTGGGCCAGGGGCTTTCTCCACTCTCTCCATCCTCCTAACATCTGTAGCTCATTAGCTATAAGTGGCAGATTATATTTTCCAAAAACAAGCACTGCAATATCTCCCATCCAACATGCAACGTAATGTTAACACTCCATCCATCATTTATACTCTCTCCTCTTAAATCAGGTATCTTCCAAGGCTGGGTCATAAAAGGTGATATGGTTTCCACCCAGTCCTCTAGGAATGCTTATTCTTGGAACCCAATTACCATGCCACAAGGAAGGGGAGAAACCACATGGAGAGACCATGTGTAGGTGTCTGGCGGAGAGCCCCAGCCAGGGCCCCTTTCAGCCAGCACCAGTCCTCAAATGGGAGCAAGGGAGTGAGTGAGTGAGGCTTCCGTGATTCCACCCTAGGCTTTGAATTCCCCTGCTGATGCCAAGTGGAGCAGAAACAAGCTGTCTCTACCAAGCCTTGCCCCAAGTATTTATGAGCAAAAGAAGTGATGGTTGTTATCTAAGCCTCCAAGTTTGAGGTGGTATCATTCACAACAATAGATAACTATATGACACCACTTTTTACTGTGCTTAAAAGCTGCTCCAGGGCTGGGAGGTGTGGCTCATGCCTATAATCCCAGCACTTTGGGAGGCCAAAGTGGGAGGATCACTTGAGGTCAGGAGTTTGAGACCAGCTAGCCAACATAGTGAAACCTGGTCTCTACTAAAAGTACAAAAAATTAGCCAGGCATGGTGGCAGGTACCTGTAATCCCAGCTACTTGGAAGGCTAAGGCAGGATAATTGCTTGAACCCGGGAGGCGGAGGTTGCGGTGAGCCAAGATCACACCATTGCACTCCAGCCTGGGCAACACTCTGTCTCAAAAAAAAAAAAAAAAAAGCTGCTCCATGTGACACGTTGGTTGGAGTCCTTTGGGAACTCTTAACCCAGAGGTTCCTTTGTCAATTGTAAAGAAGTTCAAGCCTTGTAAATTATTTCAAGTTTCCTCCTACTCTAGACGAAGCCTCTTTGGTTTCAAGGAAAAAAAGAAAGAAGAAAAGAAAAAAAATTAGTATTCTGTGGTGGTGCATGCCTGTAATCCCAGCTACTTGGGAGGCTGAGGCAGGAGAATCACTGGAACCCGGGAGGTAGAGATTGCAGCAGCTGAGATCATGCCACTGCACTCCAGCCTAGGCGACAGAGCAAGACTCCATCTCAAAAAATTAAAAAAAGGAAAAAAAGAAACCCATCCACTGTATCTCAGGAAAAGGGGGTTTTAGGCTTTATGGAAGGATTCAGAGGGGCTCATGGAAATCGAAGAACAGCAACTTCTGCACAGCATGGCCTCATGGCAATTGTTGTAGATATATATATATACACACACACACTATACACACATATATATGTATATATGCATACACACATACACATACACACATATATATACACACACATACAAGTATTTATAACTTTTCTGTTACTTTCTGCACATATACTCTATTCTTTTCTCATTTCATAGGCATAGGCTTGGTTTTTTAATTCATCAATTCACTGGTTCATTAAGCCCTTTTCTACTTTCTAGTTCCCTATGTACATCACAGCCTATGATACAGGTGCCACTACTGATCAGTGCCTGGTTCCAAAATTCCCGAAAAGATGTCTAATTAATACAGCTCCTCTTTGCTAAGCAAGGTCCCATAAAGCACAAGTAGCTGGACTAATTACACCTGAACTGACCTTGGTCAGGTGTCCATCACAGAGCAATCAACTGGGGCCCTGGAGGGCCCTTTTGGAAGAGAAAAGTCCCCTAGAAGGGATTTGGGCAGGACATGCAGTGACTGACATTTTCAGGACACCTCCCCATTAAGGCTGTTTACTCCTCCATACCAGAAAATGAAAGCTGAGATGGGCACAAGTGTGACCTCCAGATAATAGCAGGACACAATCAGGAACTGCCAACCCAGGGGAGGATCTGGAGCAAGGGCGGATGAAGGGGTACCATGTCTGGCAGCAGATGGTGGTACCAGTAGGTAAGGAGATGAGCCTAAAGGCAAAAAGTCCCCCAAGCAATCCCTGCTGTCGATTTAGAGAGAACTGTACTAAGACTCGCAGATAACATTTCACTCTTTAAGCCTTCATGGTGGGCCAGGCGTGGTGGTTCACACCTGTAATCCCAGCACTTTGGGAGGCCAAGGCAGGTGGATCACAAGGTCAGGAGTTCGAGACCAACCTGGCCAACATAGTGAAACCCTGTCTTTACTAAAAATACAAAAATAAGCCAGGCATGGTGGTGCGCGCCTGTAATCTCAGCTACTTGGGAGGCTGAGGCAAGAGAATTGCTTGAATCCAGGAGGCAGAGGTTGCAGTGAGCCGAGATCTCGCCACTGGACTCCAGCCTGGGTGGCAGAGCAAGACTCTGTCTCAAAAAAAAAAAAAAAAATGCTTCATGGTGTCCTAGATACAAAATTGCTGGAGTCCAACAGGCAAGGCTCTATGAGCTTTGATTTCTTCATCTGTAAAATGAAGATAGTACCGACTGGCTGGATGTGATGGATCAAGGCTGTAATCCCAGCACTTTGAAAGGCCGAGGCGAGTGGATCACCTGAGGTCAAGAGTTCGAGACCAGCCTGGCCGACATGGTGAAACCCCGTCTCTACTAAAAATACAAAAATTAGCCAGGCATGGTGGGGGGTGCCTGTAGTTCCAGCTACTTGGGAGGCTGAGGCAGGAGAATTGCTTGAACCTGGGAGACGGAGGTTGCAGTGAGCTGAGATTATGCCACTGCACTTCAGCCTGGGTGACAGAGTAAGACTCTGTCTCAAAAAAAATAAAAAGTACCAACCTTGCAGGGCAAGGGTGAGAATTAAATGCAATAACTCTGTCCAAAGGTTTAACACAGGCTCATGTTTATCACAGCTGCTCGCTAAACATTTGTGAACTCCCTTTCTTCTTCTACTGGGGAGTCAGAGCTCCCCCTTTCAGGTTGTGAAATGGGCTGGGACAAAGATCGCAGAAGCTTTTTGACTGGAGGTCAAAATTTCAATTTTCAATCCCTAAAAATCTTCAGGGGCTGGGCACAGTGGCTCATGCCTGTAATCCCAGCACTTTGGGAGGCCAAGGCAGGTGGATCACTTGAGGTCTGGAGGTTGATGCCAGCCTGGCCAACACAGCTAAACCCCGACTCTACTAAAAATATAAAAATTATCTGGGCGTGGTGGCGGGCACCTGTAGTCCAGCTACTTGGGAGGCTGAGGTATGAGAATTGCCTGAACGCGGGAAACAGAGATTGCAATGAGCCGAGATGACGCTGCTGCACTCCAGCCTGGGCGAGACAGTGATACTCTGTGAAAAAAAAAAAAAAATCTGCAGAACAAAGAGAATTAGACTATAAAGAGTTTACAGAGTCATAACCAAGAAATGTGCACATTAGAAATCAAGGAGTAGAGTTTATGGTGCAATGACATTGAAGCAATGCCCTGGATGGGCCCCACTCGTTTTAAGAACTCAGTGAAATTGTGAAACCTGTGGGGCAGACCTCAGTCCCCTGAAGACCTCCACATTCCTCAGGGAGTTCAGCAGCTCAGAACAGTGGCAATTCCTGAATATCCAGGATGGCACGTCAAATGCCAGAATGGAGGCACCAAGGCTGAAGGGAGGAGCACTAGATCAGGAGTCCAGCCCTGGGTTCCATTTCCAGCCTTGCTGCTGACTAGCTGTGTGTCCCTGGGCAAGTCATTTTCCTACTGGGTACAAGCCTGTATCTCCACAGCAATAAAATATGAAAGCTGGTCCAGATTATTTCCAAGAGGCCTCAAACTAAAGTAGGTAAGGGGATCTTAGTGATTCTAAGATCCTGCGAACTCCAGACCTCAAGTGATCTGCCCGCCTTGGCCTCCCAAAGTGCTAGGGTTACAGGCATGAGCTACTGTGCCCAGCCCTTGCAGATTTTTAGGAATTGAAAATTAAAGGCTAAGGCCGGGCATGGTCTCACACCTGTAATCCCAGTACTTTGGGAGGCTAAGTCGGAAGGATCAAGTAGGATCAAGTAGGTAAGGAGATCTTAGGGAACTTTTAGAGTTACACAGACTCAGCTTAAATCCTGGCTTTTCCTGGAAGGACAGTGATCCCAGGCAAGTTGTTTAACCTCTATATGCTTCACACTTTCCTTATCTGTAAACTGGGGGTAATAGCAGTATAAGGTTGTGAGGATTAAAGGAGAGAATCCATGAGTGCATGTAACACAATACTTTGCACATAGTAAGTTCTCAATGAATGTTAGATATTATTGTTAGTGAAGGGATATTTTAAAATACATTTGTGAAAGCATAACTCCTTTAATCACCTTGGCCCCCGGGGCTCCCCAGCCCAGAATCAACAGGTTCCCTGTATTAAAAGAGGAACAGATACCAGTTTGAAAGACAAAGTCATTGCTTTCCCTCAACTAACAAGTTTCCTTTATCTGGCAGCTGGGTGGGGTGGGAGCTCCTTGTAAACAATAACCTTCAAAGCCAGGCTTTGAGGCAAAGGGAATTGTCCTACAGTGTTTGAAGTTTCTGTTCCCTTAACAAGTCGGCCTGAAGGACTTGGCCACTGAGGTTACTGTAAGCCTTGCTGGAGAGAACTCAGTATCTGGCATAGAGCAGTGTGTCTCTAACTTTCTGGGAGAGAACTAAAATACATGGATTCCTGGGTCTCTCCTCAAATCTACTTAATCAGACTCTCCAGGGTAGGCACAGGGAATGAATATTTTATTTTATGGTTTTTTGTTTTGTTTTGTTTTTTTCTGAGACGGAGTCTCGCTCTGTCTCTCAGCTCACTGCAACCTCCACCTCCCGGGTTCAAGTGATTGTCCTGCCTCAGCCTCCTGAATAGCTTGCTGGGGCTACAGGCGCGTGCCACCATGCCCTGCTAATTTTTTTGTATTTTTAGTAGAGACGGGGTTTCACCATGTTGGTCAGGCTGATCTCGAACTCCTGACCTCAAATGATCAGCCCGCCTTGGCCTCCCAAAGTGCTGGGATTACAGGCATGAGCCACCGCGCCCAGCAGGGAATGAATATTTTAAACCAGTGCCCCAGTTGCTGCTTCTGGTCAGAGAAGCCTAGGAAGAGACAAAGTGTCTTAGGCAGAGACAAAGGGTCGGCTCCTCAGGTCCCAGTGTGTTGTAGGGGAAGAAGGGAAAGGGGCAGGGAAGCGGTAGGTTCCATGTGTGACCCCTCTCCAAGGTGGCATGGAGACAAGCGGGTAGGGAAGGGAGAAATGTCCCTATTCATGTGGTGACTGAGTGTTTACCCGTTAGATACACTTCAAATGGGAGTAGACCAAGGCACCTACTTGGCAAATTGTCCCCTTCCCTTCCCAGCTCCAACACCCCGAAGTGGGACTCGTGGGAGAGATTGAATCAGTAACAGGAAGAAAGAGAGAATATCTTCTTTGTGCATCTGAGCGTCCTGTGGGTAAATTGCTCTTGTTATGTCACTTCATCAACATAAAAATGTTGCATCATCATTGTCACCAAAAAGTCTTCATCCAAGAGTGCCTCCAGCTCTGGGGTCACTCAGGAGCTAAGCCAGGTGTGTGCCCCTTTTGGTTCAGGAAGCTGCCCCTTTGCCCTCAGGCAGGAACCAGGAAGCACGGTCTTCCAATCTGGCTGGGAAACAGTGTGGGCGCAGGAAGCTGGGGATTAAATCTCCCCCAAGGGATCACACAGCCACCAAATTAAAGGGTGAGCCCACGCAGATGGAATTTGAAATTCCCAGGTCAGTGTGCTTCCCTGGCCTCGCCACTCTGGGTTTCCCCTCTGACCACACTTCTCCTGGGCTAAGCCTGAACAGTGCGTGTCTCTGGAGCTCTGCACACTTTCAGGGTGGGATTGCCTTTTGTTTTGTTTTTCTAGTCACTTCTTTCTCTGCCCTAAAATGGAGGAAGAACTCTGAAATTCTGGACACTTATTCTTTTGATTATTAATTGTGGAAATAATAATCATAATAAACTCAGATTTGAGCCATCGTTTATACTTTTTTCAGTTTTTAAAAACTGTGGTAAAAGACACATAAGACTTACCATTTTAACCATTTTAAAGTGTACAATTCATACAGAGAAAACAAACACAACAAAAAAGTGTACAATCCAGTGGCATTTAGTATATTCACAGTGGCTTGCAATCATCTCCACTGTCTAGTTTCTGAATATTTTCATTGCTTCAAAAGGAAATCCTGTACCCATTAAGCAGTCACTCTCCATTCCTCCCTCCTCCCAGCCCCTGGCAACCACAAATCTGCTTTCTGCCTCTATGGATTTGTCTATTCTGAGTATTTCATATAAATGGAAGCATACGTATGTGGTCTTTTGTGTCCGGCTTCTTTCTCTTAGTGTAACGTTTTCAAGGTCCATCCATGTTGTAGCATATATCAGGACTGCATTCCTTTTTATGGCTTTTTATAATATTCTGTTGTACGGATATACCACATTTTATTTATCCATTCATCATTTGACATCCTTTACACTTTTTTGTTGTTGTTGTTGAGGTGGAGTTTTGCTTTTATTGCCCAGGCTGGAGTGCAGTGTCATGATCTCGGCTTACTGCAATCTCTGCCTCGCAGGTTCAAGCAATTCTCCTGCCTCAGTCTCCCAAGTAGCTGGGACTACAAGCACCCGCCACCACACCCAGCTAATTTTTGTATTTTTGGTAGAGCCGGGGTTTCACCATGTTGGCCAGTATGGTCTCGAACCCCCGACCTCAGTTGATCCGCCCGCCTCGGCCCCTTTACACTTTTAAAGTGCTTCATGGCCAGGTGTGGTGGCTCATGCCTGTAATCCTAGCACTTTGGGAGGCTGAGGCAGGCAGATCACTTGAGGTCAGGAGTTTGATGCCAGCCTGGCCAATATGGTGAAACCCATCTCTACTAAAAATACAAAAAAAAAAAAAAATTAGTTGGGTGTGTGGCAAACACCTGTAATCCCAGCTACTTGGGAGGCTGAGGCAGAAGAGTTGCTTGAACCCGGGAGGCAGAGGTCGCAGTGAGCCGAGATCGCACCACTGCACTCCAGCCTGGGCAACAGAGTGAGACTGTCTCAAAAAAAAAAAAACAAAAGGGTGCTTCTACGTACACTGCATCACCTCATCGTCACAAAAACTCTGTGAGGTGGAAAGAGCAGATATGATTCATTATTATTATGATTCTCTGCATTTTACAGATTGAGGAGACTGAGGCTTACAAGGTGAAATGATTTTTCCAACATCTCACAGCTGGTTAATGGCAGATCCAGACCCAGAATCCAGGTCTCTTGAGTTTGAATGAGCAAAACCACTGGGCAGTTTGCTTTGTAATCATTAGTGGTGTTTTCTCACCAAGAAGATTCTGGGTGGACATGTGCTCACAGTGGCAAGGCAGGTGGGGACCAATGAGGCTTTGACCCTTGGACAGGCCTAATTTTGTCCATTGGTAAAGTTGGCCACTTCCTACAGGGCTTGGTCTTGCAGCCTCTGCTCAGACCTCCTTGAGGATGCCCCTTGCCCTAGGATGCCATAGAAGGCTGGCGCTCAAGTTGGGCAGCAACTGGGGCCTCCTATCTTTGTACTCCCCCAGCACCAAGCCTGGCAACTGGGGCTCCATAAAGTATTTGCTAAGACATTTTAAAGGTTTAAGGGTGCTCTGATATTTTGCATTCTTTCCCCCAGCAACATGTTACTGGTAGCAATTTCCTATCACCCAAGTAACTCCTGAGCCTCCTTACTTGGAGTGAATAACAAGCAATTAGGAGCTGTAACTCTTTAACACAAATCAGCAGGACTTTGGGGAGTGGAATCCTGCTCTGCAACAGTAAGGGTTTTGTTCCTGCTAAAATAACAACAAAACCACCTAATGAAAAGTTTGGAAAACTGAACAAAGCAACAAAAATAACCATAATCTT
The DNA here is from genome assembly GCF_000001405.40 of Homo sapiens. Classification (NCBI taxonomy): domain Eukaryota; kingdom Metazoa; phylum Chordata; class Mammalia; order Primates; family Hominidae; genus Homo; species Homo sapiens. The sequence continues at coordinate 36,647,605 of NC_000006.12, read as the reverse complement.
ACTACCCTAACACAACTGTTGTTTTCAAGAATTCCCTTTACTAATTCGCTCCCTTTCTTTCTCCCTCCCTTCCTTTTTCCCTCTCTTGAGTCCTTCTGTCCGTCCATGATGAAAGTAGCACGAAATCACTGCCATATTCTGAAAATCACCTATTATCTGATACCCAGAGTCAGTCACTGGGAACATCTTGCACATTTCCTTCCAGTCTTTTTCAATACCTTGTTTAATAATTGAGATAATGCAGGCGGGGCACGGTGGCTCACGCCTGTAATCCCAGCACTTTGGGAGGCTGAGGTGGGTGGATCACGAGATCAGGAGTTTGAGACCAGCCTGGCCAGCACGGTGAAACCCCATCTCTACAAAAAAATACAAAAAATTAGCCCAACATGGTGGCTTGTGCCTGTAATCCCAGCTACTCGGGAGGCTGAGGCAGGAGAATTGCTTGAACCCGGGAGGCGAAGGTTGCAGTGAGCTGAGATTGAGCCACTGTACTCCAGCCTGGGCAACAAAGCGAGACTCCATCTCAAAAAAAAATAATAATAATTGAGATTATGCAGAATGGACAATTCTCTTAGTGTTTCCTATGTCACTAGTTTTTTCTAATAATGAAAACAACATATGTATATTATTGAAATCTATGGAAAAAATTACAAGAAAGAAAGAAAGTTTCCCTAGAATGTTTCTTCTACCAACAGAAATCTTAACATGCATTTATTATATATGGTTGTAATCCTACTGAATATATAGTACATCATTTTTTAATCCATTTCCAACTTATAAGCATTTTTCCATATTGCCTCAGAGTCTTTATAATTTTTTATTTGTAATAGATAACACATTTACATAACACAATATTCAAAAGATTCAAATGCGATTCAGTGGAAAGATTTCTTTCCACCCCATTCTCCCACTAGCCTATTTTTCATCCCTAAATTGCCCACTGTTGCCTGTTTCTTGTATGTCCTCCATGAAAGTTTTTTTATGCTTTATCTAAACAAATGCAGGTATATTTAAGTGTATTCCTTCCTCATCTCCCCACCTTTTTTTTTTTTTTTTTGGGACAGAGTCTTGCTCTGTAGCCCAGGCTGGAGTGCAGTGGCACGATCTCGGCTGACTGCAACTTCCGCCTCCCGGGTTCAAGCGATTCTCTTGCCTCAGCCTCCTGAGTAGCTGGGACTACAGGTGCGTGCCACAATGCCCGGCTAATTTTTTTATTTTTAGTAGAGACAGGGTTTCACCATGCTGGCCAGGCTGGTCTCAAAATCCTAACTTTGTGATCCACCCACCTCAGCCTCCCAAAGTGCTGGGATTACAGGTGTGAGCCAGCGCACCCAGCCCATCTCCCCATTTTTTACACAAAGAATAATGAGCTATATACACTGTCCTCACCTTCTCCTTTTTAAAATTTGTTTGAGCTGGGGTCTCCCTATGTTGCCCAGGATAGTTTCAAACTCCTGGTCTCAAGCAAGCTTCCCATCTCAGTCTTCCAGGTAGCTGGGACTACAGGTGCAGGCCATTGTGCCTGGCTTTACCTTCCTTTTAAACTCTTAAACTTAAAAGTGTATCTTGAATGTCTTCCTATTTATGCTCAAGACAGCTTTCTTATTTTTTTTTACAATAGTATTGGAGTCTGCTCTATATAGATAGGTATACCATGATTTATTAAAGTAGGCCCCATAGATGAACATTTAAGGTATTTCCAATTTTTTTTTTTTTTAAGAAACAGGGTCTCACTCTGTACCCAGGCTCAAGTGTGGTGGCACAATCATCACTCACTGCAGCCTCCAACTCTTGGGTTCAAACAATCCTCTCACCTCAGCCTCCTGAGTAGCTAGGACTACAGGCATACACCACTACACCCAGCTAATTTTAAAAATTTTTTTGTGGAGACAGGGTTTATGTTGCTCAGGCTACATTATTTCCAATCTGATGCAAACAATACTACAGTGACTACCATTGCGTGTGTATCAGTTCACATGTGTGAGCATCCATCTGTCAAATAAATTCCTAAAAGTGGAATTGCTGGGTCAGAAAGTGCACGCATTTATAATTTTGATAGACATGGCCAAATTGTCCTCTGTCGGAGAGCAGTACATACTTTTTAACCCAGCATCTAGCCTTAAGTATTTTCTCCATCTTTTGTTGTCCATAAATAACAAAGTTAGGACTTAGCTTCAGGCATAAACCACTTCCTCTATTTGTCCACTCAAATGTAATCTGCAATATGTCAAAGGCCTCTTAGGTGACAAACACTTGCTGGGTGCTGAGAAACAAAGATGCACAAGACACAGGTGCTGTCCTTGGAAGTGAGTCTGGATGCTGGGGGTAGGGGAGGCGAGAAGGAAGGGATGTGTAAGAAGAGTTCCTGCTGCTGTCCATCAGGCCCTAAATACCTGCGGAAGAAATGACCTCCTTATCCCAGCACCCAGCAAAGCAGGGCATGGATCAGATGCCCAGTACACACTGAACGGGTGAAAGATTGAATCATTGAACGTCTGGTGTGGAGGAAAGAGGGAAAGTCAGCAGATTGGAGCATCCCCCAAGAGTCTCGCTCTGTCGCCCAGGCTGGAGTGCAGTGATGCAATCACAGCTCACTGCAGCCCTGACCTCCTGGGCTCAAGCAATCCTCCCATCTCAGCTTCCTCAGCAGCTGCGACTACAGGCACATACCACCATGCCTAGCTAATTTTTGTATTTTTTGTAGAGATGGGATCTCATCATGTTGGCCAGGCTGATCTCAAACTCCTGGGCTCAAGTGATCCTCCCAACTTGGCCTCCCACAGTGTTGGGATTACAGGCATGAGTGACTTTTCTTGAGAATCAATTTCAACATACGAAATTCTGAGTCAGAGGAGCTAAATGTCTTCTGGCTTCCTGACTCACAAGGATCAGTTTGGGACTGGGCGCGGTGGCTCACTCCTGTAATCCCAGCACTTTAGGAGGCCAAGGTAGGCAGATCAGGATTTCAAGACCAGCCTGACCAACGTGGTGAAACCCCGTCTCTAGAAAACACAAAAATTAGCTGGGCATGATGGCAGATGCCTATAATCCCAGCTAGTCGGCAGACTGAGGTGGGAGAATTGCTTCAACCCGGGAGGCAGAGGTTGCAGTAAGCCGAAATCATGCCATTGCACTCCAGCCTGGATGACAGAGCGAGACTCCATCTCAAAAAAAAATCAGAAATTAATTAATTAAAAATCAGTTTGATTGGTGAGGAGGTGTGAAGGTCAGGAATGATCTAGAGGCAGATCTGAGTGAGTGGAGTTTGGGAGGTCCTCTGATTAACCCTGGACAATGGGCATCTCCACCAAATAAGCCAGACGACCTCTGAGTTGAGACAGAGGTGAAGAAGGGAGGATACTAGTGAGAGCTGCCCAAGAGAAGTTCCCCATTTCCCCACTCTGGGGTGGAATGCAGCTGCTGTGTGGGGAACAACCATTCTCCCTGCCCGCTGCAAACTAGAGCACACCCTTTGCAGTCCAGAGTCCGCACCCTCCTAGTGCAGGCTATGGAAAGGATGCCCATCCCCTGCCCCACCAATGAGATTCCAAGCCCCGGAAATTGATCTGACAGTTTGGAAACTCCAGCTGCATCCCCAGGAATGCAGGTACCCATTTCTCTATTTGGAGAAGGAAACCAGCGTAGTTTCAGCTCCTCTGGTTCATGCCCTAGAATTTTAGAAAGAACAGTAAAATATATAATGCTTACAAAAAAAATCAAGAACCAATCAAATCCACCCCTGTTTTACAGATGAAGAAACTGAGTCCCAGAGAGGTGAAGTGGGCTGCCTGAGGTCACACAGAGGGTAAAAGGCTGAGCAAGATCTGGAAACAGGGCTCCTGGCTGTGTACCCAGTGCTCTCTGCTCTGAACGAGGGGGTGGGGGAGGGGATGGTGACCTAGACGTGGCTCTGGGAAACCAGAGAGAAGAGAACTGTGCCAGAGCTGGAGGCAGGTTCAGAGCTGGGGTCGTGGGTAGGAATCATCTACCTACACCTGTCCCAGTTTCTGGATTGTAAGTCCTCCAGGAATTCCTGATATTCTACTTATGTCCAAGTTCCCTGCTTGGAAGCAGGTTTGCCAGCATGGGTTTCCAAGTGTTGTCAGCCCTGAGAAGGGAGGGACGGTGTGGAGAGAAGCAGGCTGCCGAGGCTGGGGTTGCTGGGCAACCAAGCCCAAGGACCACCTTGAGGGAGAGCTGTCCCAGCTCTGTGCTCCCCGTGGACCCAGCTCTGTGCTCCCCGTGGACCCAGCTCTGTGCTCCCCGTGGGCCCAGGGTGGCTTCTAGTAGTGACTCAGGGCTCATGGGCAGTGTTCCTGGGAACAGAGTAGGAAGGGGTGGCAGCCAGCCAGGATCTCCTGTTCCCTGGACAGAGGCTGGTGGATGACTCCTCCTCCTGATCTCTTAGGACTTTGACTCCCCTTTGGAAGCTGCTTTGAAAGTTTTCCAGAACTTGATTTTACCTGCATTAAACCCTTAGGAGAGTCTCACCTTGGAATTGAGCTTTTGAAATACTTTTCTGGGTACTCTTGACCCCCTGGCCTAGCCCCAGCCAGGGATTCCAAGGGGTGAGGGACATGTGTGTTCCTTTCTCCTGAGGTGGAAGAGCAAGAAAACAATTCCCCTCCTAGAGCAGACAGACTTGCATGAAATGGTGAAATAACAAACCACCTCTGACATCAGCAAGGGCCTTCAGGTTCTTCAGCTCCTGGTAATCCTCACAGCACTCCATGACAGATTTTTTAAATCCCTTCTACAGGTAGGGACATTGGGGCACAATGAGGGACATTGAGGCACAGGGACATTGAAGCACTTGCACAGGCAAGTCATGTCACTTGCCCCAGGACACAGAGAGGAAAGAACCCAAGGACAGGGCTCCATGGCTCTTTGCCTGGACAGAGTGACTTAGATCCATTTCAAGTCCTTGCCCTGGAGGCCCAGCCCTCACCCCCATAGACTCCAAGCCTCCCCAAGAGCTGACTAGCTTTATCTTTAAATTTTATTTTATTTTTTGAGACGGAATCTCGCTCTGTCGCCAGGCTGGAGTGCAGTGGCGCAATCTCGGCTCACTGCAACCTCTGACTCTCTGGTTCAAGCGATTTTCCTACCTCAGCCTCCTGAGTAGCTAGGATTACAGGTATGCACCACCATGCCCAGCTAATTTTTGTATTTTTAGTAGAGATGGGGTTTCACCATGTTAGCCAGGATGGTCACAATCTCCTGACCTGGTGATCTGCCCGCCTCGGCCTCCCAAAGTCCTGAGATTACAGGCATAAGCCACCGTGCCCAGCCCTGACTAGCTTTTTAACCACAAACTCACTCTGAAGGAAATTGGAAAACACTGGTAGGTCAGTGTTTTCAAAATTTTTGGGCTGAAACTCACAGTAAGAAATGCATTTAGGCCAGGTGCAGTGGCTCTCCCCTGTAATCCCAGCACTTTGGGAGGCTGAGGCAGGAGGATCACCGGAGCCCAGGAGTTCAAGACCAGCCTGGGCAACATAGCGAGACCCTGTCTCTATTTTTTTTTTTAAGAAATGTATTTAACACCACAATGCAGTAATCGGACACACAAACATAATCATAGCTCTTAGGATAATTTGTAATTATTCTGTTTATTTATAAATATGTAAAATCAAACAAAGTTGCATGAAGTAACACTTTTACTGCCTGAGAAACACGCTGGCATTTTCTATTATCTGCTCTTCTGTCTCATTATTTCCAAAAAGTACTCAAGTGGCTCCCTAAATTATTTCCATGACTTGAATTTTGAAAAGCACCCTGGGTGGATAGCAGCTTGGGTCCCCCTGACCCTTGTCAGCAGGTCGACAAAGCTGGCAGTGAGGACAAAGGTCTGATTCTGTGCACTTTGTGCCTGGCATTGAACTGCACCCTGTGGGGACACAGGAAAAGATACTCCTTCCTGGATGTCGCCCTCAAGTCATTTACAAGCAAATGAAACAAGGCCACACATAAAACAAAGCCAAAGCAAATTAAAGGCAGAAAGAATAGGTGCCTCTGAAGGACTGTATTATTTTGCCAGGACTGTCATTGCAAAATACCACAGGCTGGGTGGTTTCAACAATAGAAATTTATTTTCTAACAGTTCTGGAATCTGGGCATCTAAGACCGAGGTGCCAGCAAGGTTGGTTTCTCCTGAGGCTTCTGTCCCTGCTTGCAGACGGCTGTCCTCCTACTGCCTCCTCACACGGTCATCCCTCTGTGCACGTGCACCCCTGGGGTCTCCTTCCATGTCCACACTTCCTTTTCTTATAAAGACACCAGCCATATTGGATTAGGACCCACCCTAATGGCCTCATTTTACTTAATTACCTCTTTAAAGGTACTATCTCCAAATAGTCACATTCAAACGTACTGGGAGTTAAGACTTCAACATATGAATTTGGGGGACACAGTTTAGTGTCCTACTATGTGTGCAGTACATTAGCTCATGTGTTTTCACCCTAGCCTGGGTGCTGCAGGCCTTATTCCTTTTTTGGGGGTGGGGGGGGTTTCTTGAGACAGAGTTCCGCTCTGTTGCCCAGGCTGGAGTGCAATGGTGCGGTCTCGGCTCGCTGCAACATCTGCCTCCCAGGTTCAAGCAATTCTCTTGCCTCAGCCTCCCGAGTAGCTGGGATTACAGGTGCCCACCACCACACCCAGGTAATTTTTGTATTTTTAGTAGAGACAGGTTTTCACCATGTTAGCCAGGCTTGTCTTGAACTCCTGACCTCAGGCGGTCTGCCTGCCTCGGCCTCCCAAAGTGCTAGGATTACTAGTGTGAACCACCACACCCAGCCTTACTCCTATTTTAAAGATGAGGAGTCTAAGATAACGGTTTTGGAAAATAAAGAAAACAAAAAGGCCAGGCGCAGTGAGTGGCTCAGGCCTGTAATCCCAGCACTTTGGGAGGCCAAGGCGGGTGGATCACCAGGTCAAGAGATCGAGACAATCCTGGCCAACATGGTGAAACCCCGTTTCTACTAAAAATACAAAAATTAGCTGTGCGTGGTGGTGGGCGCCTGTAGTCCCACCTATTCGGGAGGCTGAGGCAGGATAATTGCTTGAACCCAGGAGGCAAAAGTTGCAGTGGGCCAAGATCACGCCACTGCGCTCCATCCTGGCGACAAAGCGAGACTCCATCTCAAAAAAAAAAAAAAAGAAAAAAAGAAACAAACAAACAGAAAAAAAAGGAAACTGGACGCAGTGGCTCATGCCTGTAATTCCACACTTTGGGAGGCTGACGTGGGCGGATCACCTGAGACCAGGAGTTCGAGACCAACCTGGCCAACATGGTGAAACTCCATCTGTACTAAAAATACAAAAAAAAAAAAAAAAATTAGTTGGGCATGGTGGTGCATGCCTGTAGTCCCAGCTACTAGGGAGGCTGAGGCACAAAAATCACTTGAACCCGGGAGGCGGAGGTTGCAGTGGGCTGAGATCGCACCACTCCACTCCAGCCTGGGCAACAAGAGCGAAACTCCGTTTCAAATAAAAAAAGAAAAAAAAAAAATGAGGAGGGCCGGGCCTGGTGGTTCATGCCTGTAATCCTAGCACTTTGGGAGGCCAAGGCGGGTGGATCATCTGAGGTCAGGAGTTCGAGACCAGCTTGGTCTAAAAATACAAAAATTAGTCAGGCACGGTGGTGCACGACTATAGTCCCAGCTACTTGGGAGGCTGAGGCAGGAGAATTGCTGGAACCCAGGAGGCGGAGGTTGCAGTGAGCCAAGAGTACGCCACTGCACTCCACCCTGGGTGACAGAGCGAAACTCTGTCTCAAAAAAAAAAAGAGGAGGCTAGTGTTGGGAGCAGCTGGTAATGGCCAGTGGTCTGCCAGCTGAGAAAGAATGTCGCAGCATTTGGGTTCACACTTTGCCCCTCACATGTCGCCTTGCTGTGGTTGAAGCAGGTGGGCTGAGTTTTAAAAGGCCATCCTATACTTACCTGGCAGGGGAGATACTATGATCACGAAGGTGGTTTTCCCAGGGCGAGGCTTATCCATTGCACTCTGGATGTGCTGACCCCTGTGATTTCCCCAAATGAAAAAAAATTCAAAGAAAATAAAAGGCCATCCTGCTGTGCAGATAGGAGATGAGTGAGGCCGGAGGAGTGGCAGGAGGAGGTGCCTAGGCCGGTCCTCATAGCTTTGTCCAGATAGAAGGAAGAGGAGAGCTTTCCAGGCTGGGATGGTGGGAGCTGAAAGGGCCCACTGAGAACTCCTCCCATGTCATTGGGGTGCTGGGCCGGGGGTCTGAGGCCTGGAGAGGAGGAAGTGATGCAGTACTCACATGTTTATCTCATGTGAAGGCTTGTCTTCTCCCTCTTCTCAAGGCCAGGCAGTGCCATTCATTCCTCCGTGTTCCCCATCTGGCCTAGCGTGCCGTTCAGAATGAAGATCTCTGGGTATCCATAGGACCCTCTAGACATGAGACCGTGGGAGGAAATGGGGCAGTGGGTCTCAGTCTTATGCCCCTGACCTTTAAAGGTGTATAAGGTGTGTACCTGAGGAAGAAACAAGCAATTGCTAGTTACAAACACTCCTAGCACATGGGGGCATGGTATATTTTTCCCGCTATTTTTAACTTTCCACAGAGAGACACCCTTCTGCCCATATGGAGTCAGCATCAGAGGGTCCTTTCTCTCTTCCGGCTCCTCTTCCTTTCTTCCCTGCATCCACTGGAATTCTCCAGGTCCTCCCATGTTTCTTTGAGTGAGGTTTTTGCTAGACAAACCCATCTTTCTTTGACTAAAATCAGTCGCCTCTCATGCTGCCTATTATTTCACCAAAAGACCCGCTCAGTGGTGTGTTGGTAAATGTTGCACAACCAGCTCTCCAGGGGAGAACAGGTATATCCATGACCCCAAAAGAATCAATAATAGTAAAGTGCAGCAAAACAACTAGGAAGTGCTGTGCTGTGAGTATATGTTACCTTTGTTTTGAATATAATTTATTTAATTCTGAGTTTGTAGCATGCATTCTCAATAGGGGCAAAAACTGATTCTTGATGGGGAAACAAAACAAAAAGTCTTGCTGGGTGCAGTGGCTCACACCTGTAATCCCAACACTTTGGGAGTCTGAGGAGGGCAAATCGTTGGAGCCCAGGAGTTTGAGACCAGCCTGGGTAACATAATGGAACCCTGCCTCTACCAAAAAAATACAAAAATCAGCCAGGCATGGTGGTACGCGCCTGTAGTCTCGGCTACTCTGGAGGTTGAGGTGGGAGGATCACCTGAACCTGGGAGGAGGAGGTTGCAGTGAGCCGTGATCACACCACTGCACTCCAGCCTGGGCAACAGAGTGAGACTCTGTCTCAAAAAAAAAAAAAAAAAAAAAAAAAAAAACCAAGAAACTTAATCCTTTTGTGTATAAAGCACAGATATCTCTCCAGTACTTAAGCAGATATACAGTATCTGTGATATTAAAATTTTATGGGACAGTGATGGTAGGAGATTGGAGGAGAAAAATGTCTTGAAAGTCTTCTCAGGAGGCAATGATGAACAAAAGGTTGAGAAACCCTGTCCATATAATTTAATTTAATTTTAATGATGGCTGTGTTTAACAACCAGCTCACTAAATTCCTGAATATTTAACCATCTGCTCTTGCAAGCCTATGTGAGCTGGCTCCAACACACTCCCAGACCTGCCCACTTGGGGTGAAAGATGCCCCCAGCCCCCCACCACCCAAGCGGTACATGAGGCTGGTAGAAGAGATGGTGGTGAGTGGTGCTGCGGGTGCTGAGGGGGTAAGGGGACCCAAACAAATCAGTGGGGGTCACCTCCTCTGTCAGGCGCTGAGTCCCTGCCTGAGCCCCTGGCCCCTGGGTCATGTCATCCGACTCCACAGCGGTTCTCCTGTCTAATAGCCCCAGGACCTAATCAGCATGGCAGATGGGTGGTGACATCCTGCAGGCCCCCCAACCCAACAGGGCACAACAGGGATTTGTGCACACACCCTCACCCTTGCCCTGGAAAGGAGGCTCAGGGAATCCAAATCATCTTTATTCGGAGCCTCTGGTCGGGTGGTTCTGCTGAAAGGCCTACCTCAGGCATGGGGGGTCAGGCAGGGAGGGGAAGCCTGGCCTTCCCATTTCCCATTGGGACTCAGAGGGGCCCATTCAGTGATGTTCCTCCTAATCAGATGCTCCCAGGGAGAGTAATGAGGATGACATAGTCCTCAATGCTTGATTAGATTGAGCCCACGGAAACTTGAATAGCTATGGGGCACCCTTTCAGTGCTAGCTGGAGTGGAGGAGGGGGCTTGGGGACAGGCCAGGCATGCAGATCCCAACAGACACAACATGGGGCCCCCAGTTGGGCCTTCAGCTGCTGCCTGGAGGGAGGGGGCGTGATGGGGGAGGGGGAAGCTGTTCTTCCTGGAGCACTGACAGTGGTTGCTCTAATTGCTTTGGGGGAATCGGTCCAGAGTCAACCAAAGGCACTTTGTTTTCTGTAAACAGGGCAGAGAGGAGGCATGGGGAACCAATGAAGAGGCGGTTCCCTTTCTTCCTTCTGCTCTCTGCCTCTCCCCTCTTTGAGCCATTAGGAGTCTACTATCTTGTCCACTGATCCCAAAAGCTCTCTGGATCCCACACAAAGACACGGTGAGACTCCTCAGAACCTCATTCTCCAAACGCCCAGCGGCCTCCTGAAAGGGTCAGGCTGAGAAGCTGCCCCAAACAGCAATGTTCTTCTCCAGCCTCGTCCTTGGCCTGCGTTCATCATTGCCCTCCCAAGCAGTCAAGGAGTGGGAGTTAATTCGTGTGGCTTCAGTACTGCAAGTCTCCTAGTCAGAGCCCTCGTGGTGGGGTGGGGTGACTATTCAAGCCCCCCTCTCCCTCGAGGCTTCATTTACATGGTGCACTCAGTTACTCTCCAAAGACTCACTGGGAACTTACCCCACTTTCTCTCCCACAGGACTGCCCCCATTGGTCCCCAGAGCAGCTTTCAGCTTTGGGGCTTTTTCAGGCCTCCCTCAAGAGTCCCCTGAGCCCGCCCTGTTCCTTGGAGCTGTGGGAGGCTGGGACCCAATTAGAAGGTGATGGCTGGCCTCCAGCATGATGCAGGAAGGGCTGGCTAGACGGCTCCAAACCGGAGTGGTGGGAGTCTTGATGGGTGGGCTGCATGCCAGGGAGGGCTGGCCAGAGTTCAGGAGCAGGACTAGCAGTCCTCACACTTACCATGACCCCGACCCTCACCCCAGGGCCTTTGCACATGCTGTGCCCTCTGACCAGATCTCTTTTCCTTCTTCTCTCCATTGAATTAACTCCCACTCATCTTTCCTGTCCCAGTGCAATCATTACTTCCTTCGGGAAGCAGGCTCTCTCATTCCTATGTTTACAACAAACTCCCGTGATTACAATTTTCACAGCAAGAACCTGTTGGTTGGAGCTTGCTTTTTTTGGATATGAAAATTTGAGTAATATCTGTGTCTCCACTAGGAACTTCCTGAGAGCAGGCAGAATGTCTGCTTTTGTTGACCATCACACCCCAGTCTAAAGACCTATTGAATGAAGCCGGGCATGGGGGCTCATGCCTATAGTCCCAGACCTGCGTACTTGGGGTGAAAGATGCCCCCAGCCCCCCGCCATCCAAGGCCGAGGCAGGCGGACCACCTGAGGCCAGGAGTTTGAGACCAGCCTGGCCAACATAGTGAAACCCTGACTCCACTAAAAATAAAAAAATTAGCCAGGCGTGGTGGTGGGCGCCTGTAATCCCAGCTACTAGGGAGGCTGAGGAAGGAGAGTTGCTTGAACTTGGGAGGCGGAGGTTGCAGTGAGCCATGATCGCAGCACTGCACTCCAGCCTGGGCAACAGAATGAGACTCCGTCTCAAAAAACTAAAAAAGACTTATTGAATGAATGCATGAATGAACTACCACTTCTGTGAGGCCTCCCACCCATTCCCGGTGGCATTCTCCACCCTGTGCTGTGGTCAGCTGTGTACAGTTCTGCCTTTCCAGGACTTGAGGCAGTGAGGGGGCTTCATGAAGAATGTAGGTCGTGGAGCCACTCTGCCTGGGTTCATAGTCAGGCTCTGCCAATTACTAGCTAAAGAATAGCCTTGGGCAAGCTGCTAAACGTCTCTGTGCCTCAGGCTCCCCATCTGTAAAATGAGGGTAATAGTTAATGTATTAATGCATATGACATGCTTAGAGCAGGGTCGGGCACTACGTTTGCCAATGAATGTGGATGCTGTTACCATATCTATATCTGTGGCACCCAGACCCCAGGGCGGGTGCAGCCTAATAGGTGTTCAGCAAAGCACATTATTGATTGAGCCAGCAAAGTATGGGGTTGTTCCTGGAAAAAAGAATACTGAGAGGGGAGTGTGAGCCTGCAGGTGAAGAGGGATAGACCCTAAGAACAGGGAGGAATTAACCGGAAACCCAACTGCCCCGACATGCCGCTACCCTAGAAACGTTTTTTTCCATCTGACAGCAGCAATTCACTCAAGGAGCAGCAGTTGATTCTGGTTTGTGTTTTTTCCAGTACTCACAGAACCAGCCCCCTGGCTCCCCCTCAGAGACACCAGCACCACCAGTAGGCAACCCATCCCCAAAGACTGAGCTTCAGCACCACGGGCACTCCCGCAAGCTTCTAAGTTTTGTTGTTTTTTTTTTTAATACTTTAAGTTCTAGGGTACATGTGCACAACAGTTCTCACTGTTTCCCTTTGTTCCTCCAGCCCGAGGGAAGCCCTGGCTCCTTCTTGTGGTTGTGACTTCCATAATGCTTCAGCGTTCTCTTTTTGCCTTTTCAGTTTTTCAGTACCTAATTAACAATTCTGCATGTTAGATTCTCACTGTTAAAATAACTGGTGTAGGCCGGGGCACGGTGGCTTACGCCTATAATCCCAGCACTTTGGGAGGCCAAGGCAGGCCGATCCCTTGAGCCCAGGAGTTTGAGACCAGCCTGGGCAACATGGTGAAACGCCGTCTCTACAAGAAAAACAAAAATTAGCCTCTTACGGTGCCCGGCATGTAATCATGTTCGCAGGCGCATGCCTGTGGTCCCAGCTACTTGGGAGGCAGAGGTGGGAGGATGGCTTGAGCCCAGGAAGTTGAGGCTGCAGTGAGCCCAGATTGTGCCACTGCACTCCAGCCTGGGCAACAGAGCAAGATCTTGTCTCAAAAACAAGCAAACAAACAAACAAACAAACAAAACACTGGTGTGGTTTGTGTATCCTGACTGGACCCTGACTGATAGACTCACTGAATCCTCAAACTCGAGGTTCGGAGTGTTACAGAGGCAGGAGCCAGGCCCCCTGTACCTCTGACTTGCCTCATGGCTAAGAGAAACAACGGTTTCGGCCCCTTTTTCAGGAATCCTGTGGACTAGAAATGGATGTGCTGCTCACAGGGATATCTAATCAGCACTGGAAAAACTGGGCCAACAGTTAAACCACACAAACAAAAGAGCCACAGCTCCACACAGAACTGCCTGCTGGGCAAATGCCAAAACAAACGGCCACGGTCTCTGGGCCTCATCACGGCTGCAGGCTTCCTGGTCCCTCACGGAGGCCTCTCAAGAAGTAGGGGCTAAGGCCAAGTGCAGTGGCTCATGCCTGTAACCCTATCACTTTAGGAGGCTGAAGCGGGAGGACCACTCGAGCCCAGGAGTTCAAGACCAAACTGGGAAATAAAGCAAGATCCCCCATATCTACAAAATAAAAAAACTAGCCAGGCGTAGTGGCATGTGCCTTTAGTCCCAGCTACTCAGGAGGCTGAGACAGGAGGATCACTTGAGCCCCAGGAGGTCAAGGCTGTAGTGAGCCATGATCACACCATTGCACTCCAGCCTGGGAAACAGAGCGAGACTCTGTCTCAAAAAAAAAAAAAAAGAAGAAGAAGAAGAAGAAGGGCCTCAGAGTCTCTCCTTTCTGGACTCCAAGTCTTCTCTCATTCCCACCAGGACTGAGGAATAGCCAAATGAATCAGGCTGTCCCATTCTGCTCCTCTAGAACATTCTGGTCAAACAGGGAGCCTTCAGTGGTTATTGTCCTGAGTGCATGTCAATGGAGTGACATGCTCATTACATTCATCTGGAGAGCTTCTAAAAATACTGCTGCCTGGGCCTCACCCCAGAGATTCTCGTCCTGGACAGCACTGGTCATTATGTCACTAAAGCTCCCCAGGTGATTCCACTGTGTAGTCAAGATTGAAATTTGGCCGGGCGCGGTGGCCTGCGCCTGTAATCCTAGCACTTTGGGAGGCCAAGGGGGGTGGATCGCCTGAGGTCAGACGTTCGAGACCAGGCTGGCCAACATGGTGAAACCCTGTCTCTACTGAAAATACAAAAATTAATTGGGTGTGATGGTGGGCGCCTGTAATCCCAGCTATTTGGGAGGCTGAGGCAGGAGAATCACTTGAACCTGGGAGGCAGAGGTTGCAGTGAGCCTAGATTGCGCCACTGCACTCCAGCCTGGGTGAGAGTGAGACTGTCTCAAAAAAAAAAAAAAAAACCCAAGATTGAAAAACGGCCAGGCATGGTGGCTCACGCCTGTAATCCCAGCACTTTGGGAAGCCAAGGCAGGCGGATCACGAGGTCAACAGATCAAGACCATCCTGGCCAACATGTTGAAACCCTGTCTCTACTAAAAATACAAAAATTAGCCTGGTGTGGTGGTAGGCGTCTGTAGTTCCAGCTACTCGGGAGGCTGAGGCAGGAGAATCACTTGAACCCGGGAGGCAGAGGTTGCAGTGAGCTGAGATTTCGCCACTGCACTCCAGCCTGGTGACAGAACGAGACTCCATCTCAAAAAAAAAAAAAAAGATTGAAATCCACCTAACTAAAGAATGTATTTGGATGGCAATTCTCAAATTTGAGAGTGTATCAGAATCAGCCGGAGGGCATATTAAACCAGGGGCTGTACAGCCTCGCCCCAAGTTTCTTAGCAGGTCTAGGGTGGGGCCTGAGAATGTGCATTTCTCAAAAGTTCCCAGCTGATGTTCCCGGTCTGGGGACTATACTTTGAGATCACCTGGGTATGGAGTCCAACAGCCCAGGTTCAAATCCCAGCTCTGTCAGATGCAGTTGACTCTCCACCCGGGAGGGTTTTGGGAGGACTGAAGGGCATAACTTGGACAAAGAGCCTCATACGGTGCCCAGCGTGTAATCACGTTCAGGGAATGTGTTTTCACCATGATGTGATTATTAGTAGGAGAGGCTGCAGAAGTCTTGAGTTATAGCATGTGACTTTGAACTATCGTTTTAATCAGAGCCTCAGCTTCCTCATCTGTAAAATGGGATAATAATATCCTGTGGCTCAGCCCTCCTCACAGGCTGTGAAAGGATCAAAGCCGTTCCCAGATGTGAAAGTGTTTGGAAAGCGGCCGGGCGCGGTGGCTCACGCCTGTAATCCCAGCACTTTGGGAGGCCAAGGCGCGCGGATCACGAGGTCAGGAGATTGAGACCACCCTGGCTAACACAGTGAAACCCCATCTCTACTAAAAATACAAAAAATTAGCCGAGCAAGGTGGCAGGCGCCTGTAGTCCCAGCTACTTGGGAAGCTGAGGCAGGAGAATGGCTGAACCCCGGGGGGCGGAGCCTGCAGTGAGCCGAGATCGTGCCACTGCACTCCAGCCTGGGCGACAGCGAGACCCCGTCTCAAAAAAAAGAAAGTGTTTGGAAAGCTGGAAAGCCCAGTAAGGGGGTTTGATAAGACAGGGGTGAGGCGGGAACAGCCCCGTCCTGCAGACATCGTGTAGGGTTCTCTGCTCTCTAGAGACACTGAAGTAGCAGTTGCACATGCTTGTGAAGCGGGTTCCGATGCCCCCCCTCCAGCTGCTCACATGCCTCCCTGCCACCCCTAGCATTTGGAATGCCAACTTGACATGCCTGGAATGCAGGAGTGGCAGGTTGGCTCTTCAGACATCTAAGGGGAAGAGATGGGGGCGTTGTCACACTCCCAGCCCACCCCCCACCCCAGCCGTATTTCTGCCAGGAAAGGGAATGTGGCGGAAGGGATCAAAGCTGTCCAATCAAAGATTCCCTCCACAGGCCCGCACCACACAGTTGCCATCCCTGCGACCCTTCATCTCCCTTTCCATCTGCCCACCCATGCCCCTCCGTCCACCTGGCTCCAGGGAGGGAAGATGGGCAGTAGCTGCACCCCCCAGCCAAGCCAGGAGGGCAGCAAGGAGACAACTGTTCTTCTCAGGTCAGGAGCTCGTCCACTTGGTTTCACACCCTTTCAGTTCAACTTGCAGACACATATTGCACGTCTGCTAGTATACAGCTAGTTAATATTAATGCTCTGTATTTTTTAAAAGAGGTATTCCAGAGGAATGTCCTCACAGGGCCTGAGTTGGAAAGAGCTGAGAGCCCTTGGCTGTAAGGACATGAGAAGTGAGGGGCCCCCACACTGCCAGTGGGGACAGGGGGACAAGTGGGTTTGACTTAATTCAGGGGCAGTTTGGCAGAACAGGTCAAAAGCCTGGAAATGTGCATGCTATGACCCAGGGATCCAGGTCTAGGAATCTGCTCTAAGGAGATATCACAAAATGATCAGTCTGCCGGGCACGGCGGCTCACGCCTGTAATCCCAACACTTTGGGAGGCCGAGGCAGGCAGATCACCTGAGGTCAGGAGTTCGAGACCAGCCTGGCCAACATGGTGAAACCCGGTCTCTACTAAAAATTAAAAAATTAGCCAGGTGTGGTGGCTACTTGGGAGGCTGAGGCACGAGAATCACTTGAACCTGGAAGGCGGAGGTTGCAGTGAGCTGAGATGGTGCCACTGCCCTCTAGCCTGGGCAACAGAGTGATACCCTGCCTCCAAAAACAAACATACAAACAAACAACCAAAATGATCAGCCTGGTTTGAGTCTTGGCTCTAGTGATGGGTGACTTTTTAGCCTCATCCCTAAAATGGGACTTCATGGCATCCCACCACACAGGTTTGAGGAAAAACTGAGACAATGCCTGCCTGCAAGGCGCCTGGGACACAGTAAGTGCTCAATAATATAAGCATCTTGGTTTGGGATCCTCCAGAGGCTGACCCCAAGACAAGGATTTTGGAGGTAAGCCCAGGAAGCACAAGTGGTAATGTGGGGAAGTAAGACTGGGAGGAAAGGAAGCCCAGGGAAGGTGCATTTATCAAGCTCCACCCGGAGCCAGCCACCTGCTTGCAAAAAATGCCTGGAAGTGGAGTCAAAAAGGTGAATGGTCCAGGATTGTCTCTGCTCCTTTAAGTCTTGGTTTTTGTTTTTGTTTTGGTTTTGGTTGTTGAATTGCTTGTTTTGTTTGAGATGGAGTCTCACTCTATCACCTAGGCTGAAGTGCAGTGGATCTATCTCGGTTCACTGCAACCTCTGCTGCCTGGGTTCAAGCAATTCTCCTGCCTCAGCCGTCCAAGTAGCTGGGATTACAGGCGCCTGCCACCGTGCCTGGCTAATTTTTTATTTTTAGTAGAGATGGGGTTTCCCCATGTTGGCCAGGTTGGTCTTGAACTCCTGACCTCGTGATCCACCTGCCTCGGCGTCCCAAAGTACTAGGATTACAGGCGTGAGCCACTGAGTTTGACTTGTTTTGTTTTTTGAGACAAGGTCTTGCTCTGTTGCCCAGGCCGGAGTGCTGTGGCGGGATCTCCACTCACCGGAGCCTTGACCTCGTGGGCTTAAGACTTCCTCCCACCTCCGCCTCTGGAGTAGCTGGGATTACAAGTGCATGTGACCAGGCCTTAGCTAATTTTTTGTTTTTACTTTTTGTAGATATGGGTGTCGCTTTGTTGCCCAGACTGGTCTCAAACTCCTGGGCTCAAGCGATCCTCCCTCCTTGGCCTCCCCAAATGCCAGGATTACAGGTGTGAGCCACCACACCCTGGCATAAGTCTTAGTTTTGTCTGCCTCCATAATTATTTTATGTAAAAGAAAAATCAAACTTTCTCTGGTTTAAGTGACTGACTTGCCTTTTCTGTTATATGTGGCTGAATTCAATCTTTATCTGATGCTGGAGACCAGTGGCTGTCTCACCAGGAAGTTGTCCAAGGGACTCACCCACCTTGGAGACCCAGTGTCATGGTCAGGTGCTATGGTGCCAATATCACACCAAGGAGATGATCTCACCAAGAGACCCTACTCCCTCTTGGAGCCTTATGATGCAGTGAAAAAAAAGGCTTCCTAGGCAGGGGTTCATACTTTTGGCCCAAATCCCCAGGTGTCTGTTACCTCCTCACTGTCCTCTAGCCGCTCAGAGCTCTGTGGTACCACTCCAAGCAAGTACTCCACGCCCCCAACCCTTTCCACACGCTCCCTCGAAATGTAGCTGTTCCCTGTGCCCTTCTCTTTGGTCTCTGCTCGTAGGCAACAGATAGCGCATCTGATATGTGAATTGGAGTTACTGGGTTAATGTGTCACCCTCCCAAGTAATAGATGTGTATTTTTGACAGGGCCTTTCTGGAAACAAGGCCTTATGCCCAGAATTCACCCTCCCGAGTAATAGATGTGTATTTTTGACAGGGCCCTTCTGGAAATAAGGCCTTATGCCCAGAGCTGAATGACGTAAAAATCCCCAGAAAAACAAGAGGCCGCCCTGGTGCTGGTCTCACTTCCTCTGTTCCACTCCTGTTTCCTCCTTTTTTTTTTTTTTTTTTTTTTGGAGACAAAGTCTCACTCTGTCGCCCAGGCTGGAGTGCAGTGGCGTGACCTTGGCTCACTGCAACCTTCATCTCCCGGGTTCAAGTGATTCTCCTGCCTCAGCCTCCAGAGTAGCTGGGATTACAGGCATGCACCACCACACCTGGCTAATTTTGGTTTTTTCTTTGCTTGTTTCTTTGTTGTTGTTTTGTTTTGTTTTTTGAGATGAAGTCTCACTCTGTTGCCCAGGCTGGAGTGCAGTGGTGCGATCTTGGCTCACTGCAGCCTCTACCTCCTAGGTTCAAGTGATTCTCCTGCCTCAGCCTCCCGAGTAGCTGGGATTACAGGCATGCACCACCATGTCTGGCTAATTTTGTTGTTGTTGTTGTTGTTGTTGTTGCTGTTTTCTTTTTTTGAGACAAAGTCTCACTCTGTTGCCCAAGCTGGAGTACAGTGGTGCCATCTCAGCTCACTGCAACCTCCACCTCCTGCATTCAAGTGATTCTCCTGCCTCAGCCTCCCAAGTAGCTGAGACTATAGGCACGTGCCACCATGCCCAGCTAATTTCTGTATTTTCAGTAGAGACGGGGTTTCACTATGTTGGCCAGGCTGGTCTTGAACTCCTGACCTGGTGATCTGCCCGCCTTGGCCTCCCAAAGTGCTGGGATTACAGGCGTGAGCCACCATGCCCGGCCTAATTTTGTACTTTTAGTAGAGACGGGGTTTCTCCATGTTGGTCAGGCTGGTCTCAAACTCCCGACCTCAGGTGATCCACCCGCCTCGGCCTCCCAAAGTGCTGAGATTACAGGCATGAGCCACTGTGCCCAGCCCTGTTTCCTCCTGTATCCTGTCCTCTCCCTTGGCATAGCTGGCCTTGGCCACAGCTCCTAACTCAGCAAATGCCAGGTCCCCACCCTCCTCCACCATTCTGCCTGAGCTCCCATACTGAAAGCGAAAGGAGGCGGTGGAACAGAAAGAAAAAAATAATAAAACCACTGAAAGAGAAGAAACAGCTGGCAGAATATTGGAAAGATTCCCAGGTGGGAATTCCCAGCCCTCAAGGCCTATGTCAGCCAGGCTGAGGAAGTTCTTGAAGAGCAATCTTGAAATCAGCTCTTGACATCGTTCCCAGCTCATGGGAGCACCTAACCCCTTGTCCCTGCCTTGGCCCGGAGGGAGGTATGTGCCTGAAGTTGGAGTTGAATTTTGAGGGACAGAGCAGAGCTAGGGTGGGAGGGAGAGGGTAGGGCAGGGGGTACTCTGGGGAAGAATGGACCCTGGTGGGTAGGGTCACAAGGTGCCTGAGGGTCCAGGCCCTTCTGGGCTTCCAGGGGACAAGGCCTTTCCCCCCAAGGCAGTGCACAGTGAAAAGGAGGCTTGGCAAAGCCATGTGCCCAATGGTATGTGTGAAGGTGTGGGGAGGGGCACTCTAAGAGGCTGAACTGACAGCAGCCAAAAAATAAAGTTGGCTACTCTTACCTAAGGCACGGTGAGATCCTATATCCATTCAGGAAACATGGAGGAAAACTGGAAGAGGCTGGAACAGAGGTCTGGCTTGTGCTTGTGGGAGTCTGGATCAGGTGTGGCAGTGATGGGCAGACAGGGAGACAAGAGCAGTGGTGTCACCTGTGTAAAAGTGTGGCTCTGGCCATGCAAGGGGTCTGCAGACTGGCCACCAAGGGGCTGGTGTCGGAATTTCTCAAAAAGAAATGTGGGCCAGGCACAGTGGCTCACGCCTGTAATCCCAGCACCTTCGGAAGCCAAGGCAGGCAGATCACTTGAGGTCAGGAGTTCGAGACCAGCCTGGCCAACGTGATGAAACCCTGTGTCCACCAAAAATACAAAATTAGCCAGGTGTGGTGGTGCACCTGTAATCCCAGCCACTTGGGAGGCTGAGGCAGGAGAATCACTTGAAACCAGGAGGCGGAGGTTGCAGTGAACCGAGATTGTACCACTGCGCTCCAGCCTGGGTGACAGAGTGAGACTCCATCTCAAAGAAAAAAGAAATGTGAAGGGCCCTGCCATGAAGAGAAGGGAAGAGGGGACAGGTGTGGGTTAGAGTGGCGGATGGGAGTGGGTGTACAACTCATCTAAACACCAAGTTTGGGGATCGGCTGAGGGAATCTGGACAGAAGGCCTGAGCACTATGCAAAGCATCATCACATCATCTGGCTGAGCCTGTGAGCCCCAGAAAGGCCCTCTCACTCCTCATGAATTTCAGTGAATAAAAACAAAAAGCCTAACCCATGGTGAACTGGTAATCAGTCCACTTTGACCAGGGAGGAAATGATTTCTGCCAAGTTCACTAATTCCTGTTAAGATATGACCTGAGAAATGTTCCAAGCCCTATACTGATTCTTCTCTGTCTTCACTCTTTTTCTCCTCCCGAGTGAGGCCCCATATCCCTCCAGCTACCTGTCCTCCCATCAACTCCACACATTTCCAGATTAATCTTCCAAAACCACCAGCTCCCCACTCCCCCTGCCCAGTATTCACCACTCTCCAGACGTGCCCTTGTTCCCTGGTTGACTGGACTTTTGGCTACTTTCTTATTCTCGTGGAGTAGGGGAGCATCATGGTCACCACATGGGCTCTGGGTTTGAATTCTGCCTCCACCATTCAATGCCTTTACTTCCTCATCCATGAAATGGGAATAACAATGCTACTACTTCATGCGGGTGCTTTGAGGATTAAATGAATAAATATATACTCAAAATAGTGCCTGGAGCCGGGGGCGGTGGCTCACGCCGGTAATCCCAGCACTTTGGGAGGCCGAGGCAGGTGGATCACGAGGTCAGGAGATCGAGACCATCCTGGCTAACATGGCGAAACCCTGTCTCTACTAAAAATACAAAAAAAATTAGCCAGGCACGGTGGTGCACACCTGTAATCCCAGCTGCTCGGGAAGCTGAGGCAGGAGAATGGTGTGAACCCGGGAGGCGGAGCTTGCAGTGAGCCGAGATCGCACCACTACACTCCAGCCTGGGCAACAGAGCGAGACTCTGTTTCAAAAAATAAATAAATAAATAAATAAATAAATAAATAATAGTGCCTGGCATGTTTTGAGCTTTTGTTCACTTTTATTATTTATATTGTTGTTAGTCACTAAAATGTCCATAGAGGATGGATTTTGTTTTGTATACCAAACCTATCTCAGTGACTAGAACAATGTCGAGCACGTAGTAGAGGCTCAATTAATAGTGTTGAATTTTTCTATTCTGTAAACTCTGTTCCAGCCAAACTCTTTCCCATGACATACCTTATACATTACCACCTCTCTGCCTTTGCTCATGCTGCTCCCACCTCTTAAAGGGCCCTTGCTCCATCTCACATAACTCCTACCAGCTCCAGCTGCCCCTCTCCTCAGAAGCCCTCCCTGGACTCAGAACCTGCACAAAACAAATGTTCAGTGGTTTGTGGCTAAGGTTTTTTTATGCTTTGGCTCCAAAACAGAGTTTCCTCTCTTCCTGGCACTTAGTGCTCACCACCTCCGGAGATGGCCCCTAAGAAGTGGACCACCCTAGCTACTATATATATGTCCTTTATCTCATGGCTTTGACATTCAGAAAGGGCTTCCCAGGTGAAGCCATCTGAATTACTAGACATAACCAGACATGTGGTCTCCAAGCCACATTTTCTGGGCTTCTTAATTGGTGAGTTGAGAGACACGGCATCTGTTTGCCCAAGAAATCTGAGCCAAGCAGTTCCACATCAACAGGCTGCTTTCCACCCTGGACGGCACAACAGCTGCCTAAAACTTAGCTGTTTACACACTAAAAAAAGAAATTCCATGGAGACCAGTTGACTCAAGCCAGCTCCCAGTGTGAGGCAGAGAAGGGTTTCAAAGCAATCCCCAATGACACCAAAAGCTCTCCACCCAGTTCTCGATAAAAATAAAAAAGAAAACAAGAGCGAAATTAGAGCCAAGAATGAAGACTGCCTGGAGGATGAGGTGTTGGAAGCTGGAGTTGGACTGGGAATCAGCCTGACAGTTCCCTCCAGGCAGGCTTGTCCGCTGCCACCCCTGTCCCCACCGCAGGGATGGGACACTCACCACTTCTTGAGAAAGCCCATTTCGCCATTGGGAAGGTTTATTAAACATGAAATGAGGGAAAAGCCTAGTAGCTCCATCGGATTGGGAAGAATGGCAAAGAGAGACAGGAGTCATTTTCTAGAAAGCAATCTTCACACCTGTTGGTCCTCACCCATTGAATGTCCTCACCCAATCTCCAACACAGAAATGAGTGACTGTGTGTGCACATGCGTGTGCATGTGTGAAGGTATGAGTGTGAATGTGTCTATATGGGAACATATATGTGATTGTATGTGTGTAACTATGTGTGACTGGCAGCGTGGGGAGTGCTGGTTGGGAAGGTCCTCTCTGGAAGGCTGGGAGTGCAGAGGACAAGAGACTGACCTTGCTGAGTGGAAGCCATGGGCCAGGCTCTCCCCAGTCCTCATTGCCTAGAATGTCTTCTCCACACCCACCAGACGAGTACCACTCACACCCTAGACCTTCTTCTAAGTGCATCACGTACATAGCTCTTTTCATCCTCACACACTGCCGGGAAGGTAAGCTTGGTTACTTCTGCCATTTTACAGGTGGGGAAACTGAGGCTAAGAGAGGTTAACTTCTGCCGGCAACACTTGGAAATGGTTGGTATGGTTGGAAGCCGGCACCGCTGGGCCCAGGGTCTGGGGCTAAGTGGAATTCAGTGTGGGTCTTTCCTTTCCCATTAGAACCCCTCAAGTGTCAGACCCTCTGCCCCTCCTCGCAGTACTTCCGCCTTGCCTCATGCCTCCCAGGCACTATCTCTGTGAACTTTGAGCTCTGCCCCTATTGCCCAAGAAAGGCTCGCTGATGAGGAGGAAATTGCCCAGGTTTATAGTTTCCTCCCAGCCTCTCTGGCGACACCTGAGCCTGCTGCTTCTCCCCTTCCGCCTCCCGCCACAGTCATACACACAGCCACTCATGCATACTCACATCACACCACACTCCAACCAGCACTCCCCACGCTGCCAGTCACACATAGTTACACACATACAATCACATATATGTTCCCATATAGACACATTCACACTCATACTTTCACACATGCACACGCATGTGCACACACAGTCACTCATTTCTGTGTTGGAGATTGGGTGAGGACATTCAATGGGTGAGGACCAACAGGTGTGAAGATTGCTTTCTAGAAAATGACGCCTGTCTCTCTTTGCCATTCTTCCCAATCCAATGGAGCTACTAGGCTTTTCCCTCATTTCATGTTTAATAAACAAGCCGCTCTTGCGGAACGATGGTTGGATCCCTCATCAACCACCACACACTCCCGACCCCACCCTCCTTCCTGCCCCTGCCAGCAAACCTGACAGGTCCAAGGCCTGGAATTGAGAACCTGTTTTCTTCCCCATCCTGCCCCCTTGTGACGGGAGCCTAGAACTGCTGGCTCTGCGCCCAGAGGTTAACCACATTTCTCAGGAAGGTTCCAGTAGCCAGGCGGGTTGTTAGGAGAGGTCTGTATCCAACTCCCCTCCTCCTGCAGAGGGGCAAACTAACTAAATGAAGATCCACTCTTCCTTCACCCCGATCCTCAGGGCCACCAGAAGAGCTGACTGCTGTTTCACAGGCACACTCCACTGGCACAGGAGATGGGTGGGTGTGCCAACTGGACCAGCATATGGCAGGACCCTTATGATGATCAAGCCTACAGTCATCATACAATCACAGGATTGTTGCCCTATATCCATATTTTCTTGACACCCTAATAGTGCATTTGGCTAAACCTTGGTGAAATAGGCATGACAGCATGTGACTGTGCCGCCTCTGACACTGACCACCCAGGCCTTTCTCTTCACTCCTTCCCTGAGGCCTTGGAGGGTCTGCCTGTGGCCTTTAGTCTGGTGTTTGAGCTCACAGAACTGGGTGTGGTTGACCCTCCCTTTGTCCTCACCCCCTCCACACACACACAGGGATGCTCTTGCAGGCTCCTGGTTTGATGAGGCAGCCCAGGATGTGTCCCCACCTTTCCTCTTTGAGCCCAGGGCCAGTGTATTTCAGGCCGAGTGATTTCACCCAGGGTCTTGTTTCCATTCCATTTTATTTTTAGTCCTCAGGTGCAGTGGGATGAGTCCCTCCTATTCCCCAGGTGATGGCTGGCTGTCATCATTGGTCCTGACTAGTCACCTCTTGCTTCATGTATTCCCCCCTCACTCCATTGTCATTTCCATGCCCCCACCCCACAGGCAGCCATTCTACTATATCCTTTATTTGTATGTGTTCTTGTGCAGTGCTTTGTAGGCATGGATTTTGGTACTGCAAAGTGCTGCATTGTACACATAGTATTGCATAGTGTTGCCTTATTACCATTTCTGTAACAAACTGAATGTGTTACTTTATGTTGGAGCGTGGTGGAGCCTTAAGAATTTATTGAGAATCTCTGCATTAATGATTATGAAAGTGACTGCAAGTTTTCGCTGAGTCTTATTTCCTGAACATAAACTCAGGATCCTGGACCATGGTCATGTGGGAATAGCAAGAGAACTGAAAGTGGAGCCTGTCACATCTCCAGACTCCAGTTTTAGTTCTCTTGCTATTTCCACCACATCTTTCATCACTTCCTCCACTAAAGTCTTGAACTCCTCAAAGCCATCCACGTGGGCTGGAATCAACTTCTTGATGATGGATGAAGCCACTTCCTTGTGGCTGGAACCAACTTCTGTGTTTCCTAAAATGGGGACAGCAATAGTACCTACTCTCTAAAATTTGTTGTGGGCTAGGTGCGGTGGCTCACGCCTGTAATCCCAGCACTTTGGGAGGCCGAGGCAGGCAGATCATGAAATCAGGAGATCGAGACCATCCTAGCTAACATGGTGAGACCCTGTCTCTACTAAAAATACAAAAAATTAGCCGGGTGTGGTGGCGGGCGCCTG
Organism: Homo sapiens; assembly: GCF_000001405.40. Taxonomy (NCBI): domain Eukaryota; kingdom Metazoa; phylum Chordata; class Mammalia; order Primates; family Hominidae; genus Homo; species Homo sapiens. The sequence continues at coordinate 36,622,105 of NC_000006.12, read as the reverse complement.
TAATCCCAGCTACTCGGGAGGCGGAGGCAGGAGAATCACTTGAACCTGGGAGGTGGAGGCTGCAGTGAGCCAAAATCACGCCACTGCACTCCAGCCTGGGCGACAGAGGGAGACTCCGTCTCAAACAAAAAAGAAAATATTTTTTGTGAAGATCAAATGGGTTAATACAAGTGAAGAGTGCCTGGCACTACTAGTGCTCAGTAAACATTGTTTATGGATGCTTTCTTTTTTTTTTTTATTAGGCCTTATAATAGCCCTATGAGGTAATATAATTAGTTCCATTTCACTGATGAAGAGACCAAGGTCCAGGGAACAAAACAACTTGCCCAGGTTTGCATCATGATACTGCCAGAAGCTAAATCTAGATCTTCAGACCCCAAGACGGCCACAGGACCTCGATCCCCATGTGTTCCCTAGAGGTGTTGTGCAGAACCTTCCTGATGCTGATCTGGATGACGAGCGGTCACCCACAGGCTGCTGGAGATGATTCCTGGTCGGGTGGCCCTCAGTCCTCCTTGATCTTTCTCCCACACTGTGATCTTCACACCCACTGGCCATTCCTGAGAAAGAACCTGCCTTCTCCAGGGCTTTTGTGGGTGCCCATGTTCACCAAGCAGCCTCTAAAGTGATGTGAATCCTAGCGCCAGGCCTGGTAGTAGCACATATGCATGGTAGATGCGTGCTGGAAAAGCAGGAGCCCTAGGAGCCTGCCTTGGGTTCTAGTCCTAGCCATCCATTGCCTCACCCTAGGGTCTAACTTTCTATCTCTAACCTTCAGTTTCCACATCTGCACAATGGGGATAGGAACTTTTCTGTGAGGATCAAGTAGGTTTTAGGAGACTATTCCAATCTTGATCAAATACTAACAGTCGCCTGAACCCTGCAGAACAATCCCTGCTTGTTGTACAGTCTGATGCCACCTCAGATGAACCATTACCCACTGTATGCACTGAACATTTTCCCCTCCCCTCCAGGAAGATCATCCTCTGGATCTGCCCTCCTCACAACGGCCTTATTGCTTTTCTGGAGTCACCGAATCTTAGAATATCGGTGCTGGAAAAGAACTTGAGGACCATCAGTCCCAGTGTGGCAAACTTATCTCCTTATCAAGGACCCCCGCTGCCTAAAGCAGTGGTTGACTCAGTCATTGCTCCCCTCACTGCAGGGTGCAGTGTGAAGAGGGGACAGATCATCCTGTGAGTTACAGGCCACCTTCAGCCCAAATACCCCCTTTCTACAGATAGGCAAACTGAGTAAATGATGATCCCAACTTCCTTCACCTGACCCTCGCCTCAGGGCTACCAGGAGATAGGGACGCCATGTTGGCACAGGAGATGGGTGGGTATGCCACCTTCCCCATGGGCAGGCCCCTATTGCGGTCACATCTCAAGTGACTACTTACAACCATCAAACAATTAGGGTTTACTGGTGGATGTCTTTATCTTTTTGACATTCTGTAGAATTATGCTAACAGATTTTGGAAAACAATTTGCCCAAAATCTACGTGACTTCATCCTTTGATTTTTGTTTGTTTGTTTGAGACAGGGTCTTGCCCTTCACTCAGGCTGGAGTGCAGTGGCGCCATCACAGCTCACTGCAGCCTTGACCTTCCAGGCTCAAGTGATTCTTGTGCCTCAGCCTTCCAAGCGGCTGGGATTACAAGCGTGCACCACCACGCAGCTTTTTTGTTTTTTTGGTTTTTTTTTTGAGATGGAGTCTTGCTCTGTCACCCAGGCTGGAGCGCATTGGCGTGATCTCGGCTCACTGCAACCTCTGCCTCCCGGGTTCAAGCGATTCTCCTGCCTCAGCCTCCCAAGTAGCTGGGACGACAGGTGCGTGCCACCACACCCAGCTAATTTTTGTATTTTTAGTAGAGACGGGGTTTCACCATATTGGTCAGGCTGGTCTTGAACTCCTGACCTCATGATCTGTCCTCCTCAGCCTCCCAAAGTGCTGGGATTACAGGCATGAGCCACCGCACCCAGCCATGCCTGGCTAATTTTTGTATTTTTAGCAGAGACAGGGTTTCGCCATGTTGGCCAGGCTGGTCTCGAATGTCTGGCCTCAAGTGATCTGCCTGCCTCGGCCTCCCAAAGTGCTGGGATTACAGACGTGAGCCACCACACCTGGCCTTAATTTTTGTATTTTTTGTAAAAATGCAGTTTTGCCATGTTGCCAGGGTGACTTCACCCATTTTCAATGCAGAATTTTAACACAAGAGTGTACTTTAGCCAGTGAAATGTGCACGCTTACTTCTTTTAGGAAAAAACTGAAATATTTGCTGGGAACCCCACAACAGTTGCCACAGGAAAGACCAGAAGAAAGCAAAAACAGGTAAGGAGCATCCTTTAAAGTGAGGGGAGGCCGGGCTCATGCCTATAATCCCAGCACTTTGGGAGGCCAAGGCGGGCAGATCACTTGAGGCTAGGAGTTCGAGACCAGCCTTTAGCAACATAGCCAAACCCTGTCTCTAATAAAAATACAAAAATTAGCCGAGCATGGTGGCACGCACCTGTAATCTCAGCTTATTGGGAAGCTGAGGCAGGAGAATCACTTGAACTCAGGAGGCAGAGGTTGCAGTGAGCCAAGATCGCACCACTGCACTCCAGCCTGGGTGACAGAGCAAGACCTTGTCTCAAAAAAAAAAAAAAAAATGTGAAGGGAAAGCCCACAATGATAGCACTTTCATGCTGGCAAGCCCACGGATGGTGCATACTCAGTGTCTCTGGGGGAGCAAAACTCAGGAGCCGACAGCCCTCACCTAGTCAGGTGGTTTATTCACAAACTGTCCACTCCCAGGACTTCAGGATGGGGCAAGTCACAAAGCAGGATGTTTTCAGTGGGGAATGTTTAAGTCCTTCAAGGAAAATACCGTATCATGAGCTTTTCAGGGACAGGTATCTGTGACCCACCTGTGTGCAATGCCTCTGTGGTCCTGATATTCTGGTGCTGGGCTTGGACTCAAGCTGTGGGTTTCAACCCAGCTTAACCTTATCTGCATGACCTTGGGGAAGGCACTTCCTCTTTCTGGAATTCAATTGTCTCGTTTGCAAAGTGGGACCATGATATCATCTCTACAAAACCCTCTAAACACAAATGAAGAAACTTCCCATACCAAGCACCCAGAATAAAGAAAAAGGCTAGAAAAACCAGAAGCTATTGAATCACTTTTTTCCCTTTTTTTGCTTATATGTGCTAATTTTTCTACCATGGTCATGGGTTACCTTTGAATTATTATAAAAGTGAGTAATTAAAGGGGGTGGAGCAGAGCTGATGTGAAGGAAAACGCTGAGCTTGGCAACTTTCAGGGCCTCCTCTGTGCCAGGCACAGTTGCTGATGCTTCACCTATGTGACCTCATCTCTTTGTCCCAACAAGCCTGAAAGGGAGGCATTATGGCTCCTACTTCCAGCTGGGGAGACTGAGGTTCCCGAAGGAGTCAAGCCCTCACTATCATGAGAGCCTGTGGTGATGGTGATGTACCAGGAAGGCGCATACAGATGTGTGGCAGCAGCAGCAAGGTGAGCACTGCAACTCTGAGAAAGCGGAGCCTCCCCCCTTTCTTGAGACACTGCCTCAGAGCCTCTGAGAAAAGCCTTCCCCACTGGTGATACGCCACGAACCTGCTCCTGGGGGACCTGCTCTGGATTCTTTTAAGATCAAAAAAGTTTATTATTAAATAGCAGCATCGTGTCCAGTCAGAAAAGCTTAAGTGTATGAACGTCCTTTTTTATTTTATTTTTTTTGAGACAGAGTCTCCGTCTGTCTCCCAGGCTGGAGTGCAGTGGCGTGATCTTAGTTAACTGCAAGCTCCGCCTCCCGGGTTCACGCCATTATCCTGCCTCAGCCTCCCGAGTACTGGGACTACAGGCGCCCACCACCACGCCCGGCTAATTTTTTGTATTTTTAGTAGAGGCAGGTTTTCACCATGTTAGCCAAGATGGTCTCGATCTCCTGACCTCTCGTGATCCGCCCACCTTGGCCTCCCAAAGTGCTGGGATTACAGGCATGAGCCACCACGCCCAGCCTGAATGTACTTTTAAAACATGTTTCTGCTGCTGGGCGCGGTGGTTCACGCCTGTAATCTCAGCACTTTGGGAGGCCAAGGTGGGTGGATCACTTGAAGTCAGGAGTTCGAGACCAGCCCGGGCAACATGTCAAAACCCTCTCTACTAAAAATACAAAAATTGGGCGTGGTGGCACATGCCTGTAGTCCCAGCTACTTGAGAGACTAAGGCAGGAGGATCACTTGAACCCAGGAGGCAGAGGTGAGCCGAGATTGCGCCACTGCACTCCAGCCTGGGCAACAGAGCAAGACTCTGTCTCAAAAACAAAAACACATGTTTCTGCATAAAAGCATTGTTTGTATGCCATATTCTCCTTCTATTGAGTAGCAACACAATTCATCCTCTAAACAAAAAATGCTAATTATACTTTGCTAAAACATATCTCCAAATATGGATTTAATAAAATGCTTTTCTCAAAAAAGAAAATAAAAAGGGTCCTGCCATTTATAAGTAGATTGCTTCTTTCAAAAGGCAAATGCCAATAAATGACACTTCATCCTGGAGATGTGTAGTCCACCTGTTCTGTGCCCCTGAGCCACCACCTGTTGCCAATGTGTCTGCAGCCAACAGGGCTAGTCCTAGTAACACGGTGCCCCACCCCACACCACTGCCCCACCCTGATACTGAAACTGCAGCTGATGGGGTAATGCTCTGAGCTGCCCAGAGGAATGAGGCAGACAAGTCCTGCTGTGGCCTGGAAAACCCTCAAAAGAGTCAGTGCAATTCTCAAGATCACAGGTATCTGCCTGTTGCTCAAGAGTCCCAACCTGGCCACAGTGAGGGTAGTGAGTGATAGAACAGGGGAAAGGAGACAGCCTGTGGCGCTGGCTCGGGCACAAACCACTGGTGAATCAGACCTGAATTGATTCCTGGAGCCAAGTACTGTTTGCCATCTGTCTGAGGCTTTATCTGCCAGGGAGATGGGCAAGTGGCCAGAGCCCTCTCAGGGTGAGGGGTTGAACAGCCAGGCTCCAGCACACTGCCATACCAGATGTCATGACTGGTCACTCAGAAAGGGCACCGGATGGGGTGGCAGGAGGCCGAGCCCCTGGAGATGGCCCCCCTAGGCTCCCTGAGTCTCAGCCACCCCCTCCTCCTCCCTGGGCCTCAGGCTCTTCATCTGTAGCATGAAGGTGTGGGCAGTATAAGGACTTTTCCCACTATGGCTGCAGAGGGCTCACAGGCACTTGGTTGAGTTGAAAATATATACAGGTCTAACAATTTTTAAGTTTTCTGTTTTTTCCCCCACATAAAACCTATTCAACCAAATGCCTATAAACATGTTGGGGTGATGTTCTTCTGACGTCTGTGCTTCTAGGTTGTTTATGGGATGGACCTTCCTATCCTGTCACCTCGGGGATTGCAAAATAAAGTGTTAAAAAATGTTACCATTTGCACTTCTCTATTCAACCAAAATAACAGAAGGAAATTGGATTTCTCTTGTCTTTATGAGCCAATATTATTAGAACCTATACTTTTTATAGCTATACCATTTTTAGCTGTTTTCTGTATTCTACATAAGATTTCATTCCAAAAACTTTAACTATGTTTAAAGTTTGAAAATCACCATCCCTGGCTGGGCATGGTGGCTCACGCCTGTAATCCCAACACTTTAGGAGGCCGAGACAGGCAGATCACCTGAGGTCAGGAGTTCCCGACCAGCCTGGCCAACATGGTGAAACCCTGTCTGTACTAAAAAAGCAAAAATTGGCCGGGCGCAGTGGCTCACGCTTGTAATTCCAGCACTTTGGGAGGCCAAGGCAGGCAGATCATAAGGTCAAGGAGATCGAGACCATCCTGGCTAACACGGTGAAACCCCATCTCTACTAAAAATACAAAAAATTAGCCGGGCGTGGTGGCGGATGCCTGTAGTCCCAGCTACTCAGGAGGCTGAAGCAGGAGAATGGCGTGAACCCGGGAGACAGAGCTTGCAGTGAGCTGAGATCGCGCCACTGCACTCCAACCTGGGCGACAGAGCAAGACTCCGTCTCAAAAAAAATAAATAAATAAAAAATAAAAATTAGCCAGGCGTGGTGGCAGGCGCCCATAATCCCAGTTATTCAGGAGGCTGAGGCACGAGAATTGCTTGAACCCGGGAGGCGGAGGTTGCAGTGAGCCGAGATCACATCACTCTACTTCAGCCTGGGAAATAAAGTGAGACTCAGTCTCAAAAAAAAAAAAAAAAAAAGAAAAAGAAAAAGGAAATCACCATCCCTGATAATCTCTAAGGTCCCTGTAGCTCTGACATTCTACTAGTCTACCTACCATTCTAAAGCTCTGAACAAATTCATAGGGTTTTAAACCTGTCAACATGGAACCTTTTAGTTTCCTGCCTTTGTTTTTATGCACTTGGCTCTTCATATATCCAACTTCCTATCCAAATCCCATTCTTTCAGCACTTCAGTAAAACCCCTTCCTCACAAAGCACTTAACATGGGTCTTGGATCTAAGCCTTGGTTTCAAAATAGGGTAACAGAGCCTCCCTCAAGTGGTTAGGTTTAAGTGAGTAGGTAGTATGTATATGTAAAATGTTTAGCAAAATGCTGATACATAAAGCTCAAGGATCAGTAATTACTGTTATGATTATCTTTGTTAATGTGTTATTATTGTCATGGTGGAAAAGTCAGTGCAGACTCAATTCCCTGAAGAGATGTGCAACCTCAGGCAAAAAGTCTGGCCCATTCTCGATGGTGCAGTACTGCCTCCTAGTGGGTAGCTGGGCATTTTTTTTTCTTTTTTTTTTTTTTTAGACTCCTGTCCCCCAGGCTGGAGCGCAGTGATGCAATCACGGCTCACTGCAACCTCAATTTCTCAGACTCAAGCGATCCTCTCACCTCAGCCTCCAGAGTAGCTGGGACAACAGGCACGTGCTACCACACCCGGCTAATTTTTTATTTTTAGTAGAGACAAGGTCTTGCTATGTTGCCCAGACTGACTCCTGAGCTCAAGCAATCCTCCCACCTCTGCCTCTCAGCCCAAGTGCTGAGATTACAGGCATGAGCCAGTGCGCCCAGCCAATTTTTTTTTTTTTTAATGACTGTCACACTGGCCAGGGAGGTTAACTGGCTGTAGGGTGAAGAGGACAGAGATATTAAATGTCTGGCACACAAAGAATTGCCCATGCCCACAGGACTGAATCCATTACAGGTATAAAATATAAAAAGTGCTTTAAATTTTTCGAAACCTGGCTGGGCACGGTGGCTCACGCCTGTAATCCCAGCACTTTGGGAAGCTGAGGCAGGTGAAATCACCTGAGGTCAGGAGTTCAAGATCAGCCTGGCCAACATGGTGAAACCCCGTCTCTACTAAAAATACAAAAAAAATTAGCTAGGCTTGGTGGCAGGTGCCTGTAATCTCAGCTACTCGGGAGGCTGAGGCTGGAGAATCACTGGAACCCAGGAGGCAGAGGTTGCAGCGAGCCAAGATCGCGCCATTGCACTCCAGCCCAGGTGATGGAGATTCCATCTAAAAAAAAAATAAAAATTCAAAAGCTGGGGAACTTAGCACAAGAAAACATTATGTGCACATTTCACATATAGACATACCTCAGATATATATGGGTTCAGTTCCAGACCATGTCAATAAAGCAGGTCACACAATTTGTTTCCCAGTGTATATAAAAGTTATGTTTACATTGTACTGTAAGTGTGCAAAAGCATTATGTATTTAAAAATGTACAGGGGCTGGGCATGGTGGCTCATGCCTGTAATCCCAGCACTTTGAGAGGCCGAAACAAGTGGATGGCTTGAGCCCAAGAGTTTGAGACCAGTCTGGGCAACATGGTAAGATCTCATCTCTAAAAAAATACAGGCCAGACGCAGTGGCTCACGCCTGTAATCCCAACACTTTGGAAGGCCGAGGCAGGCGGATTACCTGAGGTCAGGAGTTCGAGACCAGCCTGGCCAACATGGTGAAACCCTATTTCTACTAAAAATACAAAAATTAGCAGGGCATGGTGGTGGCTGCCTATAATCCCAGCCACTCGGGAGGCTGAGGCAGGAGAATCACTTGAATCCAGGAGGCAGAGGTTGCAGTGAGCCAAGATCGCACCACTGCACTCCAGCCTGGGTGACAGAATGAGACTCTGTCTCAAAAAAAAAAAAAAAAAAATTAGCCAGGCATAGTTGTGTGGGCCTGTAGTCCCAGCTATTCAGGAGGCTGAGGCAGGAGGATCACTTAAGCCCAGGAATGCTTACAATCATATAAGCCTTCAGCCACATAACCTTGCTGGTGGAGGGTCTTCCCTCAGTGTTGATGGCTGCTGACTGATCAGGATTGTGGTCGCTGAAGGCTGGAGTGGCTGTGGCAATTTCTTAAAATAAGACAATAATGAGGTTTGCCGCATTAACTGACTCTTGTTTTCACAAGATGTCTCTGTAGTATCTGATGCTATATGATAGCATTTTGCCCACAGTAGAACTTCTTTCAAAGTTGGAGTCAATGCTCTGAAACTCTGCCATTGCTTTTTCAACTAAGTTTATGCAATATTCCAAATCTTTTGTTGTCATTTCAACAATGTGTGCAGCACCTTCAGCAATAGATTCCATCTCAAGAAACCACTCTTTGCTCATCCATTGAAACAAGTCTTCATTCGTTCAAGTTTTATCATGAGATTACAGCAATTCCGTCACATCTCTACGCTCCGTTTTTAGTTCTCTTGCTGTTTTTTCCACCACATCTGTCATTACTTCCTCCACTGCAGTCTCAAACCCCTCAGTCATCCATGTGGGTTGGAATCAACTTCTTCCAAACTGCTAATGTTGATATTTTGACCACCTCCCATGAATCGCATGTGTCGTTAATGACATGTAAAGCAGTGAATCCTTTCCAAAAGATTTTCAATTTACTTTGCCCAGATCCATCAGAGGAATAAATATCTATAGCAGTATAGCCTTATGAAATGTATTTCTTAATAAGACGTGAAAGCTGAAATGACTCCTTGATCCACCGGCTGCAGAGTGGATGTTGTGTTTGCAGGTATGAAACTACTAATCTCCCTGTACATCTCCAGCAGAGCTCTTGGGTAACCAGGTGTATTGTAAATGAGCAGTAATATTTTGAAAGAAATCTTTTTTGAGCAGGTCTCAATAGTAGGCTTAAAATATTCAGTAAACCTGGCTGGGCACGGTGGCTGACACCTGTAATCCTAGCACTTTGGAAGGCTGAGGCAGGCGATCACTTGAGGTCAGGAGTTCAAGACCAGCCTGGCCAACACGGTGAAACCTCACCTCTACTAAAAATACAAAAAATTAGTCGGGCGTGGTGGCAAGCGCCTGTAATCCCAGCTACTTGGGAGGCTGAGGCAGGAGAATCGCTTGAACCTGGGAGGCAGAGGTTGCAGTGAGCCGAGATAGCACCACCGCACTCCAGCCTGGGCGACAGAGCAAGACTCCTGTCTGAAAAAAAAAGAAAAAAAGAAAAAAAAACAGTAAACCATCCTATAAACAGATGGGCTGTCACCCAGGCTTCGTTCCATTTATAGGGCACAGGCAGAGTAAATTCAGCACAATTAAGGGTCTTGGGAATTTCAGAACAATAAATGAGCATTGGCTTCCACCAGCTGCCTCAGTCCTCAACGAGTTAGCCTGGGCGGGGCATAGAAGCTCCACGCCTGCAATCCCAGCGGAGTTCAGGAGTTTGTAAAGATGGGGTCTCACCAGACTGGTCTCCTGGGCAACATGGTGAGACCCAATCTCTACAAAAAAATTTTTACAAATCAGCTGAGCATGGTGGCGCGTGCCTGTGGTCCCAGCTACTTGGGAAGCTGAGGCAGGAGAATCGCTTGAGCCCAGGAGGTTGAGCCGTGTTTGTGCCACTACACTCCAGCCTGGGCCACAGAGCAAGAGCCTGTACCAAAAGCAAAACAAAAAATCAAGAGTAAGACTGTCCTTTGAAGCTTTGAAACCAGGCGTTGGCTTCCCCTCTCTAGCTATGAAAGTCCCAGATGGCATCTTGTTCCAATGGAAGGCTTTTTTCTACAATGAAAATGTTTAGTGTAGTCACCTTCATCCATTATCTTAGGTAGATCTTCTGGATAACTTGCAGCTTCTACATCAGCACTTGCTGCTTCACCTTGCACTTTTTGTTTTTTTGTTGTTGCTGTTGGTCTTTGTTTTTGTTTTTGTTTTTGAGACAGAGTCCTGCTCTGTCACCCAGACTGGAGTGTAATGGTGTGATCTTGGTTCACTGCAACCTGTGCCTCCTGGCTTCAAGCAATTCTCTCCTGCCTTGGCCTCCCAAGTAGCTGGGATTACAGGTGTCCACCATCATGTCCGGCTAATTTTTGTATTTTTAGTAGAGACGGTGTTTTGCCATGTTGGCTAGGCTGATCTCAAACTACTGACCTCAGATGATCCGCCCACCTCGGCCTCCCAAAGTGCTAGGATTACAGGCCTGAGCCACCATGCCCAACCTGACTTACATCTTATAGCACACTCATATCTGATATTTACATACAGAACGTTTATTTTATAAACTGCTTTTCTTGTATTTTTATATTATTGTTAAGGCTTTGCATTTCTATAATCCATATAGAAAATGGATCTCACTTCAGAAGAGTCAAGGGTCATTACCAATTTTTTTTTTTTTTTTTAACAAAAAAGGGGCCCATGTCTGATAAGTCAAGACCACTTGTCCTCTCTGAGCTTCTTGAGTAATGGGAGATAATTCCAACGTCACAAGGTTGATGAAAAAAAGCACCATTCATGTGCCTGGCATCTATTTATTCCACTTCAGTTTTCTTCCTATCTGGTTGTCTACTTTTGCTCTCCTACACCTTGCTCAGGGGATATCCCCAGTACTGGCAATATGAGTGTGTTTAATAAAGGAGCAAAGGAAAGCATTTTCTGGTGACAAGTCTCATCTGGCTGTTCGGTGACACCAAGGCACATGCCCAGGAAACTGGTAGTTTCCAGTCTGGCACCACAGCCTCTAGAGAAACAGAACCAGGGCACCTTTCCCAGCAAGTTTATGGAGAAAAAACAGGGATGGGCAGGTATCATCAGGAAGCAGGGTCCCAGGCTGAGGGCAGAGATGTGGCTTGTTTCCCTATCTAGGGATGCCTGGGGGGAATTAGGGTAAAAAGGCAAACAGCAGGTCAAGGTAGCTTATTTGGGCCAAGGTTGAAGACTGCAGCCTGAGACACTTCCAGGTTGCCTTGGAGAGTATTCCAAAGGACAGGCTCAACTTTTTACAGAAAAAAGGATGAATCAGAAGACGGGTGATTACAAAAGTTGTTCGTCAGGAATTCTCATTGGTTTACAGAAATAACACTGGTTAGTGATTGGCTATCCACTGTTGAATTACAGGACAATGGCATTTTATGGCTACTTGGCATCACAGTCTAGAACCCACATGGCAAGTGACTTCAAGAGGTAATTATTTAGCTCAAGGAGGGAGTGAAGACAGGACTGCTGTTAAATGCCTCTCTGGCCCTAATAATTTAAAAGGAATCACATTCCTCAGATTAAAAGGTGTTTTTCTTCCTTAAGACATACTGGGTCAAAGTGACAAACTGCACTTCTGTGGTATCAGAAACAGACTTTAATCTTGACTGCCCAGGCCGTAGTGCAGTGGCGCGATCTCAGCTCACTGCAACCTCTGCCTCCCAGGTTTAAGTAATTCTCCTGCCTTAGCCTCCCCTCCCCAGTAGCTGGGATTACAGGCGCGCTCCACCACGCCCGGCTTTTTTTTTTTTTTTTTTTTTTTTTAGTAGAGATGGGGTTTTGCCATGTTGGTAAAGCTGGTCTCGAACTCCTGACCTCAAATGATCCGTCCACCCGGGCCTCCCAAAGTGCTGGGATTACAAGCATGAGCCACTGCGCCCAGCCCAAGTTATTGGTTTTCTAAAGCTCCCCGTGATTCCAATGTGCAGCAAAGGGGAGAGAAAACACCATGAATACCCTGTGAAGTATATTGTTATCCCCCAACTTTTCAAACAAGGGAACTAAGAAAGTGACTTGCCCTCAGCACACAGCCAAAAAAAAAAAAAAAATTTGAACTCAAGAAAGCCTAATTTGAAAACCTATTTTAAAACAGCTATCTAGCAGTTTTAACCCACACCATCTTTCCTACCTACCTATCCCTTCAGAATCCCCTTTCTTAACATATGCCCATACTCCCTTATCCACAAATGTCCCTCTTGACCTTGGACCATTCAACTCAGTAGTCCCCCTTCCGCACTCTTCGAAATTGGACAGATTCAAAAGTGGTTGAGGAGGAGCAAGGTCAGCGGAAGCACACTCACAGCAGGCAAATTAGGGTAATTTCTGCCTGCCCAGCACCCAAAGGAGCCTTTCTTAAGCCATTACCTGAGTGCTTACTGCATGCCAACACAAGCCTGCACAGAACACCTATTATTTACTGAGCAGTGTGCTATGCTCTGTGCTGAGTGCTTTACTTGCATTACACTATATTCTTGATATTAACAATAGGGGATAGGTGCTTCCTATTATCACCATTTTAAAGATGAAAAAAATGAAATCCCAGACATTACACAATTGGCCCAAAGCCACAGAGCTGTAAGGAAGCAAGGATTCAAATCTGGGCTGCTATTTCCAAGCCTGACGGCCTTAACGTTACACTGCTCCCTATAACAAGCCCTGGATTTGCTGTTGAGGCACCAGAGCCCTGCTCTGCCACTGTGTCCCTGTGTGACCTTGAACAAATCCACTTTCTTATCTCTAAACTAATAAGAATTTGGACTATCGACTCTGAAGCCCTTTCCAGTTTATCTACACCTGGTCCTGTAACCAAGTTTATAGTTTCAGCTCCATTACCACTGGGCTGCGAAGTTAGACAACTTGCCAAGCCCCTCCGAACTTAAATCTCTTCCTCAATAAATGGAGATGATCACATTAACCTTACTACTAACACCCTTTTGAATCATTTTATTCCTGTCAACTGCTGTCATACCCAAGAGCTGGCAGTGGCTCAGGTACCAGTCTTGGATGACAGAGTAAGTAAAAACCTTTCCTTCCACCCACTTCTGTTGAGAATTAATCAAAATTACTTGAGGAAAGGAATGGAGCTTTCTTCCAGGTCAATAGACTGCCAGCTGCTGTAGAGAGCTTGTTTTTGTTTTTTGTTGTTGTTTTTGAGACAGGGCCTCACTCTGTCACCCAGGCTGGAGTGCAGTGGCACAATCTCAGCTCACTGCAACCTCTACCTCCTGGGCTCAAAGCAATCCTCCCACCTCAGCCTCCTCAGTAGCTGGGACTACAAGCACATACCACCATGCCCAGCTAATTTTTGTACTTTTTGTAGAGACGGGGTTTTGCCATGTTGCCCAGGCTGGTCTCCTGAGCTCAGGCAATCCACCTGCCTTGGGCTCCCAAAATGCTGGGAAGAAAAAGAGCTTTAATTACCAAGTAAGTGATCACTTAAATTTGTCTACTTAACTTCGACCACTATTTTTTCACCAGCAACTCAGAAATAAGACACAACAGTCTCCTAACTTGGGCTATCATTTTTAAACAAGAGCTCATGAATCTCTGGAAGAAAAAAAAAAGAGACACACAGAGAAAAAAAAGGTTTGTATACTTTTCTCTGTAAAACTGAAAAGTCCTCCCTGTTTGATGTTTTGGGTTTGTTTTTTTTTTTTGAGACAGTTTCACTCTTGTTGCCCAGGCTGGAGTGCAATGGCACGATCTCGGCTCACTGCAACCTCTGCCTCGCAGGTTCAAGCGATTCTCCTGGCTCAGCCTCCCCAGTTGCTGGGATTACAGGCATGTGCCAACATGCCCGGCTTTTTTAAGTAGAGACAGGATTTCTCCACGTTGGTCAGGCTGGTCTCAAACTCCCGACCTCACGTGATCCACCCAACTTGGCCTCCCAAAGTGCTCGGATTACAGGTGTGACCCACAGCACCTGGCCTAAGGCAGATACTTTCAATGATTCAGTTCTTAGCCCTCCTTGTCAGTGTGTTCATACTCCAACTTACAAAGCACGTGACTTCTTCCAACCTCACTCTTTGAGGCCAATTTCATGTCAAATGGATTGCTATATATTGCCAACTGAAATCTAACCAAGACTGCCAGCTCAGTAAACCTGTCCTCATTAAACTCCAAGCAGCTAGAATGAGCGAGCCAGCCATTCATCAATGCACTCTAATACTCCCAACTTCTTGGCTTTCCTGTCAGTGTTAAAGCTGGACAAGTTATCTTATACACGCTTGTTCAAATACATGGCTAAAGGAAAGTAAAAAAAAACCAATCAGATTTGGACCCACTTCAAACTTAAATAAACCCTTTTATCTCTAAATCCTAGTGCAGTTTACATTCTCAACTGTTTCTGGCTCTAAACCCCTATTTCATGATTAAGGCATTTATTTCTTCCTCTTCACCTCAGATTGGTTAGTCTCTCCTTATCATTTGAATGTGAGCTCTGGAACTGGGATGGCCAGTTGCAGTGGCTCATGCCTATAATCCCAACACTTTGGGATTACAGCCAAGGCTGGAGGGGTCCTTGAGTGCAGCCTGGGCAACAGTGAAATACCATCTTATAAAAAACAGCCTGGGGCGGGGCGCAGTGGCTCACGCCTGTAATCCTAGTACTTTGAGAGGCCAAGGCGGGCGGATCATGAGGTCAAGACATCGAGACCATCCTTGCCAATATGGTGAAACCCGTCTCTACTAAAAAATACCAAAAAATTAGCCAGGCATGGTGGTGCGCACCTGTAGTCCCAGCTGCTCAGGAGGCTGAGACAGGAGAATCACTTGAACCTGGGAGGCAGAGATTGCAGTGAGCTGAGATCACACCACTGCACTCCAGCCTGAGTGACAGAGTGAGACTCCGTCTCAAAACCAACCAACCAAAAAGAAAACTGGGGTGAAAATGAATTGTTAAAGGTCAACAGCCTAAACTTGCACTCCAGTCAAACACAAATATTATATAGATTTTTCTTTCTAGATATTGAGCTGGTGTTGTGATTTATCACTGTATCCCAGTCAGTGTTTGTATCATGGACTTTTGACATGTAGGAAAATTATGAAACAATTAAATGACAAATCAACATTCCAATTTGTATTTGTAAAATACTTTCATTGAAAACATGGGTAGTTTTATCTAAACTAAAAATAAATGTCATTATGAGATTCTGGTGGCAGCCAGCCAGCTGGATGAGGTTTTTTAAAGTTACCAGCTGCCTGAGCTTAAGATTTAGAATTGTTTCCCAAAGGAGTTATTCTTTCAAAAATGAAACTTCTAGGCCGGGCACGGTGGCTCACGCCTGTAATCCCAGCACTCTGGGAGGCCGAGGCAGGCGGATCACTTGAGGTCAGGAGTTCAAGATCAGCTTGGCTAACATGGTGAAACCCTGGCTCTACTAAAAATACAAAAAGCAGCTGGGCGTGGTGACACGCGCCTGTAGTCCCAGCTACTCGGGAGGCTGAGGCAGGAGAATTGCTTGAACCCGGGAGGCGAAGGTGGCAGTGAGCCGAGATCGAGCCACAGCACTCCAGCCTGGGTGACAAAGAGAGACTCCATCTCAAAAAAAAAAAAAAATACATAAATAACATTAAATAAAAAATAAACTTCTGTATCTCAAGACTTACATAACATTTTTTTAAAATATTCAAATATTTCCTTCTCCAAATGACCAATATAAACTTCACATCTCCACCCCACCCCCTCCCCGACCCCCCATTGCCACTGCCCAGCTCCAGGCAGCATTAGGCAACAACTTCAACAACATTCCCCTTAGCTCTACATTTTGGGGCTTTGTGAGCAAATAAAAAAACAGTGAACAACGCTAACTTGGCCAGGGAAAGGTGACTCAGGCCTGTAATCCCAGCGCTTTGGGAGGCTGAGGCAGAAGGATCGCTTGAGGAGTTCCAGACCAGCCTGAGAAACATAACCACGTCTCTTAAAAAAAGTTTTTAATTAGCTGGGCATGGTGGTGTGTGACTGTAGTCCTAGCTACTTGGGAGACTGAGGTGGGAGGAACGCTTGAGCCCAAGAAGCCAAGGCTGCAGTAAGCTATGTCACCACTGGTCTCAAAAAACAAAACAAAAACAGGAATGCTAACTTGCCCCAGATGAAATCTGAATGAAGTATATACTGAAATAAAGGTGCACAACCACAAATGAACAAGGCTTTCAAAAGAGGAGGACTCCTTCAACCTATAGACTACTTTTCTGGAAGGTTTAATTTTGCCCTGGAAATAGTATCCATCTCAGGACATTCCAAATGATTAGGGAGAAGCAAAGTATCAATGTTTTGATATTTCCACTTGCTCAAGACACATGTACTAACTTACAGTGAGGCACTACATGGCCATATTCTACATCTTTTATAGTAGAACAACTATACAATGCCTTACATCAGAAATGAGGAAAACTAAAGATTAAAACAGCAATGTTTTACACACGTATTTCATGTGTTAGTTTAGGAATCATTTTGGGTACCTTCATCAAATCGACAGAGAAAGCAGGATACTAAATGAGAATCTAAATACTGTATTATTAAGTACAGAGTCCAACAAGGGGAAAGTTGCATGGACAAAACTAATCAATTATACTAGGCTTACCAAAACAAACTTTTTTTTTTTTTTTGGAGACGAAGTTTTGCTTTCACTCAGGCTGGAGTGAAGTGGCTACATCTCGGCTCATGGCAACCTCCACCCACCAGGTTTAAGCACTTCTCCTGCCTCAGCCTCCCAAGTGGCTGGCATTATAGGCGCCTGCCACCACACCCAGCTAATTTTTGTACTGTTAGTAGAGACGGGGTTTCACCATGTTGACCAAGCTGGTCTCCAACTCCTGACCACAAGTGATCCACCTGCCTCAACCTCCCAATGCACCGGGATTACAGGCATGAGCCATCACACCCAGCCAAAACAAATTTCAATGACCTTGTCTCAGAACCTTAAGGGGTCTACAGCTGAATTATCTTCAGGTACCCGATGAATCCCCCTAATAAAACAGGATGAAAAAAATTAGAGTGGACATAAAATCAAATTCAACACTACTGGATTATTTAGAGAAAAATGTACTTCCAACCCAGTTTTTCTTCAGTAACTTTAACTAGAAATCTTTCTCGAAAAGATGGAAAACCAGAAGGCAACAATCTGGTAGTACAAAAATATACAACTAAGAAATTACCACCAACTAGGTATGACAACTAAATCTCATTCAGAACTCTGAAAAAAAGCATACTTGGACAAAATACTAAACTAGTGGTTCTCACATCACCAAGGGTATTTATCATGTAGAACTCCTCAAAATTACACAGGGTTAGGTCACCCTGAAAAACTAAGTCAATGAGCCTGGAGTCTGGCTGTATCTATTCTGAAATACCTCTTCAACAAAATTTCTAATTAGGCAGCACTGTACTAAAATGAATGTAGTAATAACCTGGATTTTCCATCCACATATGGGTTTGTGTGAAAGCCACTGACAGCAGTCTAACAGGGTGGGAGTGTCATGGACGCTGACGGGATCACGTTTGTAAGGATCTCTAAGATACTCAAATGGTAGACACAGGGTACCTGTGCTTGGTAAAACTACAACTTCCCTACTTTCTGCTTAAGACATGGAGGTCAGAAGCAACCCACAATGAACTGTGAACCAGAGATCAAACTAAATATTCCTTTTAATAGAAATGTGAATCTTGCCATGTTGGGCAGACTGGTCTCCAACTCCTGGCTTCAAGAGATCCTCCCACCCGCCCTAGCCTCCCAAAGTGCTAGGAATTACAAGTGTGAGCCACCACATCCAGCCAGTGTCTTTGAAAACAATCAAATATAATCCTTAATGTTTCTTTACATTGTCATCAAGTATTAGTAACAGTGACTTCTAGTGAACACCTTGATCCTTAAACCACAGGTCTAAGTTCAGTTTTGTGATTCCTTTCATTTTTACACTCAACCCTGAATATGGACAAGACCGGTTAGTGTGACCTGTTATTTTAGGAATTACAACTTTAAAAATTCCTAATAGCCACAATCTAAATGTGCAATTCAAAGCTTTTAACAATTTCCATGTTCTAAAGTTTCTAAGAGTCTTGAGGTTATGCTAGGGCTCCTGGTTAAAGTAACTGCCAACTGGGACTGTATGTCACCTAAGTCAGGATAACTCCCTGGTGAAGTTACTTTTATTTCAGGTTCTGTATTATTTCTCTTAGCCATATTATACCCGTAACTGTCCTTTTTACAGAAACCCTTCCAACTTAAGAGCCTGCAAGGAAGTCATATACTGCCCAAAAATGCCCACATAAGTTGTCCATTTATAAAAAGCAATGTAATTGACATATTGCATGGCTTCCGTAACTTCTTAGCTATCTTGGCTTGTTCCTAACAGGAACAGGTTGTAGGCTATGTGAGAATACTAAAGACAAAATGCCCAATGCCAGAGCTCTCAGTAAATAAACAGGCTGTCTGAAAAGTGTCTTTCTTGAACATGCTTAACTTTAAGGCTGAACCTTCCTGACACCAATTCTCCCAAGATTTGTGTAAAAGGTGGAAATAAATAATTTGTTTAGGAACTGTATCTTAATGTATCCATTTAGCTTGAACTCTTAATGCAATGACTTATCTTTCATATTTAAGACAGTCAATACCGCATAATCCAAAACTATCTTAAGAGCATATTTAAGGAAACTAAGCCACAAGACTGTTGCATTATGATTTAATCTAATTGCACAAAAATTTGAAATTACAACACCTGCCATTTTCTAAGAGGAAGGTTATGCATGCCTCCATATTCAATTCTGCACTGTTACATTTGAACCATATTGTGAACTTTTACATCATGATGGATCAGCTTAGAATTCCCATGCAACACCTCAAATTATAAAATGGAAGCAATTTTTAGACCTGTGGAAAGTTTTCATGCTAAAGATAAAAGCCATTTGTTAATGGGCAACTTACTTTGTGTTTAAGAACCAGGTTGCTGCTATACTTTAAAATGTTGGTCACTAAATATTATGGACCCTGAACTGGCTTCTATGCCTAAAAAAAAAAAAAATGGGTTAACTATCACTTAGGTGACATCTATATTTCCTTCACTTCAGAAGACTAATCCATAGTGCCTCTCAGCTGTTTCTTATAAAATAAGAATCGTGTAACCAACTGCTTCCCATGGGATAAGAACAATGGTAACAGTGGGTTCAACTGACTATACACAATTATGCTAATATTTTATTAATTCAAAAGCACTTTACAAGAAAATATAAGTATGGCTTCCAATAGGAATGTTATACCTGGACTTGGTACCAAGCTCACAGATTTGAGTTTGCAAGGAAAAACAGGCTTTCAAGTTAAAGAACAATTTGTAACCAAAACTTTAATCCCAAGGATTCTCACAAAACATATTACAAATGACAGCATGAAAAAAAAATCTTGCACAGTAACTCAAAGTTCGGCTCTACAATGTACCCTTAAACTGGCAGGACATTTTTGAAATCACAAATTTGCACATAAAGAATGTCACGAACAGCCATGTATCCATATACAGCAATCAAATAAGGAACTTATGACCTAAAGCAAAGGTAAACTTTCTTGAAACTTAACATTCTATACCAACTAGGCAACCTCTGCCCAGGATGAGAGTTGGATTTTTCAAAAACCTCTAATTTAATAGTGCAGCATTTCGTTTTCCCTGATGGCCTGTGTTTCACAGCAGTTTTTAAAGACTGCTTGTTCAACTATAGCTGCAGCCTATATCCCAGCTATGGAAAAAAAAGTAAATCTTAGTTCAATTTTTGCCAGTTGTTTCTGTATTTAAATTTAAAAAAAAACACACTTCCGCTGGGCAGGTTTAGAGGTTTATTATCAGTCTGTGCATAACTAAAAGTTCAAAGCAAATTCAATTTTGCTTAAGGGAACATTGTAAAGTAACAATTCTTGGTATTACATGCCTCGTATGATCCATTTCAAACCATAGAGAATTACACCTTTGTGTCACTGTTTCAAGAGACAAACAGATTTGAACAGCTAAAACATCTTAAAAATGCACCAAGCTTATGAAGTCTCAAACAAAACTTGAATTTTCTGTACATACTCCTGTCAAATGAAGTAATTTCCTGTACACCACTTCTCTTGCAAACTGTCTTCTATTTCCTTTCATTTGACCTAGATCGACTAAAAAAAAAAAAAAAAAAAGAAAACAAAACATTACATCTGTAACTTGGTGACACTTTAGTGACATATCGAAATAGAACTTTAAGGTAAAAAATTTATGGCTTAGAAGACAGGCCTTAGCATACTATGTATGCAAAGTCTTAAATACAAGTTATCAAAGATCTTACCTACGAGACCTAGAGAAGGATCGGGACGGCTTGTGATTTCTCTCCCGAGACAGCGATCTCTCTCTTCTCCTATCTCTAGAAAGGGACCTAAACAAGCAAAAAAACATTAGGACCAATGAGGTATGATAAAATTATACATAAATATTTTCTTGATCTGGCATGGTGACTCATGCCAATAATTCCAATATTTTGGGAGGCAGAGGCAGGAGGCTCACTTGAAGCCAAGAGTTTGAGAACAGATTGGACAACAAAGTGAGATCCCATCTCCACAAAAAATAAATTAGCCAGGTATGGCAGTACTTGCCTGTAGTCCAAGCTACTCAGGAGGCTGAAGAGGGAGGATCACTCCAAGGCCAGGAGTTAAAGGCTACAGTGAGCTATAATCACACCACTGCACTCCAGCCTGGGTGACAGATCCTTTTTTAAAAAATTAAATACTTTCTAAAAAGCCTTTGAAAACTCAAAGAAAGCTGACTCATCCTTACAACTTGATTCACTATTAAAGCCAAGGTTTATTCCCATTAACTAAGCCACCTGGAAAAGTTTAGGAATAGCAGAAACACTGCCATTTCTAAGAACGTAGCCAAAAAAGGTAGTCATTTACCTGCTCCGGCTGCGAGAGAAGCTTCTCCTTCTTGGAGATCTAAAAGCAGAAACAGGAAAATTAGGCTCATCATCAATTAGTATTTATGGCGTGAGGCATTTCCCAACTTTTCAATCTCACTGTTGGGCCCAGTGAATGTGCCGAAGAACTGGCACCCATCGTCCAAAAAAAAAAAAAAAAAAAAAAAAAGAAAAAAAAGAAAAGAAAAAAAAGGCACAGAAGGATTAAGAAACAAAAAGCTCAAGTGAAAAGCAGGTATTCCAACCATGGATTCACTTTAACAAAGAATGCTTCACAGCAGATCTGTCCAATGCAAAACTTCATGTCAAACTAACTTCACTACCCAAACACCACACCAAAATATAGTCCCACAAGTAGTTCCAAAAACAGTACCATAAACCAGTATTTGGAACCCATGCAAACCTGTAAGTCCATGACAAGACTTAGGTACCAGGTGGATAGTGTAATTTTGTGAAAACGCGGTAGGTGTAAATATTGATGCCATTAAGTGCTACATTAGAACTGCATTTGTGATCGTCACATTTAAGAGTGTGTTTAGGCTTACCAAAATTACCTTAGCTTGGCCCACACTTCAACCCCAAAATTTTAAATTTTGAAACTGTTAGTAAAACCATTTAAAGGTGATAGGATTCAACAAATTTTTGCCAGAAAAGCTAATCTGTTAGAGATATTAAAATTTTTAGTTTGGCATCTTGCACATGCAAATAAGTTTCACTTGAAGGCCTAGTTACATTACGAGTTCCCTATCACCCTTAAAAGTTTTTCAAGCAATATATATGTACGTTACCATTCAATTATGCACAGCCAGCCTTTGATCCAGAAAAAAGAATTACTTTAAGCCGCTTACTCCTTATTTTAACCAGCAGTAAACTGTATAAGCAGGAAAAACTTACTAGTTTTGGGTTTCAACAAGCTAGAAATGGTGAGGTGAGGCTGCCGGACTGACGGCCAGGAAGAATTTGCTGAAAAGGTTTTGCCAGATGTTGCGTTGGATTTAGTTGGTTGGCGAAGGGGGTGTTGTGGATTTTTCCTGCTTTTTTGTTAGCCGAAGGCTGCTGCTGTAGTTGTTGTGAAGACATTTGGTAAATAAACAGCTGAGCTGATTGGCCAGGAATGTGTGGGCGGTCGAGGTGGCTGCTGCCGATTTGGTTAAGGTTGGAGAGAAGGCTGAGAGAAAACAGCATGCTCGGGAACCAAAGGGCGGTGCAACCTGACGACTGGCCAGCCTGGGTCATGTGAAACGACACCAGCCAAGCTGAATGGGGCGCGCTGGTCACATGACGCTGAAAGGGCTAGTTGACTGGCTAATGCAGATTCAGAGGGTGGTGAGAAGAGACATGATGGTGACTCTGTAACGGGGTTCATTTTTATTAATAGATGGACCAAAAAGCACAAAAAAAATGAAAAACAAGCCATCAGTACAACCATCTATTAGCTAACAAATACTCTTTATTATGATGGGCAACAGTGTGCTGTTGTTTTTCAAAATAGCAAAAGGGGCAAGATTTTGAACTCCTGTCTCCTAGAAGGACTCCACTCACCTGTAAGAGGTAAATTTAGTCCTATAGAAACTATTTTGGAGGTCTGAGGAGATGTGGAGTTAGCACCCAGACAATACTGCCTGGTCCAAGAATGATGCCATTTTCAATTATAAAAAAACTGAATTTTCTCCTATTTGGGATTGAAGAACAGATGACTGGGATTACTTCTTTTTTAGCCCCCTTTATTGGTCAGTGACTTAAGTTAGTCTCAGAATGATTTCTACTTTACCAGTTGTAACATTAAAACAGCTGCCTGTTTGATAAATATTACAATTGTGCTAATAGTAGAAAACACAAATTTGTGAAGAGCTAGAGTTGAATGTAATGTTTGTCATTATGGAGCCAAGAAATGGAAAAAGGCCTAAACTGAAGTATAAGGGAAGATTTGGAAAGATGCAACTAGAAAGATGAACTAGAAGACAGATCCAAGATAGAAGTTACTGACTACCAACATGAACAGTGACCTAAAGACAAAAGCCAACACTCAGCACAACTCACATACCCCAAATTACACCCAACAAATGTTTCACAGAAACCTCCGATTCTTCCAAAGTTTAAAACCCACCAACAAACTTAAGAGAAATACCTGCTCCTACTAGCTACTCCATTACACCAATACCTCTTAACAAGCTTTCTCTCAAGTACCTGCGACGAGGTGGAGGACTCCTCCTACGATAATCATCTCGAGGGCGACGACCCCAAGAGGGAGGTGGGCCACGATTTCTACTTCTTTTTTCACCATTCGACAGTTCCACTCTTACACGGCAGCCACATAGTGTTCTGAGGGGGCAAAGATATTAAACTTAAAACAGCCTGACTTTCTGACATGCGTATTAAAGCCAAAAGTACTCTCAGTTGGCTATTCTGCAAAGAACACACCTAAGTGTCTGTGCAATTTAACATCAAATTTCTAGCTCCCTTATTTTTACTAATATAAAATGAGCTTTGGCCAGGCACGGTGGTACACGCCTGTAATCCCAACACTTTATGAGGCCGAGGCAGGCGGATCACAAGGTCAAGAGTTCGACACTATCTTGGCCAACGTGGTGAAACCCTCGCTCTACTAAAAATACAAAAAATAGCCAGGTGTGGTGGTACATGCCTGTAATCCCAGCTACTCAGGCGGCTGAGGCAGGAGAATCACTTGAACCCAGTAGGCAGAGGTTACAACGAGCCAAGATCACACCATTGCACTCCAGCCTGGGGGACAGAGCAAGACTCTGTCTTGAAAAATAAAATAAGCTTGTTTCCCAGTTTCAAATTAAAATTTCAATTAATTTCAAATTAAACAAATAGGATTTTCTAAAGTACCAATTCACAAGGAAGTCAAATTCTATTTTATCACCTAATTGTTAGAGCCAGTCTGATTACTGAGCTCAATGTTAATTTGTTAACAGTTGCAATTTAAGTGTGAAGATCCATTTATCCTTGAAAAACAAGTTCTCCTGTATCTTCATTATGATTTCTTCCCTTGAAGTCCCTGCACTTATTTCAGTTATTTACCAGGCTGTATTTATTGGTCTCCCCCTGCCCCACTCCAAGTAAAAAATCAGTTCAAGACAAGACAGAACCATTTTGGCCATTTTACAGCACCCTCTCCCCTCAACAGTCAGCACAGAAGAAATTATAGCTGTGGCCAGGTGAGGTGGCTCATGCCTGTAATCCCAGCACTCAGAGAGGCTGAGGCAGGAGGATGGCTTGAGCCCAGGAGCTTGAGGCCAGCCTGGGCAACACAGACTGTCGTCTGTATTATTTTTTAAATAATAAATATACATTTTTTTAAAAAAAGAAATTATAGCTCACAGTAGTAAAAAAAAAAAAAAAAGACCATTATTCCTCACCCTTAATACAACCAGTCATTAAATTTAGATAAGCTATCATATTTGAAGAGTGACTGGGAAGAGGTGGGCCCTGGAAAACTTTACTACAACCTGCTTGAATTGACCAACCTTTCATGCAGCTTTACAGTGAACACTCAGCTCCTTTTTCCCATTATACTTCCAAATATGAGGAAAGGGGGGTGGGGGCATGGAGGTCAATACTCAGGCCTTACTCAGCCAGCTAACAGGACACTATTAACACAAAGGGAAATAGTAAGTGATTCACTTTCTGGAGTATTTCAAACACATAAAAGTAAAGGTACAACCAACCCATGTAACCATTTTGTAAACAATTTTTTAAACAAGGATCAGTTCACAACTACTCTTAAAAATATTTGATCCTGGCTGGGCACAGTGGCTCCCACCTGTAATTCCAGCACTTTGGGAGGTCAAGGCGGTCAGATCACCTGGGGTCAGGAGTTCGAGACCAGCCTGGCCAACATGGTGAAACCCCATCTCTGCTAGAAATACAAAAATCAGCCCCGCATGATGGCACACGCCTGTAGTCCCAGTTACTCAGAAGGCTGAGGCAGGAGAATCACTTGAACCCCGGAGGCCGAGGTTGCGGGGAGCGGGAGACTGTACCACTGCACTCCAGCCCAGTGACAGTGCAAGACTCGTCTCCCCACCAAAAAAAAAAAAAAAAAAAAAGATCCCAATTGTATCTAAAGATACAATTGGCCAGTGATTGGGAAAGCCATCTAAGAGCCACATATCCTGTAGATTTTAAATATGAAAAACACAAGCAACACATTTTTATCAGCGTAATCATTAAATCACCTTCCATCTAGCTCTCGGACTGCATCAGCTGCATCTCGGGGATCTTCAAATTCAACAAAAGCAAAGCCGGGTGGGTTTCTAGCAACCCACACACTTCGGAGTGGTCCATAGTAGCCAAAAGCCCGTTCCAATTCCGTCTTGTTGCCATTGTTTCCAAGATTGCCTACATAAACCTTACAGTCCAATGGACAGGAATCACGATGCATTTCTGTAATGAAAAATACCAAAAATATTCATTCATCTAAACATCTACAGTTAAAACCACAGATCCTTAGAAAGAACTCCATTAGAGAGGACAAGAGAGTTTAAGGTAGCACGTAAAGAAAAAAAAATTACAAAAATGCTAGAAACCAAACAAGAAATGTTACTGCTAAGCACCCATTTCCCCCCCCCCGCCACCCCGCCCCATTATCTTTACTCCTAACCCTCAGGAAGCCAGCAATTAGTGAAGAAAAAAACAGCTTCCTTGGAACGTTGAGAACAACTGGAGGAGCATTTACCACCATCTGGGCCGTGAGTTAAGAGACTTAACCTGTTATTTCATTTAATCCCCAAAATAAAGCATTTCTAGAAAAACAGAAGAGAATTCTGTTGGGGACTCAAAACTAAATAAAACAATGATGAAGAAAGCTAGTCCTTAAGGTTATACTACCAGGCAAGCGATTCAAAGTACCTACATAAGCCAAAACTTACCAGCTTTAATAAAAATAAGGCCAACGATTTTCACTTTTAAAAAAATGCCCATGGACCGGGCGCGGCGGCTCACACCTGCAATCCCAGAACTTTTGGGAAGCCGAGGCGGGCGAATCACGAGGTCAGGAGTTCGACCCAGCCTGGCCAATATGGTGAAACCCCGTCACAACTAAAAATACAAAAATTAGCCGGGCATGGTGGCGCACACCTGTAGTCCCAGCTACTCGGGAGGCTGAGGCAGAACAATCGCTTGAACCCGCGAGGCGGAGGTGGCAGTGAGCCGAGATCGCGCCACTGCACTCCAGCCTCGGCGACAGAGCGAGATTCCATCGCCAAAAAAAAACCACAAATAAATAAATAAATAAATGCCTATTTTGGTCATTTGGAACTATAGGAACAAGGCTAGTATCAAATGTCATTAGATAGACCAGAGTCTTACGCGGTAAAAATTTATCAAGCAACGAGACCAACTTTACAGTTTTTTAAAAAATGTAAACTCATAGTAGCACTTATTCACAGTAGCCCAAAGATGTTAACCCAAATGTCCATCAACAGAAACGGATAAGCAAAATGTGGTATAGACATAAAATGAGTATTATTCAGAATGATGTACTGACAAATCCTCCAACGTTGGAAAATCTTGAAAACATTACGCTAAGTTAAAGAAGCCAGACATAAAAGTACACGATTCCATAAATACTAAATATCTAAAATAGCTAAGTTCAGAGAGACAGGAAGATTAGTGGTTGCTAGGGACTAGAGGAAGGGGGACAGGGAATCTGGGAGTAAGTGCTCAATGGGTAGTAGTCTCCTGCGGGGGGAGGTGACGGAAATGTTTTGGAACTACGTGTAAGTGATGATTACACAACACTGAATATACTAAATACCACTTAAAGATAATTTCACTTTAATAAAAAATTACAAAGAGATATTTGCTACTAAAAAATTTACTGCACTTTGGGGACTTATTTTTTTGTTCTTCCTTGGCGGACTTGTATTTGATAAAGCTTTATTACTGAGTCACTTCGACGATGAATCTGATAAACTTGTAGACCAGTTTCAATTACATAAAAACCATCTACTCAATAATTCAGCTGAAGTGCTTTCCATAAACACCACGTTCTTCTTACTCTGGGCTTGTCTAATTAAAATATCCAGTCCAGACACATCCTATTTGCCGTGACCACACCCTGTGCCCAGGAGTAAGTTCTAAGACCAAACCACTGGTGAAAATTTTTAAAAACACTGCTGG
Organism: Homo sapiens; assembly: GCF_000001405.40. Classification (NCBI taxonomy): domain Eukaryota; kingdom Metazoa; phylum Chordata; class Mammalia; order Primates; family Hominidae; genus Homo; species Homo sapiens. The sequence goes on along the minus strand of NC_000006.12, from coordinate 36,595,023 downwards.
CACCTGTCTTAAGCCTCCATTTTAATGGGAAGCGATGAAAGAACGAATCTTAAGTTCAAGGAAGATCTTTCGGTCTTAGAAAAAGGTGATTAGATTCAGGCTGCAAAATCTGAAACTACATGAAAGTAAGGTGACTACGGGGGCCATTTAATATGAACTGAAAGGTCCGGTCTTGGTTAGTGACTTTACAAAAACATTCTGAGAAGCTTCCCAATTAAATGAGGGGCCAAAAAAAAAAAAGGCGCCATAAAAATAAAAAGGCCGTGACCTGGAATACAACTCGGCTATCGGCTCCCCTTTGTGGTTCCCAACTCCCAGGTAACCCCCATCCTGGCTCATGCCCCAATGAGGAATATAAAGACTTCCACTCCAAGACTAGGAAACCCTCCGATGGGCCGGGAGCCCCCGCCACCGCCCCGTGCTGAACGTCACAAAATGGCGGCGGCGCCTCTTTGTCTCAATCTGGCGCCGCCATTGGGCCTGGCTCCTTGGTACTGTTAAATTCCATTTCCACCTCATTCCCTCTTTCGCTGGTCTCTTACCGAGATCTAGGGTTAAAAAATGCGGCGGCTCAAATCCACACGCTCCGATGAGTCTTCCCGCTTTCCTCCGGCCCAACACCAACCAACTCTCTCACTCACCCGGCGTCCACGAAATGGCGGACCACCGCCTTCTCCTCGCCTTTATTTATACGCCATACTGGAATCACATGATTGGACGGGCTCCCCCAATGAGAAGCAGAAGAGGCCGTGACGTATGGCTACAAACGCAGCGAGAGCCGCGGTTGCTGGGAGCGCGCTCTGGCGGTTGCGCCGGGTGGGTGGAGACGTGCGTCGGCGCGCGCTCGTTGTAACAGGCCTGGTGCTCCCTCGAGCGTTCCTCCCGGTCTGTCGACCTCCAGGTTACCCACAGACTCCTCTTCCTCACCTCCAAATAGGCTAGGGCTTCATAAACAGCACCGTCGCCGTCACGCTCAAACACTAATAGGAGCCGTTGGCCCCTAACAAGATTAAGAGATGAATTAATTAAGTGCTTCACCCTTGTGAGCGGTTAGTCTGGAACTAAGAGCATCGCGTTTACAAACAGGTCACGGAGCTGTTTGTGACCCAGCTGGCACCAGACTGTGGCCGCCTAGATTCCACACTGAAGGAAAAGCCTGGTTTGGAAAGTTTGCCCAACTCTTGCTGGTTTCTCGTCTCTCAAGCAAACTTGCAGGACTTGGCGCCGACAGCAAAGGAGACCGGTCAGGTGACCTGGAAACTATCACCTTTAGCAAACACCCGGAAAGGGAAGTTTCTGAAGAAGATTGAATGTAAATTCTGGCCCCCAAGCAAATGCCAGGAGGGGTATCTCGAGCCTTTCTCCTAGCAGCCGTTGCACTGCCTGGCATGTATTTTGTCCGGGCCACTTCCCTTACGAAGACAGAGCCGCAAGAGTAATTAAGGGGAGAGAGACTGTGATTGGGTTAGAAAAATCACCAAGGGCCGGGCGCGGTGGCTCATGCCTGTAATCCCAGCACTTTGGGAGGCCGAGGCAGGCGGATCACTTGAGGTCAGGAGTTCAAGACCAGCCTGGCCAACATGGTGAAATCCCGTCTCTATTAAAAATACAAATGGCCGGGCATGGTGGCAGGCGCCTGTAATCCCAGCTACTTGGGAGGCTGAGAGCAGGAGAATCGCTTGAACCCAGGAGGCGGAGGTTGCCGTGAGCTGAGATCCTACCACTGCACAAAAAAAAAAAGAGAGAAAAAGAACCTGTCTTTTTATTTATTCCCTCTTAGCTGAAAGATATGCCAATTATTATGTTTTTTTTTTTCTTTTTTCTTTTTTTTTTTTTCTTGAGATGGAGTCTCGTTCTGTTGCCCAGGCTGGAGTGCAATGGCGCGACCTCGGCTCACTGCAAACTCCGCCTCCCGGGTTCAAGCGATTCGCCTACCTCAGCTTCCCGAGTAGCTGGGATTACAGGCACCTGCCACCACACCCGGCTAATTTTTGTATTTTTAATAGAGACGGGGTTTCACCATGCTGGTCAGGCTGGTCTCGAACTCGCCACCTCAGGCGATTCTCCCGCCTCGGCCTCCCAAAGTGCTGGTATTACAGGCGTGAGCCACAGCACCCGGCCAGCCAATTAATATGTTTTAACTTTCCCAGGTATTTTTCTTTTGAAGCCTTACCTCTTATTGTGGTTCTAAAAGGTTTATCTGTAGTGGAGGAAAAAAATACAGATTTATTACATCTCAGCCTAGTTTCCTCACCTGTAAAAGGGGAGAAGGGGATCCTAGCAAACCTTTTCTTATTTCTCTCTCGTCTAGATTTTTTTTTCTGGCTCACTTATATTTGCCTTGATTTGTTCCCCTCCTCTATGTAAGCTTTTCTCCTCTTTTTCATTTTCTTTCCTTCTATCAAATCAAAGGCTCTGGAGTCAGGCAGTCCTGGATTTGGCCCCAGCCCCCACTGCTAGTTACTGGCTGAAGCATCCTGAGAAGAACGTTTAACCTCTCTATTTCCTCTGTATAAAATAACCCCAGGCTTGCAGCGTTACAGATGTTAGGTTTTGTCACTTTGGCCAATTGTGGTCACACCTGCATCCCCAGGGCTTGGAAACGATACAGCAGTCAAGCAATACATATTTGTTTATTTTTAGTTAGTTATTTATTTTTGAGACTCTGGGTCTGGCTCTGTCACCCAGGCTGGAGTACAGTGGTTCGATCTCGCCTCACGGCAACGTCCACCTGCCGGGCTCGAGCAATTCTCCTACCTCAGCCTCCCCAACGACTAGGACCACAGGCGCGAGCACAGATGCCCAGCTAATTTTCGTATTTTTTGTAGAGACAGGATTTCACCATGTTGCCCAGGCTGGTCTAGAACTCCTGAGCTCAAAGCCATCCACCCTCCTCTGCCTCCCAAAGTGCTGGGATTACAGCCATGAGTCACGGCACCTGGCCTTTTTTTTTTTTTTTTTTTTTTGAGACAGGGTCTTGCTCTCTTACTCAGGCGGGAGGGCAGTGGAGCAAACTTCGCTCACCACAACCTGGACCTCGTGGGCTGGACCTCATGGGTTAAAATTAGCCACCATGCCTGGCTAATTTTTTGATTTTTTTGTAGAGGAGTCTCACTTTGCTGCCCAGATTGGTCTTGAACTCCTGGCCTCAAACGATTCTACCACCTTGGGAGAGTTGTTTGAGTTGTTCGAGACCAATCCAACTCCTGAGATTGGTCTTAAACTCCTGGCCTCAAACAAGTCTCTCAAAGTGCTGGGATTACAGGCGTGAACCACTGTGCTGGGCTGTTAAATTATTTAATTAAGAGAAATGATGTATGTAAATCATCTGGCACAATCACTGCTTTTAAAAATGCTGGCCGGCTGGGTGCAGTGGCTCACGCCTGTAATCGCAGCATTTTGGGAGGCCTAGGCTGGTGGACCACTTTAGACCAAGAGTTTGAGACCAGCCTAGGCAACATGGGGAGAACCTGTCTCTACTAAGAATACAAAAAGTTAGTCGTGGTGATGGGAACCTGTAGTCCAGCTACTCAGAAAGCTGAGGTGGGAGAATCGCCTGAACCTGAGAAGTTGAGGCTGCAATGAGCCAAGATCGTGCCACTGCACTCCAGTGCATTCCAGTGTAATCGAATGAGACCGTGTCTTATAAATAAATAAATAAATAAATGCTGGCCTTTTAAAATTTTTCTTTTCCCATCTCATTTTCCCATTCTTTCCCACCACTTTTCCTGTTTTTTGTTTGTGTGTTTGTTTGTTTTTGTGTGTGGTGCTAGTCAAGTCTAGTCAAGTGTGTTGTCTTTCAGTGGAACTCTCTTAATCCCTCTACCTCTAGTAACAAAAACATTCTGAACCTCCCCTGGCCATCCACAACTTTTCATCTTCTAGCGACTTCAGACAAATGAATTATCCACTTGCTTTAGAGGTGTTTTTTGTTGTTGTTGTTGTTGTTGTTGTCTCACTCTGTCACCCAGGCTGGAGTGCAGTGGCACAGTCTCCATCTCGGCTCACTGCAGCCTCCACCTCCCAGGTTCAAGCGATTCTCCTACCTCAACCTCCCGAGTAGCTGGGACTACAGGCATGCGCCACCACGCCAGGCTGATATTTGTATTTTTAGTAGAGATGGGGTTTCATCACGTTGGCCAGGCTGGTCTCGAACTCCTGGCTTCAAGTGATCTGCCCACCTTGGCCTCCCAAAGTACTGGGATTACAGATGGGAGCCACCACACCTAGTCCTGTGGAGTATTTTAATATTCCTTTAAACTTATACGACCACTACTCTTGTCTGGACCCTCGACTACCTGAAGCTTCAAGGAGACATATCAGGGTTTTTGGTACAGACACAGAATGGGAATCATATGTTGTAGGAATATCTCTTGATTTTCTTTGGGAAACCACCTTTCTCACAGTAGTACATATTATTGATTTGAATGTGGTTGGGTCCTACACCCCTCTTTTTCAGGGGTAGGGAGGTAACCATTCTGGATTAATTAAATCATCCAAGTTCTTAGTCCTTCCCTTGTGCCTCCCCCACCATTAGGAATGAGGATGAGTAATCCAGTCAGACCAGTCAGCTGCTGATCCAGCACTGTTCATAGGCCAACCAGAGAGAGGTGTGCTATTTCCCCTGATTAGCACAGTCCTGAGCCGGGGCAGCCAGCCTGTTTCCAGGAGGGAAGAAGCAGCCTGAGGTAGACCCAACACAGTGGGAAGGAGAACTGCAAGGTGGGAAATAAGGAGCCATGGAGAGTCTTGCTTAAGAAGGCTTTTTTTTTTTTCTTTTTTTTGAGATGGAGTCTTGCTCTGTTGCACAGGCTGGAGTGCATCGGCGAGGTCTCGGCTCACTGCAACCTCCACCTCCCAGGTTCAAGCAATTCTTGTGCCTCAGCCTCCCAAGTAGCTGGGATTACAGGTGTGCACCACCACACCCGGCTAATGTTTGTATTTTTAGTAGAGACGGGGTTTCACCATGTTGGCCAGGCTGGTCTTGAACTCCTGACTTCAGGTGATCCGCCCGCCTCAGCCTCGCAAAGTGCTGGGATTACAGGTGGGAGCCACAAAGCCCAGCCTGAATTCCCAGTTACTTGAACATACAGTCAGCCCTCTGTATCTTCAGGTTCCTGCAACCAACTGCAGATCAAAAATATTTTTTAAAAGAATAAAACATAATACAGCATAACAACCATTTACTTATATTGTGTTAGGTATAATTAATGTAGAGTTGATTTAAATTATAGGGGAGGATGTGCATAGATTATATGCAAATACTACATTTTATATAAGGGACTTGAGCATCCTTGGATTTTGGTATCCTCAGGGGTCCTGGAACCAGAACACCCACCACAAAGAGATCACCATACAAGTTCCTACACTTTCCTCAAAGTGGCTTAAGCCACTTTGAGTTAGATTTTTTCCTGTCATTAGACATCAGAAAGATTCTAAATACAAATATTCTTTTTTATTTTATTTTACAGAGGTGGGGGTCCTGCTATGTTGGCCAGGCTGGTCTCGAGCTCCTGGGCTCAAGTGATCCTCCTGCCTCTGCCTCCCAAAGTGGCCACCACACCAGGCCAAGATTCCAAGTACAAAAATTATTCTGACACAGACTTCTCACTATCTCAAGTTGAGAGCATGGTACTAAGTTACCTTTCAATTCTAAAATTCACCTGTTACCAATTCACTATTTTTGTTTGTTTGTTTGTTTGTTTTTGAGATGGAGTCTCACTCTGTCGCCCCGGCTGGGAGTTCAGTGTGTGATCTTGGCTCACTGCAACCTCTGGCTCCTGGGTTCAAGCAATTCTTCTGCCTCAGCCACCCAAGTAGCTGGGATTACAGGCGTTTGCCACAACGCCCAACAAATTTTTTTATTTTTAGTAGAGACAGGGTTTCGCCATGATGGCCAGGCTGGTCTGGAATTCCTGACCTCAAGTGATCCGCCCGCCTCGGACTCCCAAAGTACTGGGATTACAGGTGTGACCCACTGCACCTGGCCACGTATATATATTTTTTAACTTAAAATTTAAAAAATGTTTAATTTAAAATTAAAAACAAAAAATGCTGGGCACAATGGTTCATGCCTGTAATCCCAGCACTTTGAAAGGCTGAGGCGAGAGGACCACTTCAGGCCAGGAGTTTGAGACTGGCCTGGACAACATAGCAAGACCCCCCCGCCCCGTACAAAAAAATACAAAAATTAGCTGGGCATGGTGTTGTGCGCCTATAGTCCCAGCTACTTAGGGGGCTGAGTTGGGAGGATCACTTGAGCCTGTGAGGCAGAGGTTGCAGTGAGCTGAGATTGCACCACTTCACTCCAGCCTGGGGCACATAGTGAGACTCTGCTCAGAAAAAAAAAATTTTCAAAAAAGAAAGAAATTACTGATGGCCAGGTGCTAAGAGTTTTGTATAAGGTTTAATGTTTTTGTTGTTGTTGTTTTGTTTGTTTGTTTGAGACAGATTCTTGCTGTGTCACCAGGCTGGAGTTCAGTGGCATGATCTTGGCTCATTCCAACCTCCACCTCCCAGTTTCAAGTGATTCTCCTGCCTCAGCCTCCTGAGTAACTGGGACGACAGGCATGCGCCACCAAGCCCAGCTAATTTTTGTATTTTTAGTAGAGACAGGGTTTCACCATGTTGGCTAGGATAGTCTCAATCTCTTGATCTCGTGATCTACCCGCCTCAGCCTCCCAAAGTGCTGCGATTACAGGCGTGAGCCACTGCACCCAGCCTGGTTTAATGTTTTATGTTTTGGGGGGCCAAGATGGGAGAATCGCTTAAGGCCAGGTGTTCTGAAACCAGCAGTTTTACTATTGTCTCTACAAAAATTTAAAAAAACAAATTAGCAAAGTGGTGCTGCATGCCTGTAGTTCTAGCTACTCAGGAGGCTGAGACGGCAAGGATCTCTTGAGTACAGGAGTTCGAGGCTGCAGTGGGCTATGATTATTTCACTGCACTCCAACTTGGGCAACATAGCAAGACCTTGTCTCTAAGAAGAAAAAAAAATTTTTTTTGGCTATAATCCAAGCACTGTGGGAGGCTGAGGCAGGCAGATCATCTGAGGTCAGGAGTTTGAGACCAGCCTGGCCAACATGACGAAACCCTGTCTCTACTAAAAATACCAAAATTAGCCAGGCATAATGGTGCGCGCCTGTAATTCCAGCTACTTGGGAGGCTGAGGCAGCAGAATCCCTTGAACCCAGGAGGCAGAGGTTGCAGTGAGCCAAGATACCACTGCACTCCAGTCTGGGCAACAGAGTGAGACTCCGTTTCAAAACAAATAGATAAATAAATAAATAATAAAATATTTAATGTTTTAAATATTGTGATTGACTTCAAGTATCCGTGAAGGAAAATCTTAAACAGTATGAACCTTCACAGGCTGGGCGTGGTGGCTCATGCCTGTAATCCCAGCACTTTGGGAGGCCGAGGCAGGTGGATCACCTGAGGTCAGGAGTTTGAGACCAGCCTGGCCAACATGGTGAAACTCCATCTCCACTAAAAAATACAAAAATTGGCTGGGCGCGATGGCTCACGCCTGTAATCCCAGTACTTTGGGAGGCCGAGGTGGGAGGATCACAAGGTCAGAAGATCGAGACCATCCTGGCTAACACAGTGAAACCCCGTCTCTACTCAAAATACAAAAAATTAGCTGGGCATGGTGGCACTCACCTGTAGTCTCGGCTACTAGGGAGGCTGAGGCAGGAGAATCGGTTGAACCCAGGAGGCAGAGGTTCAGTCAGCCGAGATCACACCACTGCACTCCAGCCTGGGCAACAGAACGAGACTCCGTCTCAAAAAAGAAAAACCCAAAAATTAGCCAGGCATGGTGGCTCACACCTGTAATCACAGCTACTCTGGAGGCTGAGGCAGGAGAATCTCTTGAACCCGGGAGGCAGAGGTTGCAGTGAGCCAAGGTTGTGCCACTGCACTCCAGCCTGGGCCACAGAGTGAGACTCCGTCTCAAAAAAAAAGTAAAAATTTTTTAAAAAAGAGCATGAACCATCACAATAGTTCATTAACTACATGGTTCAGTCAAGATCCTGGCAGAAACCAGATGGCACACTTAAAGAGTTAACCACATAGGGAATTATGTACAGGGGTGTGGGCAGAGTTAAGGAAACCCATAGTGGGTAAGGGCAATCCCAAAGGCAGCTCGTAGGCCCAATGGGGCAAGGAAGGGAGCAGGGTTACCAAAAACAGCCAGCTGCTGTTGCTGTGGGAGATGAGCTATTATAGCTTTAGATAGAGGAACTGTGGCAGCCCAGTTTTGGGGGTGTGGGGCTAGAACCACTCTCTCCATTGTCCCATCTTTTAATGGTGACATCTTTTGCTCAAAACCAACTGGAAGCCTGAGGGCAAGAGAGCTGGGTGATACAAGTCTAGAGGTTGGTTGGCCAGGGCACAGAGCAGGGCTGAGAAGGCTAGAGAACTGATCTAGGGTTGTGCTGTCCAATATGGTAGCCACAGGTACCTGTGGCAAGTTTAGTCCTAATTGAGATGTGCTGTAAATGAAAAATACATGCTGGATTTTAAAGACTTTGTATGAAAAAATAATACATTATTTCATTTGATTTCAAGTTCAAATAGTTTTGATGTACTGAGTTAAAAAACTAGATTAAGGGCTGAGTACAGTGGCTCACACCTGTAATCCCAGCACTTTGGGAGACCGAGGCAGGCAGATCGCTTGAGCTCAGGAGTTTGAGACCAGCCTGGGCAACATGGTGAAACCCCATCTCTATCAAAAATACAAAAATTAGCTAGGCATGGTGGCAAACGCTTGTAGTCCCAGCTACCAGGGAGGTTGAGGTGAGAGGATCACTTTAACTCGGGAGGCAGAGATTGCGGTGAGCTGAGATCATGTCACTGCACTCCAGCCTTGACAACAGAGCGATACCCTGTCTCAAAAAAATAAATAAATAAATAAATAAATAAAATAAACTATATTAAAATTAATTTCAGTCAGGCACAGTGGCTCACACCTGTAATCCCAACACTTTGGGAGGCTGAGGAGGGCAGATCACCTGAGGTCAGGAGTTCGAGACCAACCTGACCAACACGGTGAAACCCTGACTCTACTATAAATACAGAAATTAGCTGGGCATGGTGGCGGGTACCTGTAATCCCAGCTACTCGGGAGGCTGAGGCAGGAGAATCGCTTGAACCCGGGAGGCAGAGGTTGCTCCAGCCTAAGCGACAGAGCAAGACTCTGTCTCTAAATAAATAAATAAATTTTGGCCAGGCGCAGTGGCTCATGCCTGTAATTCCAGCAATGTAGGAGGCCAAGGCGGGTGAATCACTTGAGGTCAGGAGTTTGTGGCCAACATGGTGAAATCTCGTCTCTCTAAAAACACAAAAATCAGCCAGGCATGGTGGTGGGTGCCTGTAGTCCCAAGCACTCGGGAGGCTGAGGCAGGAGAATGGCTTGAACAGAGGTAGTGGGGGTTGCAGTGAGCCAAGATCCCACCACTGCACTCCAACCTGGGCAATAGAGCAAGACTCTGTCTGAAACCAAAAAAAAAATTAATTTTATCTGTTTCTTTATACTTTTTAACTGTGGCTGCCAGAACATTTCAAATTAGCCAGTCAAGGTGGCATGGGCCCATAGTCCCAACTACTCTGGAGGCTGAGGCAAGAGTAATGCGCTATCATGGCACTACCAGTAGCTACTGCACTCCAGCCTGGACAGCACAGCAAGACCCCACCTCTAAAAAAATTACATATGTAGCTCTCATTCTATGTCTACTGGACTGTGTTGATCTACAGGGACAAATAGAAAATAAGCACACACAATTACAATAGATAGTCATTTAAAAGGTCATTTTAGTTCTGTATCCTGGACAACTATGTGAAAAGAGTGTTTTTACAAATTACATAGTTTTAAGCTTTTTAAAACTTAATTGCTTTGGTGGCCGGGCACGGTGGCTCATGCCTGTAATCTCAGCACTTAGGGGAGGCAGAGGCAGGCAGATCACCTGCGGTCAGGAGTTCGAGACCAGCCTGGCCAACATGGTGAAACCCCATCTCTATTAAAAATACAAAAATTAGTCCAGCGTGGTGGCAGGCACCTATAATCCCAGCTACTCAGGAGGCTGAGGCAGGAGACTTGCTTGAACACCAGTACTCGGGAGGCAGAGGTTGCAGTGAGCCAAGATTTCATCATTGCACTACAGCCTGGGCGACAGAGCATGACTTTGTCTCTGCCAGGCATGGAGGCTCATGCCTGTAATCCCAGCACTTTGGGAGGCCAAGGCAGGTGGGTCACTTAAGGTCAGGAGTTTGAGACTAGCTTAGCCAACAAGGTGAAACCCTGTCTCTACAAAAATACAAAAATTAGCCAGGCATGATGGCGGATGCCTGTAATCCCAGCTACTTGGGAGGCTGAGGCAGGAGAATCGCTTGAACCCGGGAGGCAGAGGTTGCAGTGAGCCAAGATCACGCCATTGCACTCCAGCCTGGGCAACAGAGTGAGACTCCGTCTCAAAAGAAAAAAAAAAAAAGATGCCATTTCCAAAAAAAACACCTTAATTGCTTTGATACTTTGAGATACCACCCTTCTATGTACTTTTTACCATTATAATATTTATTATACCTAAAATAATGAACAATAATTCCTTACTACCAAATATTCAATCAGTTTTCAAATTTCCCTTATTGCTTCATAAGTATTTCTACTTTTATTTTTATTTTTGAGACGGAGTCTCACTCTGTCACCCAGGCTGGAGTGTGGTGGCATAATCTCGGCTCACAGCAATCTCCGCCTCCCGAATAGCTGGGGTTTAAATGATTCTCCTGCCTCACCTTCCCGAGTAGCTGGGATTACAGGTAAGCGCCACCATGCCTGGCTAACTTTCGTATTTTTAGTAGAGACGGGGTTTCACCATGTTGGCCAGACTGGTCTTGAACTTTACCTCCGGTGATCTGCCCACCTCAGCCTCCCAAAGTGCTGGGATTACAGGCGTGAGCCACTCGCCCAGCCCAATTTTTTTAAAAGTTCATTAAAAAATGAGTAAATGGGCCGGGCGCGGTGGCTCATGCCTGTAATCCCAGCACTTTGGAAGGCCGAAGCCGGGCGGATCACGGAGGTCGGAGGATTGAGACCATCCTGGCTAATATGGTGAAACCCCGTCTCTACTAAAAATACAAAAAAACTAGCTGGGCGTGGTGGCGGGCGTCTGTAGTCCCAGCTACTCGGGATGCCGAGGCAGGAGAATGGCGTGAACCCGAGAGGCGGAGCTTGCAGTGCGCGGAGATCGCGCCACTACACTCTAGCCTGGGCGACAGAGCGATACCCCGTCTCAAAAAAAAAAAAAAAAAAAAAAAAAAAAATGAGTAGATGAAAGTTCTTATTCACAGCCTTCCCCAGAGACTTTGCCACAATCCTCTAAGTCTTGGTTTTAGAACAGAGACTGACACAAGGACCCATAGTGATTGCACCTCTGCTCCCTGTTTCTTTCTGTTCTATCCAAACACATCTTGATAGCATCTGATTGCTTGTCACATGTTGTTGTTGTTTTTTTTTTTTTTTTTTTGAGACAGATTCTTGCTCTGTCGCCCAGGCTGGAGTGCAGTGGCGCGATCTCAGCTCATTGCAAACTCCACCTTCCTGGTTCATGCCATTCTCCTGCCTCAGCCTCCTGAGTAGCTGGGACTACAGGCACCCGCCACCTCGCCCGCCTCATTTTTTTTTTTTTTTTTTTTTTTTTTTTGTATTTTTAGTAGAGACGGGGGTTTCACCGTGTTAGCCAGGATGGTCTCCATCTCCTGACCTCATGATCTGCCCGCCTCGGCCTCCCAAAGTGCTGGGATTTACAGGCGTGAGCCACCGCGCCTGGCTGGTTGTCACGTGTTTTAAAATTTAAATTACACATTTACCCAGATCTTTATTCTGTAGCCAGAAACCTATAACTTGCTTTACAAAGTGTTCTTGTTGATATTTGTTTTTGTTTTAACATTTTAAGGATGGGGTCAGCAAACGAAGGCTGGTCATTTCAGATTATAGTTTATGATTCTATTCAAGTTATACTTCCTGTCATTTACCATGTTGTGTCCTGGGAAAGTTTAGTCGTCTCAAAGTATGTTATATAATCAAAATATTAGAAAACATTGAATCAGCAAAGAGGATTTACGTATGTAAGGAAACTGGCAAGGCTAGGGGGCATTGAGTGGGTTTGTTTGTTTGTTTGTTTTGAGGAGAAGGGTCTCACTCTGTCGCCCAGGCTGGAGTGCGCTGGTGCAGTTTCAGCTTACTGCAACCTCTGCCTCCTGGGCTCAAGCCATATTCCTGCCTTAGCCTCCTAAGTAGCTGGGAATACAGGCTCGCGCCACCACATCCAGATAATTTTTGGGGTGTGTGTGTGTGTTTTATTTTTTGTAGAGACGGGGTTTCGTCATGTTGCCCAGGCTGGTCTTGAACTCCTGAGCTCAGCGATCCACCTGCTTTGGCCTCCGAAAGTGCTGGGATTACAGGTGTGAGCCACCACTCCCAGCCTTGAGTAGGTTTTAAGAAGATTCAGAGCTCTTCTTTTTTTTTGAGACAGAGTTTTGCTCTTGTTGCCCAGGCTGGAATGCAATGGCATGATCTCAGCTCACTGCAACCTTCGCCTGTTGGGTTCAAGTGATTCTCCTGCCTCAGCTTCCCAAGTAGCTGGGATTACAGACACCCGCCACCATGCCCAGCTAATTTTTTGTATTTTTAGTAGAGATGGGGTTTCACCATGTTGGCCAGGCTGGTCTTGAACTCCTGACCTCAGGTGATCCACCTGCCTCAGCCTCCCAAAGTGCCAGAATTATAGTCGTGAGCCACTGCACCTAGCAATTCAGAGCTCTTCTTACCATTGCCCCTCAAAGCTTGCAGAACAACGCAGGCATGATCAACTTTCCAAATATACAAGTATTTATATGTGTATATGTATGTCTGTATGTATATACATATAGACACAGAAAAAAGTACGAAAGTTTAACACTTAGCTCTAGATGATAAGACAGTTGAGGAATTTTTTTTTCCTGTTTTCTGCTTGGTTTAATTTTTGTTTTTCTTTTTTCTTTTTTTCCTTTTTGGAGACAGGATCTTGCTCTGTCACCCAGGCTGGAATGCAGTGGCATAATCACGGCTCACTGCAGCCTCGACCTCCTGGGCTCTTGCAATCCTCCCACCTCAGCCTTCAGAGTAGCTGAGACTACAGGCATGCACCACCACACCCAGCTAATTTTTTTACTTTTTGTAAAGACAAGGTCTCACTATATTGCCCAAGGTCGTCTTGAACTCCTGGGCTCAAGCAATCCTCCTGCCTCAGCCTTTCTTTTTATTTTTCTGAGATGGAATCTTGCTTCTTCACCCAGGCTGGAGTGCAGTGGTGCTATCTTCGCTCACCGCAACCTCTGCCTCCTGGATTCAAGCAATTCTCCTGCCTCGGCCTCCCCAGTAGCTGAGATTACAGGCACCACCACCGTGCCCAGCTAATTTTTGTATTTTTAGTAAAGTCAGGGTTTTGCCATGTTGGCCAGGCTGGTCTCGAACTCCTGACCTCAAGTGATCTGCCGCCTTGGCCTCCCAAAGTGCTGGGATTACAGGCTTGAGCCACCAGGCCCAGCCCTGCCTCAGCCTTTCAAAGTGCTGGGATTACAGGCGTGAGCCACCACATCCAGCCTAATTTTCTATAATTACATTTTGGTGCAAAATTAATAAAAGTTCTTTCTACTGAAGTAGAGAGCCAAAACACCTAAAAGAATGGCTTGGCTTTACAACTTTCATTTTAAATTGGTCCACAGTTAGTTTCCAACTGTTGTCAGTTAATTATCTTATTTCTCCCAATCTGGGAATGTCTCACAAACACCGAAATGTGGGAGTTTTCTGGGCACATTTGGGTAATTCTACTTTCCTGACACGCCGCCCCCCTCAACACATTTCTCCACACGCAACCACACCCCACCCACCCGACACACACATGCACACACACTAATTTTCACCCTGTCATTTTTCCTGGAGTGTACCTGACTTATAAAATGTAATTGTAGTACTTGAAACAAATGAAAACTAGGACACAGAGAAGTTAAGTAATTTGTCAAAGGTCTCACAGTTTATAAAGGATGAAGGTAGGGGCCGGGCTCAGTGGCTCACGCCTGTAATCCCAGCACTTTGGGAGGCCGAGTCAGGCGGATCACCTGAGGTCGGGAGTTCGAGACCAGCCTGAGAAACATGGAGAAACCCCGTCTCTACTAAAAATACAAAAGTAGCCGGTCGTGGTGGCACATGCCTGTAATCCCAGCTACTTGGGAGGCTGAGGCAGGAGAATCGCTTGAACTTGGGAGGCGGAGGTTGCGGTGAGCCAAGATTGTGCCACTGCACTCCAGCCTGGGGAACAAGAGCGAAACTCCGTCTCAAAAAAAAAAAAAATGGGTGAAGGTGGGATTCAAATCCCAGGTGAGACTCTGGAGCCTGGTGTCCACTTGAGGAGCAGAAAGCAGCTATGATTGGGCCACATGCAGTGGTTCACACCTGTAATCCTAGCACTTTGGGAGGCCAAGGTGGGTGGATTGCTCGAACTCAGAAGTTTGAGAACAGCCTGGCTAACGTGGCAAAACCTTGTCTCTACCAAAAATAAATAAATATATATATATAGCTGGGCGTGGTGGTGCGTGCCTGTGGTCCCAGCTACTCGGGAGGCTAACGCAGGAGAATTGCTTGAGCCCAGCCATAAGGGAGGCTGCAGTGAGCTGAGATCGCACCACTGCACTCCAGCCTGGGCAACAGAGGGACTTTATCTCAGAAAAAGAAAAAGAGAGAGAAAAAAAGAAAGCAACAATGCTTGGAAATTGCCTGCGTTTGGTGTCTCTGGGGGTGTGTGTTTGCTTTTTCAGCCCCCCCTTTCCTCCAGAGAGCCCTAAGGAACACCATGTTACATGGACAGACGTCCTTCCTCGCATGCTGGGCCCCCTGAGGCAGCACAGTTCCTGAGCTCCAAGACTCTTCCCCGTTTTGATTTCAGCCCCACCCTCCCTTCCCACTCAGTGGTGCCTGGACTTCAATGCCTGCCTCGTGTGTGTTACCTTATTTGGTTCTCAGACCTACAGAGAGGTCTGGCAAAGGATCCAGGCTAGAATAAAAGGATTGCTTGTGCAGCTGGAAGATGAGAAACCTTTGTTTCGGTGACCCTAGCTTGCACTCTGGAACTCACAAATACAGGGAAGTAAGTTTAGCCTCAAAAGCAACAACAAGAAGCAACTGAAGAGGGCAGAGTGGAGATGTCAGGATGTCACAATCTTTAGTGTGTGCTTAATTCTGTGTTTTGAAAGATATTTGTCTGTTTAGCTCCAGTATGGCTTTCTTTTTTTCCTGAGTTTCTAGAGTTTACACACTAATTTAGTTTGTAGCCAAGAAAACTCAGGCCCAGCAAGTGATAGCTGTCATAATTTCGCATAAGCTTGTGTGTAGCATTTACCACTTTTTTTTTCTTTTCTTTTTTTTTTTTTTTTTTTGAGATGGAGTCTCACTCTGTCACCCAGGCTGGAGTGCAGTGGCATAGTCTCAGATCACTGCAACCTCCACTTCCCAGACTCAAGCGATTCTACTGCCTCAGCCTCCCAAGTAGCTGAGTTTACAGGCGCCTGCCACCATGCCTGGCTAATTTTTGTATTTTTAGTAGAGCTGAGGTTTCACCATGTTAGCCAGGCTGGTCTCCAACTCCTGACCTCAAGTGATACACCCACACTGGACTCCCAAAGTGCTGGGATTATAGGTATGAGCCACTGTGCCTGGCCCATTTACTACTTTTTTTTTTTTTTTTTTGTGACAGAGTCTCACTCTGTTACCCCAGGCTGGAGTGCAGTGGTGCAATCTCGGCTCACTGCAACATCTGCCTCCTGAGTTAAAGAGATTCTCCTGCCTCAGCCTCCTGAGTAGCTGGGATTACAGGTGTGCAACACCTGGCCCGGCTAATTTTTTGTATTTTAAGTAGAGACGGAGTCTCACCATGTTGGCCAGGCTGGTCTCAAACTCCTGACCTCAGGTGATCCACCCGCCTCGGCCTCCCAAAGTGCTGGGATTACAGGTGTGAGCCACTACGCCTGGCTCATTTACTACTTTTTAAACCTGGTTCAGAGCATCTCTCTCTCAATCTCCCTCTCTTTCTGGCTGTCTTTCTGTCTCTATCTTTTTTTCTCTCTCTCTCCTCTACACATGCACACACTCATGCATACACACACACACACACACTCATTTAATCCTTGAAACTCAGGTAAATGTTATTATCTCCATTTTATAGAGGAAAACAACTGAGGCACAAGAGATTAAAACACTTGCCAAAGGTCACAGAGCTCAGAATTACCAGAGCCAGATTAGACCCCTGCAGTCAGGCTACCTAACCATAGACCCATACTGCCTCTGGGGCCCAGCAGATGTCTGAGTCCTTATCTTACTGGACTCACAGCATCTCAGCCTGTTAATTCTCCCTCCCAGTTTCCACATTCCCATCTCTCTGGCTCCTCTTCCTTAGTGCCCTCCAGAGTGCTCTTCCTCCTCTGCCTGCTAATGCAGGGGGCCCGCGGGATTCCCTCCCGTGCCCCTTCCCAGCTCCCCGTGTGCTCTCTCCATGAGGGACTTCATCTGCTTTCAGGACCTCTGTTCTCTGCTTTATCTTTGGAGGAGTGGGGGCTCTCCCCGACCCCTGAGCCATATATCCAACACACATGCTTCTTTCTCATGTCCCCAACGTGCTTCAGACCTCCAATTCACTATCTTTCCATTCTGTGTCCCATATCAGAGTGTCACTGCCTCCTGGTCACTCTCGACTGACCATGGGCCTCATGGCCTTCATACCTGGCCCCCGCCTACCTCCAAGGCATCTCGTATTTCCTCTCCAGAAACAAGCTGTGTATCCCTGCATTCAGTCCCCTCTACCTGGAATGCTCTAATCTGGATTTTTCAAACTTTTGATCACAACAGTAGGAAAGACATATGATATCACCAGTACCTAAAAGTCTATGACCCAAGGGTAGACAGAGTTGATGCTGTCTGAATGTTCGCAAACAGTGGTTGGTGACACTGTGTTCAAGTTAGAATACCGTTGCCAGGCCGGGCACGGTGGCTCACACCTGTAATCCCAGCACTCTGGGAGGCCGAGGCGGGTGGATCATGAGGTCAGGAGTTTGAGACCAGCTTGGCCAATGTGGTGAAACCCCGTCTCTACTGAAAATACAAAAAAAAAAAAAGCCGAGTTGGTGGCATGCACCTGTAGTCCCAACTACTTGGGAAGCTGAGGCAGGAGAATCACTTGAACCCAGGAGGAGGAGGTTGCAGTGAGCCGAGATCGCGCCACTGCACTCTAGCCTGGGCAACAGAGGGAGACTCCATCTCAGAAAGAAAGAAAAAAAAAAGAATACCGTTGCCAGGTCACACTAGTTAGAATTCCAGTCTGGTTTGTGTCCACACCCAGGGAAGTTATTCAAAATATTTAACCACAGTTCAGCCTGGATCCTAACTAATCAAAACAGTCATCAGAGGGTGGCAAGAGAAGAGACTGGGTGCCGGGGGTGGGTGGAAGATAAGCACTGGCTTGAGGTCTCAGAGCAGCTGCTGTCTACCAATGAACACACAACTATTTAAATATTTTAATAATTGCTACCTCTGTTCCAGAGCCTTCCCATCACCCTGTCCACCCTTTAGCTTCTTCTTCTTTTTTTTTTTTTTTTTCCCATGGACAGCCTTCTGAGCCAGGGCAGGCTCAGAAACTCCCTCCCACTTAGATTCTGAGTCCCTTGCTGACTCCACCATCTAGTCCCTCTCTCAGATTCCTTGCTTTTCTGCCACTTGCTAATTTTTTTTTTTTTTTTAGAGATGGAGTCTTGCTCTGTCGCCCAAGCTGGAGTGTAGTGGCACGATCTCAGCTCACTGCAAACTCCGCCTCCTGGGTTCTACCAATTCTTCTGCCTCAGCCTCCCGAGTAGCCAGGATTACAGGCGGACTCCACCACACCCGGCTAATTTTTTGTATTTTAGTAGAGACGGGGTTTCACCGTGTTGCCCAGGCTGGTTTTGAATTCCTAAGCTCAGGCAATCCACCCGCCTCGGCCTCCCAAAGTGCTAGGATTACAGGCATCAGCCACCGCGCCCAGCCACTACTTTCTACCTCTATTTTTGCTTGGAAAAGAGCCCAGGAGGTCTAATTAATTCTAATTTCTGAAAGAAAAACAGAAATCAATGAACAGGGCTTTCATGAGAAAGGCCTGTTGGGTAACAGTGTTCAGTTTCTGCCTTATACCAGCAGGTGCTGGAAAGGGGAACACAACAGCCTGTGAGACACAGGACTGTAGAGGCCTTGCCGAGATGAGGGAGTTCACGGCAGGGAGGTGAGACGTTTCTCACTAGCCTCTGACCATGTTACTAGGAAGCAGGTGTCCAGTAACAGGCATGCAGCTACAAATCTTCAAAATACCTTGGCAACTGAGAGCTTTTATTTTATTTATTATTATTATTATTATTATTTGAGACAGAGTCTTGCAGTGTCGCCCAGGCTGGAGCATAGTGGCAGGATCTTGGCTCACTGCAACCTCCGCCTCCTGGGTTCAAGCAATTCTCGTGTCTCAGCCTCCCGAGTAGCTGGGATTACAGGCGTGTACCACTACACCCGGCTAATTTTTGTATTTTTAGTAGAGACGAGGTTTCACCGTGTTGGCCAGGCTAGTCTTGAGCTCCTGATCTCAAGTGATCCTGCCTTGGTCTCCCAAAGGGCTGGGATTACAGATGTGAGCCACCGCACCCAACCGAGAGCTTTTATTTTAGAAGCAAATTCTTATCAGGATTCTTGGTTGTTGGCTGGGATTAAAACCTTGAGAAACTCCTTTTTTATTTTTATTTTTCGAGGAGTCTTGCTCTGTCACCCAGGCTGGAGTGTGGTGGTGCAATCTTGGCTCACTGCAACCTCCGCCTCACCGGTTCAAGCAATTCTCCTGCCTCAGTCTCCCTAGTAGCTGGGATTACAGGTGCGTGCCACTACTCCTGGCTAATTTTCGTATTTTTACTAGAGATGGGGTTTCACCATATTGGCCAGGCTGGTCTCAAACTCCTGACCTCGTGATCTGCCTGTCTTGGCCTCCCAAAGTGCTGGGATTACAGGCGTGAGCCACCATGCCTGGCCGAGCAACTTCTTTAAACTCTTTTGAGTCTCATTGTCATATATTTTGTATGCAAAAGGAGAAAACAAGAATGACCTAAAGCTGGGCTGATGCCTGTAATCTCAACACTTTGGGAGGCCAAGGCAGGTAAATTGCTTGAGCTCAGGAGTTAAGACCAACCTGGGCAATGTGGTGAAATCGCGTCTCTACAAATAAGACAAAAATTAGCTGGGTGTGCTGGTCTCAGTGAGAGGATTGTTTGAGCCCAGGAGGTCAAGGCTACAGTGAGCCAAGATTGTGCCATTGCACTGCAGCCTTTGTGACAGAGCGAGACTCTGTCTTAAAAAAGAATAAAAATAAAAAAATAAAAATTAAGGGCCACACACAGTGGCTCATGCCTGTAATCCCAGCACTTTGGGAGGCCGAGGCGGGTGAATCACTTGAGGCCGGGAGTTCGAGACCATCCTGGCCAACATGGCAAAACCCCATCTCTACTAAAAATACAAAAAATTAGCTGGACATGGTGGGGCACGCCTGTAATCCCAGCTACTTGGGTGGCTGAGGCATGAGAATTGCCTGAACCCAGGAGGTCGAGGTTACAGTGAACCAAGATCACACACCACTGTATTCCAGCCTGGGTAACAGAGCAAGATTGTCTCAAAAAAAAAAAAAAAAAAAGAGAGAGGGAGAAAAAGAATGACCCACCTGAATCAAAAAGGTGTGTGAAGATTAAAACAACTCTTTATTTTGAAAACTGGTAATTAGAAAAGAAAGAATTAGACATTTTACCTTCCTTTACAGTGGGAAATATATTTAGGGTAACTATATCATGTCAGTGGATAAGATAAGGCTCTATTTTATCAAAGAATGCCAGGTAATCAATATAGAAATAATGTTAGAAATATAATATCAGCATTTTGTAAGCTTTTTGCAAGCATTTTGCAAACCTTCAAGCAAGGATTGTCCATAGGTTTTTAAATCATGAGGTGACCTACCTATTAGGTCAAATTAAAATTTGAAAGCCTGACCATACTAAGTGTTGGTGAGGATATGGATGAAATGAAACCCTCAAGCATTGCTGGTATAAATGTAAAATGGTACAGCCACATTGGGAAACAGTTTGGCAATTTCTTAAAAAGTTAAACATACACTTACTTTGTGACCCAGGCATTCTACTTCTTGATATTTGCTCAAGAGAAATTAAAGCATATGTCCACACAAAGACTTGTACATGAATGTTCATAGCAGCTTTACTTGTAATAGCCAAAAAAAAAAAAAAAAAAAAAGGGAATCAACTCAAATATCTTTTAGTAGGTAAATGGATAATATGGCATATTTGGGATGCTACTTAGCAATAAAAGGAATGAACTACTATTATATGCAACAACATTGATTAATCTTAAAATATGCTGAGTGAAAGAAGTCAGACAAAAAAAGTGCATGATTCCATTTACATAAAACTCTAGAAATGCAAACTAATATATAGTGACAGGAAACAGATTAGTGGCTATTTGAGGATGTGGAGTGGGAGGAACAGAAGCAAGGAATTGTTATTATTATTTATTTATTTATTTATTTTTTGAGGTAGAGTTTCACTCTTGTTGCCCAGGCTGGAGTGCAATGGCACAATCTTGGCACACTGCAACCTCCGCCTCCTGGGTTCAAGTGATTCCCCTGCCTCAACCTCCCAAGTAGCTGGGATTACAGGCGCCTGCCACCACACCTGGCTACTTTTTGTATTTTTAGTAGAGACGGGGTTTCACCATCTTGGCCAGACTCAGCTGAAGCAAAGAATTATTAAGGGGCAAGAGAAAACTATTGGGGGAGATGGAATACACACACACACACACACACACACACACACACACAGAGTCATGCATTGCTTAAGGACGGAGGTACATTCTGAGAAATGCATTGTCAGATGATTTCCTCATTGTGGGAACATCATAGAATGCACTTACACAGGCCGGGCGTGGTGGCTTACACCTGTAATTCCACTACTTTGGGAGGCCAAGGCGGGCAGATTATCTGAGATCAGGAGTTTGAGACCAGCCTGGCCAATATGGCGAAACCCCGTCTCTACTAAAAATACAAAAATTAGCCAGGTATGGTGGCGAGTGCCTGTAATTCCAGCTACCCAGGAGGCTGAGGCAGGGGAATCGCTGGAACCTGGGGGACAGAGGCTGCAGTGAGCTGAGATTGTGCCACTGCACTCAGCCTGGGCGACAGAGCAAGACTCTGTCTCAAAAAAAAAAAAAAAAAAAAGAATGTACTTACACAAACCTAGATGGTATAGCCTATCACATACCTAGACTATATGGTATAGCCTATTCCTCCTAGGCTACAAACCTATGCAGCATGTTACTTACTGAATACTACAGGAAATTTTAACACAATGGTATTTGTGTATCTAGACATATTTTAACACAGGAGAGGTACACAAAAACACAGTAAAAAAGATTTTAAAATTGCACACTTCTGTAGGGCATGTGTCAGGAACGGGGCTTGCAGGACTGGAAGTTGCTCTGGGTGAGTCAATGAGTGAGTGTGAAGACCTAGGACACTACTGCAGACTTTATAAACACTGTACACTTAGGCTACACTAGATTTATTTATTTATTTTTCTTTCTTCAGTAATAAGTTAACCTTACCTTACTATAACTTTTTTTTTTTTTTTTTTTACTTTTTATACCTTTTTTTTTTCTTTTTTTAAGAGACAGGGTCTTACTCTGTTGCCCAGGCTGGAAAGCAGTGGCGCAATCATAGCTCACTGCAGCCTCGAACCCTTGGGGTCAAGGGATCCTCCCACCTCAGCTTCCTGAGTAGCTGGGACTACAGCATGTACCAACAGGCCAAGCTAATTTTTTTTTGTTTTGTTTTTGTAGAGATGGGGTCTCCCTGTGTTGCCCAGGCTGGTCTCAAACTCCTAGACTCAAGCCATTCTCCTGCCTCGGTCTCTCAAAGTGCTGGAATTACAGGAATGAGCCATAGCGCCAGGCATGCTACTTTTATAAGTAGGTTTGTTTACACCAGCATCACACAAACACATGAGTAAGGCATTGTGCTACAACATTGCAATGACCATGACATCACTAGGTGATAGGAATTTTTCAACTCCTTTATAACCTCATGGGAGAAACCACCATCTTTTTTTTTTTTTTTTGAGATGGACCTTTGCTCTTTTGCTCAGGCTTAAGTGAAGTGGCATGATCTCAGCTCACTGCAACCTCCCCCTCCCAGGTTCAAATGATTCTCCTGCCTCAGCCTCTGAAGTAGCTGGGATTATAGGTGCCTGCTATCATGCCCGGCTAATTTTTGCATTTTTAGTAGAGACGGGGTTTCGCCATATTGGCCAGGCTGGTCTTGAACTCCTGACCTCAGGTGACCCACCGGCCTCGGCCTCCCAAAGGGCTGGGATTACAGGCATGAGCCACCACGCCCAACCATCTTTTGTGTGTTTGTGTGTGTGTGTGGTTTTTTTTTTTTTTTTTGAGACAGAGTCTCACTGTGTCACCTAGGCTACAGTGCAGTGGTGCAATCTCGGCTCACTCCAACCTCCGCCTCCTGGATTCAAGTGATTCTCCTGCCTCAACCTCTGGAGTAGCTGGGATTACAGGTATGTGCCACCATGCCCGTCTAATTTTTTTGTATTTTTAGTGGAGATGGAGTTTCACCATGTTGGCCAGGCTGGTCTTGAATTCCTGACCTCAGGTAAATCATCCGCCTCGGCCTCCCAAAGTGCTGGGATCACAGGCGTGGGCCATCACACCCGTCCAGACCACCATCTTATATGTGGCCTGTCTTTGACTGAAATGTTGTCACGCAGTGCATGCCTGTATGTCAAAACTTATCAAATTGTACCTGTGATCGTCCTTTTGAAGTGTCAATTTAGCTAGGCTATAGTGCCAGTTATTCAGCCAAATTAATCTAGGTGTTGCTGTGACAGTCTTTTGTAGCTGTAAATTCCATAATCAGTCGACTTTCAGTAAGAAAGATTATCCAATTGTCTGAGTGGGTCTGATTCAATTAGTTGAAAGGCTTCAAAAACAGAGTTGAAAGCCATTTGTGGTGACTCATGCCTATAACCCCATCACTTTGGGAGGCTGAGGCTAGTGGATCACTTGAGCTCAGAAGTTTGAGACCAGTCTGGGCAACATGGTGAAGCCCCATTTCTACAAAAAATACAAAAATTAGCCAGGCATGATGGCACACACCTGTAGTCCCAGCTACTCAGGAAGTTGAGGTGGGAGGATTGCTTGAGCCCAGGAGGTCAAGGCTGCAGTGAGCTGTGATTGTGCTACTGCATTCCAGCCAGGGCAACAGTGAGACCCTGTCTCAAAAAAAAAAAAAAAGGAAGAGTCAGAGAGATGCAACATTGCTGACTTTTAAGATGGAGGAAGGGGCCATGAGCCAAGGAATGTGGGCAACCTCTAAGAGCAAGAAAAAGCAAGAAATACATTCTGCCTCAGAGCCTCAGCATAGAAATGCAGCCCTGCTGACACCTTGATTTGAACCCAATAAGATCCGTGTTGAACTTCTAATCCTATAGAACTGTAAGATAATAAATTTGTACTGTTTTAAACCACTGTTTGTGATAATTTGTTACATCAGCAATATAAAATTATGAATACAGTACCCTTTTAAAATGTGCCATTCTTTATATGTCAGTTATTATTATTATTATAGTATTATTTTTAAGACAGGGTCTTGCTGTCACCCAGGCTGGAGTGCAGTGGCACGATCACAGCTTATTGCAGCCTCAAACTCCTGGGCTCAGGCGATCCTCCCTCAGCCTCCTGAGTAGCTGGGACTACAGCCATGCACCATCACACCTGGCTAATTTAGAGATGGGGGTCTCGGCCGGGCGCAGTGGCTCACACCTGTAATCCCAGCACTTTGGGAGGCTGAGGCGGGTGGATCACCTGAGGTCGCGAGTTCGAGACTAGCCTGACCAACATGGAGAAACCCTGTCTGTACTTAAAATACAAAATTAGCCGGGCGTGGTGGCGGGTGCCTGTAATCCCAGCTACTCGGGAGGCTGAGGCAGGAGAATCACTTGAACCTGGGAGGCAGAGGTTGTGGTGAGCCGAGATTGCGCCATTGCACTCCAGCCTGGGCAACAAGAGCAAAACTCCATCTCAAAAAAAAAAAAAAGAGAGAGATGGGGGTCTCACTATGTTACCCAGGCTGGTGTGTGTCAATTATACTACAATAAAGCTGCTAAAAATTAAATGAAGCTGGGCAATGATACATGCCTGTGGTTCTAGTTACTCAGGAGGATCACTTGAGCCTGGGAGTTCAAGTCAAGCCTGGGCAATAAAGCGAGAACTGGTCTGTCAAAAAAAATAAAATAAAACAAAATAAAATAAATGAATGGTTAATAGAGAACTAGACATACAAACAGTGCCAGTTAATACCACATTGTTTCACTTCTACTTTCAAATTGAGGGTGAAGTGGATGCAACTGTATAGTGGGAAACACACTATTGTTCCCCTAAGTGCAGTTCAATTGTAGCATCAGTAATGGCTCTAGACCAAGTTTATGCAACCTGCCCAGAATGGCTTTGAATGCGACCCAAACTTGAAAACTTTCTTAAAACATTATGAGATATTTTTGTGTGTGATTTTTATTTTAGCTCATCAGCTATCATTAGGGTATTTTTTGTGTGGCCCAAGACAATTCTTCTAATTCCAGTGTGGCCCAGGGAAGCCAAAAGTTTGGACACCCCTGCGAGTCTAGACATTAGGTATCTTCTGATGATATATATGAATAGACAACACCACTGAGACTACAGTCTAGCCATAATGTTTAAATTGAATCTCTTTTACCTTTAGATATAACCTTTAATTTTCTTTTTTTTTTTTTTTTTGAGACGGAGTCTCGCTCTCTCGCCCAGGCTGGAGTGCAGTGGCACCATCTCGGCTCACTGCAACCTCCATCTCTCAGGTTCAAGAAATTCTCTGCCTTAGCCTCCTGAGTAGCTGGGATTACAGGCACCTGCCACCATGCCCGGCTAATTTTTTTTGTATTTTTAGTAGAGACGGGGTTTCACCATCTTGGCCAGGCTGGTCTTGAACTCCTGACCTTGTGATCTGCCCACCTCGGCCTCCCAAAGTGCTGGGATTACAGGCGTGAGCCATCACGCATGGCCCATAACGTTTAATTTTCAGTAAACATAGGGTATAAAATAAATATTTGTCACAAGTAAGCAGACAGACAAATCCAGAAGGTGAAACATTATTTTGCAGGGCAGCTGGCCTGGTCTTTTGGAAAGTCAATATCATGACAAAAGGATTGGAAGAGACTAAAGGCCATGACAATCAGATCAACGAGTAGTCCTGCATCAATACTGGTTTCAGGTCGGGCGCAGTAGCTCATGCCTGTAATTCTGGCACTTTAGGAGGCTGAGGTGAACGGATCACCTGAGGTCAGGAGTTCCAGACCAGCCTGGCCGACATGGTGAAACCTTGTCTCTACTAAAGATACCAAAATTAGCTGGGCATGGTGGCGCAAGCCTGTAGCCCCAGCTACTCGGGAGGCTGAGGCAGGAGACTTGCTTGAACCCGGGCGGCGATGGTTGCAGTGAGCCAAGATTGTGCCACTGCACTCCAGCCTGGGCAACAGAGAGACTCCGTCTCAACAACAACAACAAAAACTGATTTCAACAGATTTGATCTAAAGGACATTTTGGGGCCGGGCACGGTGGCTCACGCCTGTAATCCCCCCAACTTTGGGAGGCCAAGGCGGGCTGATCACAAGATCAGGAGATCGAGATCATCCTGGCTAACGTGGTGAGATGCCGTCTCTACTAAAAAAGAAAAAAAAATAGCCTGGTGTGGTGGCGGGCGCCTGTAGTCCCAGCTACTCAGGAGGCTGAGGCAGGAGAATGGCGTGAACCTGGGAGGCAGAGCTTGCAGTGAGCCAACATTGCGCTACTGCACTCCAACCAGCCTGAGCGACAGAGCGAGACTCCGTCTCAAACAACAAAACAAAACAAAACAAAACAAAACAAAAAACAAACAAAATACTACTACTACTACTAATAAAGGACATTTTGGGGGAAATTTGAATATGGTATAGATATTACACAAAGTGAAAGTTTACAAGAGTGAAAAGAGAGAGTTTGTTGACCAAAAAAGAAAGGTTACAAAATAGTACAAAGCTTATGATTTTATTTGGGTTAAAAAAATGTGCACTGAAAAAGGTCCAGGCCAGGAGTGGTGGCTCATATCTGTAATCCCCACACTTTGGGAGGCTGAGGTAGGTGGATCACTTGAAGTTAGGAGTTCGAGACCAGCCTGGCCAATATTGGTGAAACCCCGTCTCTACCAAAAAATACAAAAATTAGCCGGGTGTGGTGGCAGGCACCTGTAATCCTAGAAACTCGGGAGGCTGAGGTAGGAGAATCACTTGAACCTCGGGAGGCAGAGGTTGCAATCAGCTGAGATCATGCCACTGCACTCCAGCCTGGTGACAGAGTGAGATTGCATCTCAAAAGAAAGAAAAGAGGTCCAGAGTGACATATGCTAAGCTGTTAGCAGTGGAATCTTTGGTAATGTGACAATGATATTTTCTTATTTTTGCCTGCTTGGTTTTTTCTAACTTTTTATCCTGAACATGCATGATTTTATAATAATAAAACATTATTTTGGCCAGGCACAGTGGCTCACGCCTGTAATCCCAGCACTTTGGGAGTCCGAGGTGGGGTGGATCACCTGAGCTGAGGAGTTTGAGACCAGCCTGACCAACATGGTGAAACCCCATCTCTACTAAAAACACAAAAATTAGCCACACGTGGTGGCGCATGCTTGTAATCGCAGCTACTCGGGAGGTTGAGGCAGGGCAATCACTTGAATCCAGGAGGCAGAGGTTGCAGTGAGCCGAGATTGCGCCACTGCACCCCAGCCTGGGTGACAGAGTGAGACTCTGTCTCAAAAAAACAAAATAAAACAAAACAAAAAAACTCCATTATTTTTAAAAGCATATTAGAATTACATGAGCTAACAGATAACACAAATACAGTATTTTGACTACATTAAGCATACCTATGGCTGCTCCCCCGTGTCTAGCAGGCTAGTAATAACTAACATTTAGTGAGTTCTTACAAGGTGTCCCGCACACTTCTAATTGCTTTAACTGTATTCATTCAGAGGTGTTCAAACTTTTTGATGGTGACTCACAATCAAAAATACAGTTTACAGGCCGGGTGCGGTGGCTCACGCCTGTAATCCCAGCACTTTCGGAGGCTGAGGCGGGTGGATCACGAGGTCAGGCTAACATGGTGAAACCCCATCTCTACTAAAAATACAAAAAATTAGCCGGGCAGGCGCTTGTAGTCCCAGCTACTCAGGAGTCTGAGGCAGGAGAATGGCATGAACCCGGGAGGCGGAGCTTGCAGTGAGCCGAGATGGCGCCACTGCGCTCCAGCCTGGGCGACAGAGCGAGGCTCCGTCTCAAAAAAAAAAAAAAAGAACAGTTTACAGAGCAATGCAGTACACTCATGCATACACACATACTCATATACTTTCTTTTCTTTTCTTTTTTTGAGATAGGGTCTGGCTCTGTCACCCAGGCCACGGTGCAGTGGTGCAATCTTGGCTCACTGCAGCCTCAACTTGCCAGGCTCAAGCCATCCTCCCACCTCACCCTCCTGAGTAGCCAGGACTACAGGTGCACACCACCACACCTGGCTGATTTTCATATTTTTTTGTAGAGATGGGGTTTTGCTGTGTTGCCCAGGAGGGTTTCGAACTCCTGGGATCAAGCGATCCGCCCACCTTGGCCTCCCAAGTGCTGAGATTACAGTTGTGGGCTACTGTGCCCAGCCTGCACATACTTTCATACCATACACAACAGAAATAAAAGCTTTCAGAAAATAATTACCTGCCCTGACTATGTAACACATTCTGAATTCTTGTATTTTATTATATTCCATCCAATTCTATTTTATTTTTTAAAAATTCTGGTTAATCTGTTAAATCAATCTTACGACCCACTAATGGGTTTTGACCTGCAGTTTGGAAAACTCTTTTAAAACTAATTTAATACATTTACACACAGACACATACAAACCCCTATGAGGTAAGAACTATTATTGCACCAATTTTTTACAAGAGGAAGTTCTGGCACGAAGAGGTTAAATAACTTGCCTAAGCACACACTGCTAAGGATGAGGTAGGAGAAACGGGGTTCCAACCCAGAGGGCCAGGTCCAAAGTCTGTCCTTTGAACCGTTGTATCACAGGGGCTCTCTCATCCCATCAGGCACATGGTGATAAATAAATATCTGCTTGGGCCAGGTGCGGTGGCTCATGCCTGTAATCTCAGCACATTGGGAGGCCTAGGTGGGTGGATCACCTGAGGTCAGGAGTTCGAGACCAGCCTAGCCGACATAGTGAAACCCTGTCTCTATTAAAAAATACAAAAAATTAGCTGGGTGTGGTGACGGACACCTGTAACCCCAGCTACTCAGGAGGCTGAGGCAGGAGAATCACTTGAACCCGGGAGGCGGAGGTTGCAGTGAGCCGAGATGGCACCATTGCACTCCAGTCTGGGCAACAAGAGCGAAACTCCATCTCAAAAATAAACAAATAAATAAATATCTGCTGATACATATTTGACCCTTCAAAGGGGTGATGCAAGTAATATTTTAACAGAGAGCTCTGTTAAATTTATTGGAGTGTTCAAGTTACAGCAGATTTAGGGAGCAGAAGTCGTATTTTCTCACTCTTCTATTTCATGATGAACAGTACTACTGTGCAAAGAGACTTCAAAGTCAGATAATACTGGGTTCAAATACTGGCTCCACACCAGGGACAGATCCAGATTCTGTGGGGACTAAAGCTTATGCAATTTTGAAAGCTCCTCTTAAGAAGATAGGCCAGGCATGGTGGCTCACGTCTGTAATTCCAACACTTTGGGAGGGTGAGGCGGGCGGATCACTTGAGCTTGGGAGTTTGAGACCAGCCTGGTCAATATGGTGAAACACTGTCTCTACTAAAAATACAAAAATTAGCCGGGTGTAGTGGCGCATGCCTGTAATCCTAGCTACTTGGGAAGCTGAGGCAGGATAATCACTTTAACCCAGGAGGCAGAGGTTGCAGTGAGCCGAGATGGCACCACTGCACTCCAGCCTGGGCAGCAGAGCGAGACCCTGTCTCAAAAGACAAAAACAACAAAAAACAAAATGATGGATACAGAATTAGGTATAGGGCCTTGAATAGAGCCTATCTAAAGAAGAGTGCCTGAGGCTTGAGCTTCATTCGCTTTCTGGTTAATCTGTGTCTGTCTGCCATTCATTTCTGACACTCAGCTTCTAATCTCTGAAATAAGGGCAAAAATTCCTATTTCTCATGGTTGTCAGAAGATCAATTGAGACAACCTAACTGACGGGCCTAGCACAATGTTCATGGAGCAGGCACTCAATACATGATTGTTGGTAATAATAATAATGATAATAAATAATTAAACACTTCAATTAGAAGCCAGTTTTTTTTGTTTGTTTGTTTGTTTTTTGTTTTTTTTTTGAGATGGAGTATCGCTCTGTTGCCCAGGCTGGAGTGCAGTGGCGCGATCTCTGCTCACTTCAAGCTCCACCTCCTGGGTTCACGCCATTCTCCTGCCTCAGCCTCCCGAGTAGCTGGGACTGCAGGTGCCTGCCACCATGCCTGGCTAATTTTTTTGTATTTTTAGCAGAGACAGGGTTTCACCATGTTGGGTAGGATGGTCTCGAACTCCTGACCTTGTGATCTGTCCGCCTCGGCCTCCCAAAGTGCTGGGATTACAGGCGTGAGCCACTGCACCTGGCCCTGTTTATTTGTTTTTGAGACGGAGTTTCAGTCTTGTTGCCCAGGCTGGTTGCAGTGACACGATCTTGGCTCACTGCAACCTCCGCCTCCCAGGATCAAGCAATTCTCCTGGCTCAGCCTCCTGAGTAGCTGGGATTACAGGCACCCATCACCATACCCAGCTAATTTTTGTATTTTTAGTAGAGATGGGGTTTCATCATGTTGGCCAGTCTGGTCGGGAACTCCTGCCCTCAGGTCATCCGCCCACCTCGGCATCCCAAAGTGCTGGGATTACAGACATGAGCCACCACACCCAGCCAGAAGCCAGTTTTTAATCATGGTTTTGAAATAAGAACATAATATGGGGAAAAATTATTTTGTCAGTTCATTTACACTTCAGCTCTGCAACTAGCTCTCTCTAGAGGCTAATTATTTTGGTTTATCCAAAGCTGCCTCTCCAGAAAGAAGACTAAGTGAGAACAAGAAAATAGAGCATCCAAAAACAAAGACAGCCAGGCGCAGTGGGTATGGTGGCTCACGTCTGTAATCCCATCACTTTGGGAGGCGGAGGTGGGAGGATCACCTGAGGTCAGGAGTTCGAGACCAGCCTGGCCAACATGGTGAAACCCTGTCTCTACTAAAAATATAAAAATTATGCCGAGCTCGGTGGCTCATGCCTGTAATCCCAGCACTTTGGGAGGCCGAGACGGGCAGATCATGAGGTCAGGAGATCGAGACCAGCCTGGCCAACATGGTGAAACCCCATCTCTACTAAAAATACAAAAATTAGCCGGGCATGGTGGTGGGCTCCCATAATCCCAGCTACTCGGGAGGCTGAGGCAGGAGAATTGCTTGAACCCAAGAGGCAGAGGTTGCAGTGAGCCGAGATCCTGCCACTGTGCTCCAGCCTGGGCAACAGGGAGAGATTCCGTCTCAAAAAAAAAAAAAAAAAGAAAAAGGAAAAAAGAAAAAAACCCCACAAAAACAAAAATTAGTCGGGCATGGTGGTGGGCGCCTACAGTCCCAGCTACTTGGCTGAGGCAGGAGAATCTTTTGAACCCAGGAGCCATGGTTGCACCACTGCTGTCCAGCCTGGGTGACAAGAGCAAAACTGTCTCAAAAAACAAAAAAACAAACAAAAAAACAAAGGCAGATAGAGTATTATGGGAGAGAGTCATTTGCAGGAGCCTCAGAAGGCCAGATTTCTACCATGTGGATGTCAATAAGAAAAGATATTTAACCATTTCACACCTTTCTAGTCTTTCTCAGTTAGCCTAAGGAAGGCAGATTTCAAGGTGCATTTTGGAGAGAAGGCAGCTGGATAGACAGTATCCTGCAGCTTCAAGTTCTTAGTCACATGCAGGCCGACTCTTGGCAGTTGTTCTGCTGTGTCCTGAGGGATTATCTAAAAGCAAGAGGCCCCTGGGGTCGGTTCCTTCCCCCTAGAGAACCAATAGTATTTGCAGAAAAGCTTCCACTTACATTCTCTTCCCAGGGTTTGAGTTTCTTAAAAAGGAGGTATCTTAACACAGGTTTCAAAGAAAACATGATAGGAGTCCTTCCCTACCTTGTGGCTTCTCTTGGTTATCTGTGGGCTTTTTGTTTAGAGTGACTGGGTTTTGTTTGGGTAAGAAACAATAAATGGGGTATGTGGTGGAGAAAGGCCGAAAGATGGTAGGAGGCAATTAGATTAATTAGGTAATTAAAGGGAGACCTGTGGGTGATTATTAACTTTGTTGCTAGCTACATTTAGGCATCAGTACATGTCTTATTTTTGTTAATATTTACAAATGACTCATACCTTTTGCTACTCAACAATCACAAAATATTCACATTTCTCTTCAGAAATTCCTCTTTGTAATACTGAAGATGAAACAGACCTTCTTTTTCTTTTTCTTTTCATTTATTTATTTATTTATTTTGAGACAGAGTCTTGCTCTGTCACCCAGGCTGGAATGCAGTGGCACAATCTCGGCTCACTGCAATGTCTGCCTCTGGGGTTCAAGCAATTCTCCTGCCTCAGCCTCCTGAGTAGTTGGGATTACAGGCACCTGCCACCACACCTAGCTAATTTTTGTATTTGTAGTAGAGATGGGTTTTCACCATGTTGGCCAGGCTGTTGTCTAACTCCTGGCCTCATGATCTGCCCGCTTCAGCCTCCCAAAGTGCTGGGATTACAGGCATAAGCCACCATGCCTGGCCAAGACTTCCTGTTTCTAATTTCTGGCAAAATGATCCTTTCTCCTCCTGCTATACCTATTTGTCTACCTCTTAAGAACATGGGGCAGTTCTGGATTTGTCTGTTGTCTCAAAGCCCATTTTCCCTAGATTCTCAATATCCACAGTACATGCACTGTGTCATGATGCTATTTTAGAATATTAACTATGGGTTTCATCCCCAGGATTTTCTTTTCTCCACGGCTTTCCCCCAGTGAACTAAATTGTCTCAGCTTAGGACAACATGAACCCAAAGAGGAAGGAGACTTTTGTTGGTTTTTGAGCCATGATCTTGTGGGAAAGAGAAAGGACTCATGCACAAAGACAACATTTGAGGCTTGCAGGAATCTACCTCCAGATGAGATCAGGTCCTCGGACTGAGGGGAACGTGACTGGAGAATTCAGAAGCTTGTGGCTCCCAGGCCCTGTGCTGTGCCCCCGCAATAACTGCACCAGGGAATTAGGAATGGGGATGAGAGGAATTCCCTGAAAACTGTTTTGCGTGTTCAGTGGTTGTTAGGTTAAATCTTGTACAAGGAGGGTGTGTGGCCACTATCAGGCCACCTGGGGGATTGCTGCTTTAATAATTTACAATTATGACTTTGGACAATGTCTGGAAAAACACAGGGAAATTTGCATGCAAATAGTCCATTAACAAAGAAACAGGGAAAAAATGAAAATTTGTGAGAATGAGGGGGAACATTCAGATCACTTTAATCTAGTGTGTGTGAAGATTGTTCTCGTTCAGTACATTTCAGCTCAGCCAGTATAACAGATGATATGCAGGAGCAGAAAGCCTCCCTCCCCTATGTCTTGCCATCAGCGAAGTCCTTGGAAATTAAATACAACCCAGGGGAAAATCTGGGGGTATAGAATGACCCTAGCACATCTAATTGCAATCTGTGATAATTGCTGCTCTGGCAAAGCCCAGGAAACCACGCAAACCAGTCCAGGGGGACAGGGAAGGGCTCCCTGAGCAGAGACCTGAAGGGTGAGTTAGAGATAACTAGATGTTTGTGAAGGTAGAAAGAAAATCCAGTCCCTGGGCTGGCAATTACCTGGTGAGCCACTCAGAACCATTTTAAAAACATTGTCATGAGGAAGATGATGAGTAAACAGAGAACTTCAGGAAGGGACTGGTCCATGGTGGCAAATGCTGCAGAGAGGCCAAGCAAAATAAAGACCAAGAAGAGTCCATTGAAATACCATGGAGGACATTGGTGCTGACGTTGTCAAGTACAGCTGGAGCAAGTTGTGGGAAGAAAGCAAAAAAAATTTTTTTTTCCCAAGATGGAGTCTTGCTTTGTCACCCAGGCTGGAGTGCAGGGGTACAATCTCCGCTCACTACAACCTCCGCCTCCTGGGTTCGAGCAATTCACCTGGCTCAGCCTCCCGAGTAGCTGGGATTACAGGTGTGCACCACCATGCCCAGCTAATTTTTGTACTTTTAGTAGAGACAAGATTTCACCATGTTGGCCAGGCTGGTCTCGAACTCCTGACCTCGTGATCTGCCTCCCTTGGCCTCCCAAAGTGCTGGGATTACAGGTGTGAGCAACTGTGCCTGGCCAGAAGTCAAAATTGCAGGAGGTCGAGACACATGGAAGGTGTAGAAATAAGAGATGGTAAATGGAGAAAACTCTTCCCAGAAACTTGGCTGTGAAAGAAGTGGTGAATGGCAGTAGTGAAAGCTGGACTTGAGGTCGAAGGAAGAGGCTTTTCCGATAGGGAGTCTTTGCACACGTACAAACATCAGGAGGAAGCAGCCTGTCCAGAGGGAAGGTAAAAGACAGGATGGAGACTCCTAAAGAGCGAGGAAGTGACACAAGCCATAGACCAGGTAGGAGTGTGGCCTAAAAGGGAGGAGAAAAGAATGAGAGTGGATGCAGATGCCTGTAGACTTGGTGGCAGAAGAGGGAGCTGTCTACAGCCTCTACTTTCTCTGTGACATGGTAGGATCTGCTAACTGGGGAGGGGCATCAGGAGTGTGGATGGGTTGGAAGGGTTGGCAAAACCAAAGAACTGAAGAAGGCAGAAAGGATTTGAACTAGTCATTACAGTGGTTACAAATTCCAGGTGTATAAGAAAAATGTCATCTTCCTATACTTTTCCAGTGTTTCTATTTGAAGCTCTCATTCCTTTCGATAGTCAGTTTCATCTCAGTCAATTCATGAAGAGAGGACAGGTAGGCAGCTGGGTACATGGGTCTGGTAGCTCAGAAGAGGAGTATGGGCTGAAAATGTCAATTTGGGATTCATCAGAATAGTTTGTCTTCTTGAGTCTTGGGAAATATTGACTCAGCTCAGGGAGATGGAAGAGGCTGAAGAGCCAAACTTGGGAAAACCCCAACATTTAAAGGCCCTTGGAAGAAGAAGAATCTGTGAAGAGTCAGAAGGTAGGAGGAAAAGCAGGAGAGTGCCATGTCCCAGAACTAAGGGAAGTGAGTATTTTAAGTAAGTGGAAATAAAACGTCAACTAGGATTAGAATTATAAAATATCCACTGGGCCAGGTGTGGTGGCCCATGCCTGTAATCCCAGCACTTTGGGAGGCAGAAGTGGGAGGATTGCTTAAGGTCAAAATTTGAGACCAGCTTGGGCAACATAGTGAGACCCTGTCTTTACAAAAAATTAAAAAAAAAATTAACCAGGCACGGTGGTAGTGCCTGTAGTCCCAGCTACTCAGGAGGCTAAGGCAGGAAGATTACTTGATCCTCAGGAGGTCGAGGCTGCAGTGAGTGATGATAGTGCCACTGCTCTCCAGCATGGGTGACAGAGTGATACCTTGTCTCTAAAAAAGTAATAATAATAGGTCAGGAGCGATGGCTCATGCCTGTAATCCCAGCACTTTGGGAGGCCAAGGTGGGTAGATCACCTGAGGTCAGGAGTTCGAGACAAGCTTGGCCAACATGGTAAAATCCCATCTCTACTAAAAATACAAAAATTAGCCAGGTGTGGTGGCACACGGCTGTAATCCCAGCTACTCGGGAGGCTGAAGCAGAAGAATCGCTTGAACGTGGGAGACAGTGGTTGCAGTGAGCCAGCATCGTGCCACTGCACTCCAGCCTGGGCAACAGAGTGAGACTCTGTCTCAAATAAATAGACAAATAATAGTAATAGTAATTAATTAGTAAAATATCTGTTGGATATCCTGTATTCTTCTTCCTTTGGGTTGAGGCACAAAGAACAGCGAGAAGATATAGTCATGACAATAGTCATAATATCTACTATTTATTGAGTACGTAACTCCTGATTATGTCATTCAACTAGCCAATCAATCAACCACATATTAACTGAGAACACAGCATGTGCCAAACACTAACGACAGTGTTTCCTCTCATGGTGCTCATTAGAGCTTCTCAACTTTTTTCACGGTCACACATGAAAAATCATACCCTTTGTACATCCCCAGAGGTAAATGAATGATGAGGCTACTCAAGGCTGCCTGAGCCCCTTGGCTGCCCTGAGGGCTGGGAGATCAATATCTCATCATCCCCGGCCTCTGATCAAAATTCTTTCTTTCAATATCTATTCTGATATTGAATGTGACTGTGGAGAAGTTTTGAGGGCAGAGGTGAGGACCAGCATAGGGTAAAAGCTGCTAGTAGTCTTCAGTGAGTTAAGTAAGAACCTTGGAGAATGGGGCTGGTTTCAAAAGCTTGGAGCCGAAAAGAAAAACAGAAAAGCAGCATTAGATTGTTCCACTTTCAGTAATGAGGAGAGAAAGAGAGACGGAAGCTCATTCTAAAAATCAGGAAATGGAAAAAGTTACTCTAAAAATTAGGAAGATTAAACTGAGGATCTTTAACTAATCTGAGATTCAATCCTAAGGTTTCAGAGGTGAAAACACTTGTGAGTTTCTGTTGGCACATCTGTTTGTAGACACTGATGCCTGCTCATTGTGCACTGTGCACAGATGGAAGCACCCTGAGAGTATCTTGTTTCCTGCAATAGAGTGCAACTGAAAATAAGGCTGCAGGAATTAAATCAGATTGTCAATGGAATAGTTGAGTTCACTATGAAAAACAGCCCCATTTAGATAAAATTCATTTTGATCTATCTGTCAATGGAAAATTATGAAGCCCTTAAAAAAAAAAAGAAGGGGACTGGGCTCAGTGGCTCACACCTGTAATCCCAGCACTTTGGGAGGCCGAGGCAGGCGGATCACGAGGTCAGGAGTTCAAGACCAGCTTGGCCAACATGGTGAAACCCTGTCTCTGCTAAAACTACAAAAATTAGCTGAGCATTGGCCAGGCGCGGTGGCTCACGCCTGTAATCCCAGCACTTTGGGAGGCCAAGGCGGGCAGATTACGAGGTCAGGAGATCGAGACCATCCTAGATAACACGGTGAAACCCTGTCTCTACTAAAAATCCAAAAAATTAGCCGGGCGTGGTGGCAGGTGCCTGTAGTCCCAGCTACTCGGGAGGCTGAGACAGGAGAACTGCTTGAACTGGGACCCAGGAGGCGGAGGTTGCAGTGAGCCAAGATCACGCCACTGCACTAGGCTACAGAGCAAGACTCCGCCTCAAAAAAAAAAAAAAAAAAGGACTGAGGCATTTCTATTTCTCCTGATGATCTGGAAGGCTTTCCAAAGTATATTTTTCAGCAAAGGATAATAAGGTGCAAAACTGTATGTTTAGAGTGTTATTTAAAAAAATATATATGTACAGTTATGTTTGCATATGCAAAGAATATGGAAGGATGCAGAAGAAACTGGTAAGACGTGACCCATGGGGAAGGGAGCTCAGTGGCTGGGGATCAAGGTGGAAGGTTTTCATTGTATACTCTTTTGAATTTTGTACCAGGTATTATTTATTTAGTGAAAAAATATATGCAAATACAGGAAAAAAAACTTTTGATGAATCATTTTTGCAAGGTTCATTTTTAACGCAAACAGACACTCCCTAATTTGCTTTGGAAATGTTGACATTTGTGTACTGGATTTTCTTAAAGCATGAAATACCAATGTCTGCAAACCACACCCCGGGTGCTTAAATTTGAGGTCACTGACAAAACCAGCCATACAAGTGTGACTTTCCAAAAAGCTAAACATTGTTGAGAGAAGCAGAGTGAGTGTCAGGGGCTTGATGTATCCCCAGCATCTGAGAATCTCAGAGAGAAGGGACTGTGGAGAGTTGGTGCAACCTCCTTTTTTTTTTTTTTCGAAATGGAGTCTCCCTCTGTCACCCAGCCTGGAGTGCAGTGGCGCGATCTCGGCTCACTGCAAGCTCCGCCTCCTGGGTTCAAGTGATACTCCTGCCTCAGCCTCCTGAGTAGCTGGGATTACAGGCACATGCCACCATGCCCGGCTAATTTTTTGTATTTTTAGTAGAGACGGGGTTTCACCGTGTTACCCAGGATGGTCTTGATCTCCTGACCTCGTGATCCGCCCGCCTTGGCCTCCTAAAGTGCTGGGATTATAGGCGTGGGCCACAGCTCAAGGCCTGCAATCTCCTTTCTTCAGAAATCAGGAAATGAGGCTCCAAAGGGGAAGAGACTTGCCTAATAAAAAGATTGTGCCATTTTGTGTAAAAAAAATGAGAAACATAAGTCTCTGTATCTATATTTGCTTCCAATTGCATGAAGAACTCCAGAAGGATACACAAAAACAAATGGGAAACTGTACAGAGAGGGAAGGGGAACAATGAAAGGATGCGAGACAGAGGTAGAAATGAGATTTTCACTTTTAATCTTTTATAATCCTTGATCTATTCTTTAAAAGAATATGAAAACATTAAAAAGAGAGATGGACCATGACATCTCTATGACCCACAGTGCAGTTTTCAAGGATGACATCATAAGACTGTGTTCAGAGACAAATTAAGAATCCTGTGTTGGGAGCGGTGGCTCACGTCTGTAATCCCAACACTTTGGGAGGCTGAGGCGGGTGGATCACCTGACATCAGAAGTTGATCAGCCTGGCCAACATGGTGAAACCCTGTCTCTACTAAAAATACAAAAAATTAGCCGGCTGTAGTGGCACACGCCTGTAATCCCAGCTACTTAGGAAGCTGAGGCATGAGACTTGCTTGAACCCAGGAGGCAGAGGTTGCAGTGAGCTGAGATTGTGCCATTGCACTCCAGCCTGGGCAACAAGAGGGAGACTGTCACAAAAAAAAAAAAAAAAAAAAAATCCAGTGTTGAAATCACAGATCAAATTCTACTGCTTCAAATACCAATGACTATCTAGAATATTTTGTCATATTGAAGTTTTGTCTTATTGAGATTTGTTTGAGATAATACAGGCCATCAGCTAGGCTTAAATCTCATTTTTAATTATAGGCAAATTTGTCAAAATTGTGCGATAACAGCCCATTGCTAGTCTGTGGATCCAGTCATACCAGGAGGTACCACAGGGCAGGAGAAAAATCAGTGGACAGGAAGTCAGGGAACCTGATTCTAACCAAGTTTTGTAACTTAATTAACGTTGTAATTTTGCGCAACTTAATTCCTCTCCTTAGACCAGTTTCAACATCTGTAAAATAAAAGGACTACATGAGGTGATCTCTAGGTTCCCTCTTAGCTCTGATATGATTGGATTCTGAAACCATTATTAGCAATTTAGAATGAAAAGGAAATTTACGAGGTCATTTTTGACATCCAGGAGACGGTAACAGGCAGTTGGGTCTCCTTCTGCTCCTTTGACTTGTAACTACATGAGAACTAGCAGGTGATCTTCTTGGCCCTTTTCTCTTGAGCCCACACCCTGATGGTGATTATCTAGATCCAGGTTCCTGAAAGAATGAGTTTAGGGAAATGTTAATCATTCTCCACAAAGCATCTCAAATACATTTGGGAAATCCTGTATAATAAGTGTTCCTGATGGAAGGTCAGAATGCAATTAAAGGTCCTGAGAAGTCCTGCAACAAAGAAACATGTAACTTTTACCTAACCCAGCACTCTGCACATTTATGGATATAAAACACTTTGGAGAGAGAGAGAGAGAGAGAGAGAGAGAGAGATAGAGAGAGAGAGAGAGAGAGAGAGAGAGTGTGTGTGTGTGTGTGTGTGTGTGTGTGTGCTGTTACCTCTATTTGGAACAAATGGGATCCAAATGCTTCCATTTTTAGGAAATTTATGAGATCAGTTATCAGATGGCAGTTAGGACAATTCTGGGGCCTCTGCAAATATGGAAGATTTAGCACGTTCCTAAGGGAGCCTGAGAATCTTGTGATTCGTGCAGCTTTCCACCCCACCAGTTTTTTTCAACAGTGGGAGCCTCAGAAACTCCGTTTTACAGGGAGGTTCCCATCTAAGCACAATTAGGTCAATGGACATCTTATCCCTTTCACTTCTGGCTTTCAGAATTTTTCAGAACTATAATTTTTATTCAGAAATTATAATTCTCTTTCCTTCCCCCCTAAGGCCTTCAGTCTACATTTGCATATATATATATGTGTGTGTGTATATATACTTATATGTGTGTGTGTGTGTGTGTGTGTGTGTGTGTGTGTGTGTGTATATGCATATATTCCCTCCCTCCTAATATCTGCAATCCCCAGTGGGTAGGTGGGAAAAGTTACGTGTCATTTGGGCACTGGACCTGACACACTTCACATCCTTTATTAGTTTTCGAGATTTTTCACCCTCAATTCCCAAAGAAACATTGACTCATCACAACATACACACACAGTCATTTGGAAAAAATTAATTTAAAATGTGTATCTCTTAAGACTTCTCAATTATTTTCGTCCCATTTTTAAGCATTCAGTTTAAAGAAAGTAAAAAAATCTCTAAGCAGGCACAAACATATAGTCAAAGCTCTCATTGTTTTCTGGGTTGCTATATCTCCAAGTCTGAAACCAAGGAACAACATGAAATGCTATTTTTGCATTTAGTGCTTTCTTTACTCAGAGGTTTCCAGGCTTGTAGTTCAAGCATCAGGATAAAAATGGCCAGCCAGACAGCTGTTGCAGGCCCAGCTAATTATACTAGTGCTTCCCTGAAGGGCTTGAGCTGCAAATAAATTCTTTTTCTCCTGGTCAGGCTTGGTCATTGGCAGTTACTCTGGAGTATATACACTGCCTGGGCTCAGCGCTCTCCCTCCTAGAACAGTGTTTCCTAGAACAGTGGGAAATAAATGGAGGTGAGGAGGCAGCTGGCTTGGGGTGGAGGATGTGCCCACTGACTCTCCCATCCACCCTGTGGGATTTTTTTTTTTAATTAATTTAGTTTTTTCAGACGGAATCTCGCTCCGTCGCCCAGGCTGGAGTGCTGTGGCGCGATCTCGGTTCACTGCAACCTCCGCCTCCCGGGTTCAAGCAATTCTCCTGCCTCAGCCTTCCGCACAGCTGGGACTACAGGTGCCAGCCACCACGCCCAGCTAATTTTTTTTGTATTTTTAGTAGAGACGGAGTTTCACCGTGTTAGCCAGGATGGTCTCGATCTCCTGACCTCGTGATCCACCCATCTCGGTCTTCCAAAGTGCTGGGATTACAGGTGTGAGCCACCGCACCTGGCCCCAGTTGGTTTTTTTTTTTTAATACTTTGTCTACCCTAGCGCAATTCCCTGATGGGTTGTCTTTTTTTTTTTTTTTCTTTTTTTTGAGACAGGGTCTTACTTTGTCACCCAGGGTGGAGTGCACTGGTGCAATCTCAGCTCACTGCAGCCCTGACCTCCCGGGCTCAAGCCATCCTCCCACCTCAGCCCCCAAAGTAGCTGGGAGTACAGGCGTGCACCACCACGCCCAGCTAATTTTTTTTTTTTTTTTTTGAGATGGAGTCTAGCTCTGTCACCCAGGCTGGAGTGCAGTGGCGCAATCTCAGCTCATTGCAGCCTCTGCCTCCTGGGTTCAAGCAATTCTCCTGCCTCAGCCTCCCAAGTAGCTGGGATTACAGTCGTGTGTCACCATGCCCGGCTAATTTTTGTATTTTTAGTAGAGGCAGGGTTTCACTATGTTGGCCAGGCTGGTCTCGAACTCCTAACGTCAAGTGATCTGCCCGCCTCAGCCTCCTAAAGTGCTGGAATTACAGGCTTGAGCCACCACCCTCATCCTTTTTTTTTTTTTTTTTTTGGCATTTTTCATAGAGATGGGCTTTCGCCAGGTTGCCCAGGCTGGTCTCGAACTCCTGAGCTCTAGCGATCCTCCCGCCTTGGCCTCCCAAAGTGCTAGGATTACAGGTGTAAGCCACCTTGCCCAGATGGTGGGTTGTCTTAATTTACTTAGGAGTACCTGCTGAAAGTTATGTTTGATAAATAAAGGGAGGGCCATGAAATTAAGTAGGAGGTGGGGACACTAAAGAGAAAACAAAACAAAACAAAACATGATTGGGGAGGGATTATTTAGGAGGACAAAGTGTGGTTAATTTCATGTGTCAAATTTGTTAGGCTATGGTGCCCAATTGTTAGGTCAAACGCTAGTGTAGATGTGAAGGTATATTTTATATGTGATTAACATTTATAATCATTTGACTTTATTTAATTTTTTTTTTGAGACGGAGTCTTGCTCTGTCGCCCAGCTTAGAATGATCTCTGCTCACTGCAACCTCCGCCCCTGGGTTTCAAGCAATTCTCCTACCTCAGCCTCCTGAGTAGCTGGGATTACAGGCATGCGCCACCACATCTGGCTAATTTTTGTATTTTTAGTAGAGACAGGGTTTTGCCATGTTGGCCAGGGTGATCTCGAACTCCTGACCTCAAGTGATCTGCCCACCTCGGCCTCCCAAAATGCTGGGATTACAGGCGTGAGCCACCGCACCTGTCCTCATTTGAACTTAAATTAAGCAGATTACCCGCCATAATGTGGGTGGGCCTCACCCCATCAGTTGAAGGCCTTAAGAGCAAAAACTGAGGTTTCCTGAGGAAGAAGAAATTCTATCTCAAGATGGCAACATAGAAATCCCAGCTGAGTTTCTAGACTGCTGGCCTACCCTGTGGATTTCAGACTTAAAACTGCAACATCGACTCTTTTCAGTTTCCAGACTGCCCGGCAAATTTCAGACTTTCCACCCCCCACAGTTGCATGAGCCAATTCCTTAAAACAAATCTCTGTATCTCTATATATTCTCTACATAATTTCTATATAGCCCTGTGATTCTGTTTCTCTGGAGAACCCTGACTAATACAGAGGGCTCCAGGGAGGATGACCCTGGAGAAAAAAATGGAGCTGATAATGAATTGTGAGTTTGACCATAACCTGAGAACATTTTTTCAGTTTTGACAAAGAGGTTGCAGAGAAGTCAGTGATAGCTATTTAAAAATGAAATTATGTAGGAGAAAAAACTGAAGCTATTGTTAACTCCAGGGAAAACAAAAAGTGGTACATGAA
Organism: Homo sapiens; assembly: GCF_000001405.40. Classification (NCBI taxonomy): domain Eukaryota; kingdom Metazoa; phylum Chordata; class Mammalia; order Primates; family Hominidae; genus Homo; species Homo sapiens. Next base: position 36,552,656 of record NC_000006.12, on the reverse strand, counting down.
GATAATCTGACACAATTGTAAACACTGACTATTGATTTAAAAGGGATGGCAGTGGTAGAAGAAGTTGTGGTATAAGTGAGTTAAATCCTCATCTTAATTGAGGAAATTAAAAAGATTAAAAAATAAAAACTTAAGAAATAGCAATGTTATTTCAAAACAAGGAGATAAATGGCAGAAGAACAACTAAAAGCTTGTAAAGCATCTGCTTCTGCTGAGTGAATCTGGTGGGAGTGGGTGGGGCAAGGAATTGCTGTTTATCATTATGAGTCTTGTAGATCATTTAATCTTTTTCAAGTCTGTACATGTATTACTTTGATAAAAATAAAAACTTAATTAAAAGGTTATGGGGTCCAGTGTAGAAAATTTGGAAAGTACAGAAAAGTATAAAGAAGAAAATATAACCACTCACAATTCCTCCACTCAGAGAAAGCCACTGGGTATATTTTAGAGGAACAAGATTAAATGAATTTGTGAGATTAAATAGAGCTTGAAGATTTAAAACATCACAATTTAGATATAAATGAACAAATAACAGTATAATACCGCATATGTGTAGATATAATTACATACAATATAAGCATATATACTATGATTCCATGCATTTATATGTGTATTAGAAAGTAGTCTCAGCTGGACACAGTGGCTCATGCCTGTAATCCCAGCACTTTCAGAGGCCAAGGTGGGAGGATTACTTGAATCCAGGAGCCTAGCATGGGCATCATAGGGAGACCCCATCTCTTCAAAAAATTTAAAAATTAGCCAGGTGCGGCAGTGCATGTCTGTAGACCAGCTACTTGGAAAGCTGAGGCAGGAGGATCACTTGAGCCTGGGAGGTTGAGCCTGCAGTGAGCCATGACTGTGTCACTGCACTCCAGCCTGGGCAACCCAGTGAGACTCTTTTAAAATACACACACACGGCCGGGCACGGTGGCTCACGCCTGTAATCCCAGCACTTTGGGAGGCTGAGGCGGGTGGATCATTTGAGGTCAGGAGTTTGAAACCAGCCTGGCCAATATGGCGAAATCCCCTCTCTACTAAAACTGCAAAAATTAGCCAAGCATAGTGGTGCACGCCTGTAATCCCAGCTACTCGGGAGGCTGAGGTAGGAGAATCTCTTGAAGCCGGGAGGTGGAGGTTGCAGTGACCCAAGATCACATCAGTGCACTCCAGCCTGGGTGACAGAGCGAGATTCCGTCTCAAAAACAAAACAAAACAAAACAAAACACACACACTCATGCACACTAGTCTCAAGGCCAGGTGCAGTGGCTCACACCTGTAATCCCAGCACTTTGGGAAGCTGAGGCAGGCAGATTGCTTGAGCTCAGGAGGTCAAGGCTGCAGTGAGCTGTTATCGCACCACTGCACTATAGCCTAGGTGACAGAGCGAGACCCTGTCTCAGAAAGAAAAAAAAAAAGATAGTCTGGAGGAATACCCACCAAAATATTACTTGGTGGTTATGTTACCAGGGTGGGACCAGGCTAAGGCAAGCAAGGTTCCTAGGACACTCAATGTAAGGCTGCCTTCACTCTCAGGGTTCTGCAAATGCAGGAGTAGAACCTGAAAGTGAGTGTCTTCTTAAATGTTATGCCCTCACATGCTTCACCCTAGTCTTGGCCTTGGTTGGGACCTACGGCTGCTGGATTATGGGCACTTTCTCCTTCTTACTTTTTACTTGGATATATGTTCAAGTTCCTTGCTACTCTAAGTGTAGTACATGGACCAGCAGTGATAGCATCATCTGGGGGCTTGTTTGAAATGCAGTATCTCAGCTCTGCCCCAGACTTTAGCCAGATCTGCTCTTTAACCAAATCCCAGGAGATTTATGTGCATGTTACAGTTTGAGAAGCACTGGGCTAGCAGGCACCCAAGCATAGTTCCTGTCTTCTTATGAAAGGAATATTCAGAGGCAATTGATGCCACTGCCCCAATAGGTGGGGCACACACTGCTAAGGGGTAAGATGCCTGTTTTTAAAAAGAGTTGTGGTTCTTTCCAAGTGGCTCAGTTTTGGCTGGTGAAGCAATCATAGGTCAGCTTGATAAAGGAGAGGCAGGTGATTCCCTTGGAACAAAGAACGGGTGAGTTGAGCAAGTGAGCAAGACACTCACCTTGGGCACAAAAAACTCAGTAATCAAGATAAAGACCATTTTAATGCAAGGTTTTTCAAAAATCAAAATTAATGCAAAAAATCCACGATGAATAAAACATCGAAATTTAAAATAAAGCTCGACTCACTGTGTAAGGTGGTTCATGCCTGTAATCCCAGCACATTGGGAGGCTGAGGTAGGAGGATCACCTGAGAACAGGAGTTTGAGACCAGCCTGGGCAACATAGTGAGGCCTGACTCTACAAAAAACTAGCCGATCAAGGTCGTACGCACCTTTGTTCCCAGCTACTCACAAGGCTGAGGTAGGAGGATTGCTTGAGCCCAGGAGTTCGAGGCTGCAGTGAGCTATGATTGTGCCGCTGCTCTCCAGCCTGGGTGACCCCAGCCTGGGTGACCCCGTCTCAAAAAACAAACAAACAAACAAACAAACACGGGGATGTGACAACATCAAAATTATGCAGGTCAGATCTTTCTAATTTCCAACTCACAGTCTGGGATGGGTATAAGTGATTTCAGTTTTGGTGATAGGAAAGGGATTCAGATGCTCAAGTGGCCAAAAAGAATGACAAACGTCCATTATAGTTATTGGAATCTTGGTAAAATGTCACCTTTTGGGTTCCTGCAGAAAGAGCAGCATAATTTGGCTGGGCTGTTTTGAGGAAAACTTTAGTGCTTATTTGAGTTGTGGTACAGATAAATTAATATAGGAGGAAAGGGCCGGGTGCGGTGGCTCACGCCTGTAATCCCAGCACTTTGGGAGGCGGAGGTGGGCAGATCACGAGGTCAAGAGATAGACAGCATCCTGGCCAACATGGTGAAACCCCATCTCTAGTAAAAATACAAAAAAAAAAGGCCGGGCGCGGTGGCTCACGCCGGTAATCCCAGCACTTTGGGAGGCCGAGGCGGGCAGATCACAAAGTCAGGAGATCGAGACCATCCTGGCTAACATGGTGAAACCCCGTCTCTACTAAAAATACAAAAAATTAGCCGGGCTTGGTGGCGGGCGCCTGTAGTCCCAGCTACTCGGGAGGCTGAGGCAGGAGAATGGTGTGAACCCGGGAGGCGGAGCGTGCAGTGAGCAGAGATCGCGCCACTGCACTTCAGCCTGGGCAACAGAGCAAGACTCCGTCTCAAAAAAAAAAAAGAAGAAGGAGAAGGAGAAGGAGAAGGAGAAGAAGAAGAAGAAGAAGAAGAAGAAGAAGAAGAAGAAGAAGAAGAAGAGGAAGAAGAAGAAGAAGAAAAGATTAGCTGGGCATGGTGGCACGTGCCTGTAGTCCTGTAGTCCCAGCTACTAAGGAGGCTGAGGCAGGAGAATCACTTGAGCCTGGGAGGTGGAGGTTGCAGTGAGCCGAGATCGTGCCACTACACTCCAGCCTAGTGATAGAGCGACACTCCGTCTCAAAACAAAACAAAAACAACCCCCCTCCCCCCACCAAAAAAAACATATATATAAGAGAGAAGAGAGAGTGAAATTCCTCTTCTGAAACTGGGAAAGTTCCAGGAGGAAGATAAGGTTTGAGCTGGGCTTTGGAAGGAGGAAAGAGAAGAGGAGAAAGAACATTGGATTTGCAGACAGAAAATGGGGTTCCCCTCTTGGCTACTTGGCTTACTAGCCGTGGGAATTCAGACAAGTCACTTAGCTTCTCTAAGTATCAATTACTTCATCTGCAAAACCTCGTGTGTCACTGCCAAAGTGAGGACCAAGTGAGATTAAATAAGTGAAAGTTGTTTGTAAACTGTAAAGCATTATGCAGACATCTTGGACTATTATTAAAAGCTTAAGAATGGGTAGGACTTTGACAACAGGCATTTGGGGAGAAGGGCCTCTGGGCAGAGAGAATGAAAGGCGAAGTGATTGATTGATATGTATGTAGTGACTGATTGAGACAGGGTCTCCCTCCGTTGCCCAGGCTGGGGTGCAGTGTCATGATCATGGCTCATAGCAGCCCTGAACTCCTGGACTCAATCAATCCTCCTGCTTCAGCCTCCACAGTAGGTGGGACCACAGGCACTTGCCACCATGCTGGCCAATTACAAAAATTTTTTTAGAGGTGGATTCTCCTTATGTTGCCCAGACTGGTCTCAAACTCCTAGGCTCAAGCTATCCTCCCACCTGGACCTCCCAAAGTGCTGGAATTACAGGCAGGAGCCACCGCGCCTGGCGAGAAGTGATTTTTGTTAAGAGGCTAGACAAAAGGAAACTGGGCTTTGAAGATGAAATGAATGAATAACTCGCAGCACATGCTTCCTTCTCTCCCTAGATGGCCCCTTTGCAGGCAGTCAGGGACCATGTCTCGTTCATCTTAGTTTCCAGGAGCTTGACACTTTGTAGTTGAGGGCTTTGTGCTCCATTCTCAAGAAACGACAAGTGCCCAAAGGCTATTAAACTTGGGACCTCTTTACCCCCAAAAGTAGTACAGAATAAGAGTTGGGTGGCCTTGAAAAGCACCTTCTTCTGTCCACACTGGGTCGCCCGCTGGGTAACCTCCCAAACCTATGAGAGCTCACCTTATCCCAGGTAAGGTCCTTACTTTAAGGAAGAGGAGGGGGGCCAAGGGCTCCAGCAGACCTGTTCTACACGGGGTAGGGGGGTGGGTGGGAACTATACAGGTGACAACATTTCATAGAACTACACACACACTCACACACACGCACATGACTGCATACCCAACAGGTTAAATCCGAGTGTGGTCTGTAATGAAGTTAATTGTATTGGTTTAGTTAATTGTATTGGTTTAGTTAATTGTATTGTGCGAATGTCAATTTCCTGGCTTTGAGAATGTTGTATCTTAAGAAAAATGTTGAGGTAAGCTGGGTGGGTGATGGTATAGGGAACCTGTATGTATTAATTTTGCAACTTCTTGTGAGTCCATAATTATTTCGAAGTAAAAAGTAAAACAAAAGAAAACAATGGAACTTCCCCCTCAGCCCAGCCTACTTCGAGACCGCCTCACACTCACACATCTGGCCTCACCCAGGTCCAGCCAGCCCTAGGCAGGGGGTGAAGGGAGGGGCAGGGCGGGGCCACGCAAGCGCAGTTCCGCAATCCCGGCCGCTCCGGGAAGTCGCGCATGCGTAGTCTCGGCCCCGGGCTGCCGCGCCAGCCCGTCTCCGCGGCGGGGGACCGGGCTGCCTTGGCCCCTCAGCGCTCGCGTCTTTTCCGGCAGTTGGAACGCTTCCTGTTGTCCTCACCCGTAACCGCCTGTTGCCCCCTGTCTCAGAGTCCCTCACGCGTCCCCTCCCGTCTTTGGCTCGTTGGCTGCCGCCGCCGGGGCTTCGCCAGCCTTCAAGTCGAGACTACTGGCCGAAGGGGCGTCTGCGGCTCTCCGCCGTCCCCAGCCCTGCCTCTCCCTGGGCTCTGGTGAGTTGCTTGCTGCCGCCGTCTTCACTCCATCCCGGGGTTTTTCCTTTATCTCCTCCTTCCCCAACCTCCGACTCCTTCTTGGGCTTTCTCCTGCTCGCCGGCGCCCTCTTTCAAGCCCTAACCTCTCAGCCTCTTGGCCTCTCTCCGCCCCTCTCCTTAACCCCCTTCTTCCCCCGTCTCCAGATGCCCCTTGTTGGCCCTCTCCACATTTTTCCAGTCCCAGCCTTTCCACCCCATCCTTTATCTTTCTCCTTTTGCAGTTGGAGCGGGAGCCAGGCTTTCCTTTCCATGTTGCCACCTTTGTCTGCTCCCTGCCACCAGTCAGTCCCTCAGGGATCTCGGTCATCACCGGTTTTTATCTCCTTTTCCTTCTTCTGGGGTCTGTGAACTGTGGTCTGAGGCAGAGATGTCGAAAGCCCCCCTTGGGGTGTGGTATCTTTGAGTCGGCTCCTTTCTCCGTTAGTCTTAGGATACTGGGCTTCAGATAAGCTTCAAATCACAGGAAAAGGCAGGGAAAATTCTTAAGAAGAGAGTGGAAAAGCAACAGCCAGAGGAAAAAGTCGGTAAGGGCTTAGAGGAAAGTCTGTGTCAGAAAGCGGGCAGAACGGCCGGCAGAGAGACCAGATCTCTCAGTTCATTCTGAAACGACTAAAAGACTCGGAGAGAAACTTGTTCTGTTTGAAATGCACCGAGGAGGGTTGGAGTGAAGTAGACCCTGAGTGTCTCCACCCTTTGAGCTCACCCTGCCTCTGAATTAGCCAGGCAATATATTTGGTTTCCCTAAACATAAAACAACCACCACCTCGATAACAGGCTCTCCTCCCCACCCTAAACGTTAGATACCAGCTTCCTCCTAAGAGGAGAGAACGCTATAGCAAACCATTTCATGTCCCAGCCCTATCCCCCATCACACATAAACTCCTAGGAATGGACATCAAAAATGAGTATATTTCCTAGTTAATCTTTCTTAAGGTGCTAAGTGCATAGCACTGTGCATGAAATGGGGGAAGAATATTAAAACAAGTATAAGACATGGTGCTTGCTTTCTAGTGTAGGTAGAGATTACAGTTTAGTAGGATTTACAGTTCAGTGGGAGAGATTAGACATGCGACTTAAGCAATAATCTTAGCTCCAATGTTGAATCGTCCAAATGAAAGATAATGGATTGTCAGTCGCAAAGAAATAAAGTCCATATTGTTGAGAGAGGGTTGTTTATAGTGATCACAGAGTACCATTGTAAAGTCAGTCAGTTAGCCAGGCATAACCATATAGATTGAATCACATAATGGTTTTCATTTGACTTCCTTTTGAGTTTGCAGGCCTTACACCTGACTTTTATGAGGATCAGTTCCTTTTGTTAATTTTTTAAAACTTTGAAGAATTCCTCAGCCACCTATTATTTCCTAATTCTTCAGAGTTGAAGAATGAAACAAATGGGGCAAAGGCCTCCAATGGCTTCTAGGTCAGGGCAGGAAGGCTTGAATTGTGGAAAGCCTGATGGATAGTCCTGTCTTAAGAAAAGTTGGTTGACCCAGTAAATCTATGAATTGCTATAGGGCAATATTAATTACATCTTTTGATTAAAGGATATTAGAATTAGGCTAAATTTTTTATATTACAATAGAGGAAGTGGAGGAGGGTTTAAAGAAAGGTCAAAGGGAAGGAGAGTGCAGTCTTTATCATTATATTAGAAACTCTAAAAGTTGAAAAACACTCTGCTTAAGAATTTGTTGGTCTAATATTTGAGCATCTTTGAGTTCATTTAATGTCCTTTTGATCTTTTTAAAAGTTTAGGTAGTAATGCAAGCCAGCTACTTAAATTAGTCAAAGCATTTTTGATATATCCATCAGTGTAAATGTAGTCTTTATTCTTTTTTTTTTTTTTTTTTTTTTTTTTCCAGACGGAGTCTCACTCACCCAGGCTAGAGTGCAGTGGTGTGATCTTGGCTCACTGCAACCTGTGCCTCCAGGGTTCAAGCGATTCTCCTGCCTCAGCCTCCCAAGTAGCTGGGATTACAGGTGCCCACCACCACACCCGGCTAATTTTTTTTGTATTTTTAGTAGAGACAGGCTTTCACCATGTTGGCCAAGCTAGTCTCCAACTCCTGACTTCAGGTGATCCACCTGCCTCAGCCTCCCAAAGTTCTGGGATTACAGGCATGAGCCACCGTGTCCGGCCATCTTTATTCTTTAGCTTTGTTGACAACTAAAAATCATTAACTTACTCAACTGCCTGTTATATGGAAGGCACTGTTTGCCTTAGGGTTAAATACTAGCAGATTGTTGTGTTGTGTTTGTTGTTGTTGTTGTTGTTTTTAAGACAGAGTCTTGCTCTGTCCCAGGCTGGCGTGCAGTGGCACAAGCCAAACTCACTGAAACCTCTGCCTCTCCAGCTCAAGCAATCCTCCCACCTCAGCCTCCTGAGTAGCTGGGACTACAGGTGTGTGCTACCACACCTGGCCAATTTTTTGTATTTTTTTGTAGCAACGGGGGTTTTGCCATGTTGCACAGGCTGGTTTCAAGCAATCTCCTACCTCTCCCTCCCAAAGTGCTGAGATTACAGGGGTGCACCAGTGCCCTGGCAAATTGTTACATTTTTATGTTGAAGTAATTTCAGTTGTTAAAATGTAACTACATATATGCAATTTCTTCAGGAATTTTCAGACAAGGAAGTACAAAACTCTCACTTGCTTTTGACATGTTTTTACATCTGGTTTTTAAATTTCTTCACCAAACACACTTAGAGTGCATGTGGTTTTCATTGTGGGTGGAGGGGGGGGTACAGGCTGACAAATAAGGAACCACACCCAAGCTTCACAAACCAAACAGAGGTTTTTTTTTTGTTGTTTTTGTTTTTTTTAATTCCTTTAGTGATACTCTAAAACATTTGAGTTTGCTTTGGTATTAGTCGAAACTTCCCCATAAAAAATAATGTGATATTTTATAGTAAGGTAGCTCTTAATGCAGTGTCTTAAATTTGTTTTTACTGATCTTTTTGGCACATGATGAATCAAAATGTTTGACTCTCAAGTAGAGTCTTAGTTTTGAATCTCTGCTCTGAAGGAATTATTTATGTGATTTTTGTCTGCGTATCTTTTTAAATAATTGCTTTTTAAATAATTTTAAGGCTTTTTTGAACAAGTGTTTTATAAGCCTTAGTTTAATCCACAAAACAATTTAAAAAGCTACTAAATATTAAGGGGGAAAACCTGAAAACTTTTCTTAAAATGCACTATCTTTGAAAATGGTCCTTGGCTGGGTGCGGTGGCTTATGCCTCTAATCCCAGCACTTTGGGAGGCCCAGGCAGTCAGATCATCTGAGGTCAGGAGTTCAAGACTAGCCTGGCCAACATAGTGAAACCCCGTCTCTACTAAAAACTAGCTGGGGGTGATGGCATGTCCCTGTAGTCCCAACTACTTGGGAGGCTGAGGCAGGAGAATCGCTTGAACCCAGGAGGCGGAGGTTGCAGTGCACCGAGATTGTGCCATTGCACTCCAGCCTGGGCGACAGAGTGAGACTCCATTTCCAAAAAAAGAAAAATGGCCCTTTGACTCTCATGATTCTTTTTTGCTGCAGCTGTGGGGGGTAGTAGAGACAGGGTCTTGCTATGTTACCCAGGCTGGTCTTGAATTCCTGGACTCATGAACTCCTGGGCTCAAATGATCTCTCTACCTCACCCTCCCAAAGTGATGGGATTACAGGCATGAACCACAGTGTTCAGCCTCTCCTAATTTTTACTCAGCTTTATATTGGGATGAAGAGACAGAGAAGTAGATCATATGAGAGGTAGGAATGGTAAGAATAAAATATTGAGCACTATTGGCCGGGCATGGTGGCTCACGCCTGTAATCCCAGCACTTTGGGAGGCTGAGATGGGCAGATCATGAGGTCAGGAGATCGAGACCATCCTGGCTAACACGGTGAAACCCTGTCTCTACTAAAAAATAGAAAAAATTAGCCGGGCGTGGTGGCGGGTGCCTGTAGTCCCAGCTACTCGGGAGGCTGAGGCAGGAGAATGGCACGAACCTGGGAGGCGGAGCTTGGAGTGAGCCGAGATCGCGCCACTGCACTCCAGCCTGGGCGACAGAGCGAGACTTCGTCTCAAAAAAAAAAAAATTGAGCGCTATTGCCAATGCTGGAGCAAGTCAATGTTAGTGAACAATTTGGCCAAGTGTGATAATACAGGTTAGCTGAAATATCTGGAGGAAAACAAGATTTTATTTTATTTATTTATTTTTTTTGAGACGGAATCTTGCTCTGTCACCCAGGTGGAGTGCAGTGGCATGATCTCGGCTCACTGCAACCTCTGCCTCCCGGGTTCAAGCGATTCTCCTGTCTCAGCCTCCCGAGTAGCTGGGATTATAGGCGCCTGCCACCACGCACAGCTAATTTTTGTGTTTTTAGTAGAGACGGGGTTTCACTCTGTTGGTCAGGCTAGTCTCCCAACTCCTGACCTCAGATGATTCGCCTGCCTTGGCCTCCCAAAGTGCTGGGATTACAGGCGTGAGCCACCGCGCTCAGCCGATTTTATTATTTATTTTTGAGACTGAGTCTCGCTGTGTAGCCCAGTCTGGAGTGCAGTGGCGCTATCTCGGCTCACTGCAACCTCTGCTTCCCAATTCAAGCAATTCTGCCTCAGCCTTTGGAGTAGCTAGGACTACTGGTGTGTGCCACACTCCTGGTTGAAAACAATATTTTAAATTTAGGAAAAAAATATTCTATAACTTATCTAAACACATTGGTGGTGTTTTTTTCTTGTGTAAAATGAGGAAATTAAGATCTCTTGTTTTTAAGGTATTGCTGCTTCTACCACTAGAATCGTGATTCAGGTTTTTTGTCATATTGTTCCCTTTATTTTAAGACTTAAAACTTTATTTTAACTTGTAAATTCAAATAAACGGCAAACATTTATCAAATACCTTAAGGCTGTGTCAGAGCATATATGTATCAGATTACCATTTTTAATCATAGATTTTTCTTTTAACTGTGGATAAACTTAAAAAGTTATTGGTAACAGTATATGCTTATGGAAGAAAATATAGAAAAACATGGGCTGGGTGCAGTGGCTCATGCCTGCAATCCCAGCACTTTGGGAGGCCAAGTTGGGTGGATCACTTGAGGTCAAGAGTTTGAGACCAGCCTGACCAGTGTGGTGAAACCCCGTCTCTACTGAAAATACAAAAAAAAAAATTAGCTGGGCACAGTGGCTGGTGCCTGTCATCTTAACTACTTGGGAGGCTGAGACACGAGAATCGCTTGAACCTGGGAGGCAGAGGTTCCAGTGAGCTGAGATTGAATCATTGTACTCCAGCATGGGCGACAGAGTGAGACTCCATCTCAAAAAAAAAAAAAAAGAAAAAGAAAAACATGGAAAAAGCACAAGCAAGAATAACATTTTCTATTCCCACTACCTACAGGTAAGCCACTAATAACATTTTGATGATATGTTTCTAATAATTATGTGCATATACAGTAAACACATAAAGAAAATTGAGATCGTGATATACATTCTGCTTTGTAATGTGTTCTGTTGACTTAGAGTGGAAACATTTCCTCTGACATTAACTATTTGGACATATTTTAATTGTCTGCACATTATTTTATTGAAGGGCTTTTTCATACTGAATTAATTCTATTGTGTATATTCAAGTTATCCCTAATTTCCCTTTGTGATTACAATGCTGCATTGCACCTCCTTGTGATGAATTTTTATGGGTCTTTGATTTCTTCAAGGTAGATTTTTAGATGGCAAAGAATTGTACTGTATGCATACTGTATATTTTTTTTTAGGTCTCACTATGTTGTCCAGGCTAGTCTTAAACTTGGGGACTCAAGCAGACCTCTGTCTTGGCCTCCCAGGAAGCCAGGATTACAGGCGTGTGGTTTACTATATATTCTTAATTTATCTATATGGTATTGTGATCTTGTTCTCTTTTTAAAAATGCAATATGCACTTGCACTAATATGTTTTAAAGATATATTTGTGGGCTGGGCACGGTGGCTCACGCCTGTTATCCTCAGCACTTTGGGAGGCTGAGATGGGCGGATCATGAGGTCAGGAGTTTTGAGACCATCCTGGTTAACATGGTGAAATCCCGTCTCTACTAAAAATACAAAAAATTAGCCCGGTGTATTGGTGGGCGCCTGTAGTCCCAGCTGCTTGGGAGGCTGAGGCAGGAGAATGGCGTGAACCTGGGAGGTGTAGGTTGCAATGAGCGGAGATCGCGCCACTGCACTCCAGCCTGGGCGACAGAGCGAGACTCCTTCTCAAAAACAAACAAATAAATAAATAAATAAAGATATATTTGTGTGGGCCAGGCGCGGTGGCTCACAGTTGTAATCCCAGCACTTTGGGAGGCCGAGGTGGCCCCGTCTCTACTAAAAATACAAAATTAGCCAGGTGTGGTGGCGCATGCCTGTAATCCCAGCTACTCGGGAAACTGAGGTGGGAGAATCGATTGAACCTGGAAGGTGGAGGTTGCGGTGAGCCAAGATCATCCTGTCGCACTCCAGCCTGGGCAACAAGAGCGAAACTCCATCTCAAAAAGAAAAAAAAAGATATATTTGTGTGACTTACAGGTACAGGTAAAGTTGCTTCTGGTTTTCTGGTTGTTGCATGGTATTTCCTATGCAGCCACAGCTCTTTATTTTCTTACTTAAGTGCCTCCAACTTCCCATAACACAAATTAAGGCATGATGAACATCCTCTCTGTGCTGAACATCCTGTGTATGTCACTTTAGAAGCCTGTGTGACGGTTTCTTTAGTCTTTATACCTAGGGGTGGGATTTCTGGGTCATAGGACAGTAATTTATATTTATTTTCACTAAGTATTCTCTTTCTCTGGCTTTTGTTACATATTACCTGTTTGTCCTCCAGAAAACTTGCACCAATTTACATTCCTACCAATAGGGTAGGAGAGTGCACACTGGGTGGATTCTAACTCCAAATCTAACACCTCTTCTTTTCTTTGTTTCTAGCAGCCATGGCAATGACAGGCTCAACACCTTGCTCATCCATGAGTAACCACACAAAGGAAAGGGTGACAATGACCAAAGTGACACTGGAGAATTTTTATAGCAACCTTATCGCTCAACATGAAGAACGAGAAATGAGGTAAAGAATTTTGTTTGAAAAAATTGTGTCATGGTTGTGGCATTCCTTTCTCGTATTGTAAAACACTTATAATGCTGAAAGGAGACAAGAATAGTAGCAGCCTTATTATAGACTATCATAATGGAATGACAGTGAAAGGGCTTTTCAAAGTCCCTGCCATTAACCCACTTATGCCTACAAGTCAATAACACAAACTTCTATTGAAATCCAAGAAAAAAAATGATACTTGGGAGGTTGAGTTGGGAGGATTGCTTTAGCCCAGGAATTTGAGGCCAGCCTGAGCAACACTGAGACTCTGTATCTTAAAAAAAAAAAAAAAAAAAAAATTAGGCCCAATCCAAGGAGTTGATTGTTAAGGCAGAGTGGTATAATGGAATAGCAGCCCTTTTGGAGTCAGACTTGGGTTTAGAGTCCTGCCAGTTTCATTGAATAGCTGTATGAAGCTCTAATAAGTTCCTTAGTCTTTCTGTGAATTGGTTCCCTCATCAGGAAAATGGGGATAATACTACTTGCCTTGCAGGATTGTGTTGGGGATTAGATATAACATATGTGAGTATGTACCATAGTGTTTCACACATAGTAGTCACTTAGTTAATGGTGGTAGTATCAGCTATTGTTATTACTGATCTGGTGTATACTGTCCACTTAGTAACTCATAATTTATTTATTGGTTTTTTTTTTTTTTTGAGATCGAATCTCACTCTGTTGCCCAGGCTGGAGTGCAATGGCATGATCTCAGCTCACTGCAGCCTCTGCCTCCTGGGTTCAAGCGGTTCTCGTGCCTCAGCCTCCTCAGTAGCTGGGACTACAGGTGTGAGCCACCACGCCTGGCTAATTTTTGTATTTTTAGCAGAGACGGGGTTTCACCATGTTGGCCAGGCTGGTCTTGAACTCCTGACCTCAGGCATTCCACCTGCCTCGGCCTCCCATAGTGCTGGGATTACAGGCATGAGCCACTGCTTGGCTGTAACTCATAATTAAAAAAAAATTTTTCCCAATATTTTACTATGAAAGTATTCAGAAGTACAGAAAACTTGTAATAAACAGTGAATATATACATATATATCATCTAGAGTCTATAATGGTTATTTATTATATTTGTTTAACTGCATATCCATCTATCCATTCTTGTATCTGTCATTAATCCATCTTAATTTCCTTTTTTTTTTTTTTTTTTTTTGAGACAGAGTCTTGTTCTGTCACCCAGGCTGGAGTGTAGTGGCGTGGTCTTGGCTCACTGCATCATCTGCCTCCTGGGTTCAAGTGATTCTCCTGCCTCAGCCTCCCGAGTAGCTGGGATTACAGGCATGCGCCACCACGCCCAGCTAATTTTTGTATTTTTAGTAGAGACAGGGTTTCACTGTGTTGGCCAGGATGGTCTTGATCTCTTGACCTCTTGGCCTCCCAAAGTGCTGGGGTTATAGGCGTGAGCCACTGTGCCCGGCCAATCCATCTTAATTTTTTGCCTCACTTCAAGGTATGTTGTAGACATCAGTATACTTCTGAATATTTCTGCTTATATAACATTAACTAGAATTCAGTATTTATACTTTTTGGGGAAGGGTGTAAAATTTATATACAATGGAATGCACAAGTTCAAGGGTACCATTTTATGAGTTTTGACAATTGCATACACTTGTATAACTTAAACCTTTATCAAAACAGAACATTACGTCTCCCAGAAAAAGTTTTCATGCCTCTTGGTTCTTCAACCTTAGACAAAGACAACCACTGTTGTGATTTTTTTTTTTTCTTTTTTTCTTTTTTTGAGACGGAGTCTCACTCTGTTGCCCAGGCTGGAGTGCAGTGGCGTGATCTCGGCTCACTGTAAGCTCCGCCTCCCAGGTTCACGCCATTCTCCCACCTTAGCCTCCCGAGTAGCTGGGACTACAGGCGCTTGCCACCAAGCCCGGCTAATTTTGTTTTTGTATTTTTAGTAGAGACGGGGTTTCACTGTATTAGCCAGGATGGTCTCAGTCTCCTGACCTCGTGATCCACCTGCCACAGCCTCTTGAAGTGCTGGGATTACAGGCGTGAGCCACCGTGCCTGGTTGTGATTTTGTTTCTATCATAGTTTTGCCTATTTCATACAAGTGGAACACATAAATGGAAACATGTAGTATGTACTCATTTGAGCAAGGCATCTTTCATTTAGCATATTTTTTTTTTTGTCGAGACGGGGTGTTGTTTTGTTGCCCAGGCTGGTGTGCAGTGGCACTATCATAGCTTACTGCATCCTTGACCTCCCAGGCTCAAGCGATCCTCCTGCCTCAGCCTCCCAAGTAGCTGGGACTACAGGTGCATGCCACCATGCTTGGCTAATTTTTAAAATTTTCTGTAGAGACAGGGTCTCACTTTGTTGTCCAGGCTGGTCTCGAACTCCGGGGTTCAAGTGATCCTCCCACCTTAGCCTCCCAAAGTGCTAGGATTACAGGTGTGAGCCACCACACCTGGCCAGCATATTTTTGAGGTTCCTCTGTGTTGCTATATGCATCAATAATTTGTTCCTTTTTATTGTTGGTACTATTCTGTCTTCTGACTATATCTTTGTTTGTCCATTCTCCTATTGATAAACACCTGGGTTCTTTTCAGTTTTTGGCTATTTTGAATAAACTTCTATGAACATTTTTGTACCAATCTTGTGAACATTTGTTTTCAGTTCTCAGATAAACATCTAGAGAGATTCAGTGGAATTGCTGAATCATGTACATAGCTATATGTTTAGTTTTATAAGAAACTGCTAGACCTTTTTCCAAAATATTATTAATATATGAGAGTTCTATTTACTTTACATTTTTACTAACATTTGCGTTGTCAGTGTTTTAGTTATTTTGGTGGATATTTAATGATCTCTCACTGTGATTTTTATTTTGCATTTCCCTGATGACTAATGATGTTGAACATTTTTATGTGCTTTTTGGCCATTTGTGCATCTTCCTTTGTGAAATGTTTGTTGAGATTTTTCGAGCATTTAAAAAAATGGAGTTGTCTTTATTATTGAGTTGCAGGAGTTCTTTGTTTGTCCTACATATCAGACCTTTGTCATGTGTATGTTTCGTAAGTAATCTCTCCCAGTCTGTGGCTTTCTTGCTCATCTTGTTAACAAAATCTTTAGGCAAGCAGAGGTTTTAAATATTGATGAAATAAAATTTGGCATTTTTTTTTTAATGGTTATTGTATTCTGTGACCTTTCTAAAAAACCTTTCTTCTTTAAAAAAAAAAAATTAACTAATTTGGGCCAGGTGCGGTGGCTCACACCTGTAATCCCAGCACTTTGGGAGGCCGAGGTGGGCGGATCACCTGAGGTCAGGAGTTCGAGACCAGCCCGACCAACATGGAGAAACCCCGTCTCTACTAAAAATACAGAATTAGCTGGGCATGGTGGTGGCGCATGCCTATAATCTCAGCTACTCGGGAGGCTGAGGCAGGAGAATCGCTTGAACCCAGGAGGCGGAGTTTGTGGTGAGCTGAGATCACACCACTGAACTCCAGCCTGGGCAACGAGAGCGAAACTCAGTCTCAAAAAAAATAAAATTAAAATTAAAATTAAAAAAAATTTTTTGTTTTTTTAGAGTCAAGGTCTTGCTATGTTGACCAGGCTGGTCTTGAACTCCTGTCCTCAAGTAGTCCTCCCACCTCAGCCTCCCAGAGTGCTGGACTTACGTTAGCTACGGTGCCTGGCCAGAAACCTTTATTTATCCCCAAGTCATAAGGATTTTCTCCTATGTTCCATTTTGGAAGTTTTTTAGATTTAGTTTTTACATTTAGTTCTGTGATCCATATTGAATTAATAGATGTGTATGATATGAGGTGGGGAGTTCAGATTGATTTTTATCCTTTTGGATATCAGTTATTTTAGCAACATTTGTGGAAAAGATCTTCCCCCATGAGATTGCTTTGGCACTTTTCTTGAAAATCAAGTGACATATAGGTGTGAATTCATTTCTGGGCTTTCTTTTTCTGTCCCATTGATTTCCTTGTCTGTCCTTAGCCAGTCTCACCTTGTTTTGATTACTGTAGCTTTGTAGTAAGTTTTGAAGTCAGGTAATGTGTAAGTCCTCCAGCTTTGGTCATTTTATTTTAAGATTGCTTTGAGTATTCTGTGTTCTTTGCATTTTATTATAAATTTTAGAGTCAAGTTATTAATTTCTACGGAAAAGCCCAATGGAATTATGTTGCTTTTTTTTTTTTTTTTTTGAGACGGAGTCTTGCTCTGCTGCCAGGCTGGGGTGCAGTGGCGTGATCTTGGCTCTCTGCAACCTCTGCCTCCTGGGTTCAAGCTATTCTCCTGTCTCAGCCTCCCTAACAGCTGGGACTACAGGCACACGCCACCACACCCAGCTAATTCTTGTATTTTTAGTAGAGATGGGGTTTCACCATGTTGGCCAGGATGGTCTCGATCTCCTGACTTCATGATCCACCCGCCTTGGCCTCCCAAAGTTTTGGGATTATAGGTATGAGCCACTGCACCCGGCCTGGAATTACTATTGGAATTATATTGACTCTGTAGATCAGTTCGTGGAGAATCGACATCTTAACAATATTGAGTCTTCTGTTACATGGACATTGCAGATCTCTGTTTTTCTTGTTGTTTGTTTGCTTGCTTGTTTGTTTGTGTGTTTGAGACGGAGTTTTGCTATTGCTGCCCAGGCTGGAGTGCAACGGTGTGATCTCAGGTCACTACAACCTCCGCCTCCCATGTTCAAGCAATTCTCCTGCTCCAGCCTCCTAAGTAGCTGGGACTACAGGCACCTGCCACCACCGTGGCTAATTTTTTGTATTTTTAATAGAGACGGGGTTTCACCATGTTGGGCAGGCTGGTCTCGAACTCCTGACCTCAGGTGATCCACCCGCCTCCTCCCAAAGTGCTGGGATTACAGGCATGAGCTACTGCACCTGGCCCATGTCTCCATTTTTAAGGTCTTCTTTAGTTTTTCTCAACAGTGTTTTCATAATTTTTAGTGTGTGCATCTTACATGTCTTGTTAATCTATTTCTAATATTTGGGGGTTTTCTGGATGCTATTTAGAATTTCACTGTCCAGTTGTTTGCTGCTAATATATAGACATATAACTGAATTTTGTATATTGATCTTGTATTCTGTAACTTTCTAATTAGTCTAGATTTTTTTTTAATTTGCATATTTAGGATTTTCTATGTAAACAATCTTGTGATATTCAGGTAGAGACAGTTTTACTTCCTTTTCAATCTATTCACCTTTTTTTTTTTTTTCCTTGCCTTAGTGCACTAGCTGGGAATTCCATAAAATGTTGAATAGAAGTAGTGGGAGTGGATATCTTTGTTTTCTTCTTGATTTAAGAGCAAACGTGCTCACTGTTTTACTAAAGATGCCCTTTATAGGTTGAGGCAGTTTCCTTATGTTCTAATTTGGGTTAAAAAATTTTTTTATTGTTTTTTTTTAGAGACAGGGTCTTGCTTTAACCCAGGTTGGAGTGAGGTGGCACAATCATGGCTCACTGCAGCCTTGACCTCCTGGGCTCGAGTGATTTTCCCACCTCAGCCTTACGAGTAGCTGGGAATATAGGTATGTGCCACCACACCTGGCTAATTTTTTTTTTACCTTTTTGTAGAGACAGGATATCACTATGTTGACTAGGCTTATCTTGAACTCTTGGCCTCAGGCAGTCCTCCTGCTTCAGCCTCACAAAGTTTTGGGATTACAAGTGTGAGCCACTGCACTCAGCCTATGTTCCAATTTGGCTGAGGAGCTAAGAATTTTTATCATGAGTAGGTGTTGAATTTTTTCTTTTTATTATTATTTTTTATTTTTGTCATTTGTTTTGATTTTTTTTGTGGGTGTTGAATTTTTTTCAAATGCTTTTTCATCATCTCCATAATGGTCATATTGTTTTTCTCCTTTATTCTTTTAATATGGTGAGTTACATGGACTGATTTTTGAATGTTAGACTAACTTTACGTTTCAGGGGTAAAACCCTCTTGATGACATTGTATTATCTCCTTTATGTTGCTGGGTTGATATGCTAATATTTTGATAAGGATCTTTGCAATCCTGTTCTTCATGAGGGTGTAAGTGATAATTTACATGGGATATATAATTTGACCTTAAATATGCAGTTCTGTATGTGGAATAGTCAAATTTTTTATGCTTGGTGGTGGCTAGCTGCTGTTCACTGGAGTAAACAAGTGTCTGCACAGTGTCCCGTGTTAGGATCATGGGGAATTCAAACGTAAATCTGTTCAGAATATCTTTAGGCAGGTGAAACCTGTGGAGACAGTTATTTCAAATACAGTCACTTCTTGAAATCATAGCTACTGGGGTTGTAATTATAAAGCAAATGGTTATGAGTTTTGATTTAGCCACTTGTTTAGTAGTAGTCCTCTGGGTTTTATCCTACTGGTTCTGCCCTAGCTATGGTTTATTGTTGGTATGTATCACGTTCTGCAGGAACAAGATGATGTATGGTTTTATTTACATTATTAATAAATGATACATTGTGATTAACACTAAGATTATACCCCAAAATGAGCAGACAGCAGTGCTTTGCATTCTTTGGATTCTTAAGATAGAAAAGCCTTCTAAAAGTTTCAGTGGTTCCAGAAGCAGTGAGGGTTATATAAAAATAAACAAAATTTTAAAAATACAGCATTGGTGGTTTTGCTTTTTTTGAAAGACCAAATTAATCAAAAGACAGAAGAGAATGTTAGATATTTAAGAGGGTTAGAATGTTTGTTTTTGGTTGCTTATCAAATTGCCATTATTTTTCATTAAAGAACAGTAAGCCACGTGTGGTGGTGTGCACCTGTAGTTCTAACTACTCAGAAGGCTGAGGTGGGAGGATCTCTTGAGCTCAGGAGTTTGAGGCTGCAGTGAGCTATGATTGTGCCACTGCACTCCAGCTTGGGCAACTGAACAAGACGCCATCTCTTTAAGAAAAACAACAATGCACTAGTACTTTCAGCCTTTCAGAATTAATATATCCTTGTAGATCTTTTTTTGTTGTGTACCCCTTTTTTTTTTTTTTTTTGAGATGGAGTCTCACTCTGTTGCACAGGCTGGAGGGCAGTGGCGCCATCTTGGCTCACTGCAACCTCCTGGGTTCAAGCAATTCTCCTGCCTCAGCCTCCCGAGTAGCTGGGATTACAGGAGCACGCCACCATGTCGGGCTAATTTTTGTATTTTCATTTTGTTTTTGAGACGGAGTTTTGCTCTTTTGCCCAGGCTAGAGTGCAATGGCATAATCTCGGCTCACTGCAGTTGCTGCCTCCCGGGTTCAAGTGATTCTCCTGCCTTAGCCTCCCATGTAGCTGAGATTGCAGACATGGACTACCATGCCTGGCTAATTTTTGTATTTTTAGTAGAAGCGGGGTTTCACCATGTTGGCCAGTCTGGTCTTGAATTCCTGACCTGAGGTGATCTGCCCGCCTCAGCTTCCCAGAGTGTGTGAGCCACTGTGCTTGGCCTAATTTTTGTATTTTTAGTATAGATGGGGTTTCACCACGTTGGCCAGGCTGGTCTTGAGTTCCTGACCTCAAGTGATCCACCCGCCTTGGCCTCCCAAAGTGCTGGGATTACAGGTGTGAGCCATCACATCCGGCTAGTACCCTCTTTTTTGTATGAGCTGCTAGTAGGTTTTGGATTTACTGATACAGCTCAATAAGACTTTCAGGCTTTATTGTTCCTAGAAAATTTTTTAAAAAGTGATTGACAAGAGTTACCTCAGAAGTAAACTAAGTTGGATTGTGAGAAACAAGGTTTAAAACCTTTTTTTTTTTTTTTTTTTATGCAGACAAGGTCTCACTGTGTCACCCAGGCTGGAGTGCAGTGATGTGATCATGGCTCGCTCACTGCCGCCTCAAACTCCTGGGCTCAAGCCATCCTTAGCCTCCCAGAGTGTTGGGATTACAAGCATGAGCCATGATTGCCTGGCCTGAGTTTGCAACCTTTTTGATGTTCTGGAGGGACACATTGCAGGACCTTGATAAATAAACAGTTTTGATGATATGAGATAATTGATAATGAAGAGATAATATATGATGGAGGTTTGAAATAATAAGTATTGGGCTAGTAAATTTTGAGACCAAGTTGTAATACAAATTTTCATTTTTTTTATTTTGTGTCTTGTCTAGGTACCTTTAAAATATCTGTTATTCCTAGCATTGCTATGCAACTCTTTCCCTGTTCCATCATAAAGAACACTAGTTTATAGTTGAAACAAAGGGCTTACTGCAAGGCCATACGTGTCCAAAGCCCAGAGATAGAAGAAAGAATAAAATTCATTTGGGAATTGTTTCCTGTGTAAACATAAAATATGATAATTTTGAGCAGTTTCATAGAAACAATATAGTAGCTTCTACAGATTGGTTTAAAAATAATTAAACCCCCTGAATCTAGTGTCCATCACACAGTGCTGCAGAATGCCACCTGATGGTCTCCTGTTAATACCACTGTTAGATCATAAGCACTCAATAGGGCAAGTGCATCTGCTCTATTCCTTCAGTCTGTGTTTTGCCTTCAATGGCAGCTTTGGTTGTGACCTTCTCTAGGAGCAGCAGCTCTCTTTGTATTCTCTCTGTATGTGATCCTAGGTACCTAGTAGGTATTGACAGTTGTCTACTTTTTCATTAAAAAACAATGTTTTAGATAATTCATAGCAGTTTGAAATCAAATCTGAAGAAACCGGCATTTCTTTTTACAAAACATTTTCAGTTGTTTCTTTTCTTCATGAATACTAGTTAGGTGGATTAATTAAAACCATAAACACCTAATTTAATAGGTAATAATGGTAAGCTTTTTTCTTCCCAAATCAAACAAAGTCTTTCATACATTTTACTGAGAATTTCTATGTTCTGCAACTCCTCTTAGATTTTCTCATCTATGTTTTCTTAACTGGAGAAATTCCTCATTTGGTCTTATCTAATACTAAGTAGAAATATGTGATTATTATTAGTGATCCAGTGTCAGTTTTATTTAAGCCTCAAGAATGAGTAAGTCCAGACCTCCTGATGTTCTTCACTGACCAGATATCAAACCAGAGTGTAGAACTGAAGTAATTTGTTGAGATTTTAAAGAATCTGTGTAGTGTTAATTTTAGGGTATTTCTGGCTGGGTACAGGGGCTCACACATGTAATCCCAGCACTTTGGGAGGCCGAGGTGGGTGGATCACTTGAGGTCAGGGGCTCAAGACCAGCCTGTGCAACATGATGAAACCCCGTGTCTACTAAAAGTACAAAAATTAGCCACACATGGTGGCATATGCCGGTAATCCCAGCTACTCGGGAGGTTGAGGCACAAGAATCACCTGAACCCGGGAAGCAGAGGTTGCAGTGAGCCGAGATTGTGCCATGCACTCCAGCCTGGGTAACAGAGCTAGACTCTTGTCTCCAAAAAAAAAAAAAAAGAAAAGAAAAGAAAAAAAGGAAAAAGGCCGGGTGTGGTGGCTCACGCCTGTAATCCCTGTACTTTTTGAGAGGCCAAGGTGGGTGGATCACTTGAGGTCAGGAGTTCGAGACCAGACTGGCCAACATGGTGAAACCCCATCTCTCCTAAAAATACAAAAATTAGCTGGGCGTGGTGGTGGGCACCTGTAATCCCAGCTATCCGGGAGGCTGAGGCAGAAGAATCACTTGTACCCGGGAGGCAGAGGTTGCAGTGAGCCGAGATAGTACCACTGCACTTCAGCCTGGGTGACAGAGTAAGACTCTTGTCTCAAAAAAAAAAGTATTTATTAGACATTTTCTGAATTTTAATCATGGAGATGTAATCACAGCCCTTTCCCCTCCCCCTCCGCTCCCCTCTTCTCTTCCTGACAGAATCTCGATCTGTCGCTCCTCTTCTCTTCTCTTTTCTTTCTGACAGAATCTCGCTCTGTCACCCAGGCTGGAGTGCAGTGGCACGATCTCAGCTCACTGCAACCTCTGCCTCCCAGGTTCCAGAGATTTTCCTGCCTCAGCCTCCTGAGTAGCTGGGATTACAGGCACGTGCCACCACGCCCGGCTAATTTTTGTATTTTTAGTAGAGATGGGGTTTCACCATGTTGGCCAGGCTGGTGTCCAACTCCTGGCCTCAGGCGGTGTGCGAGCCTCAGCCTCCCAAAGTGCTGGGATTACGGGTGTGAGCCACCATGCCTGGCCCTATTTCTGTTAAATACACTATTTTTCCTGGTTTTCAGTGTCTCACCAAAATACTGTCTGTTTTCAATTAGGGTGGAATAGCCCTATTCTCTCATCCCTGCTACCTCCAAATCAGGCTATGCCAAGAGGGGACCCTAAATTAGATTAGAAAAGGGGGCTAATTGTAAGTAGTAGTCATGAATGTGTCTGCACATTGCTATACATTCTGACTTTTTAAAATTTAGCAGCATACATTTAGAAAGTAGCTGTGTACAAAGCACTATTCTTAGTGGACATAGGGAATTCAGATATAGTCCCTGCCTTCAGAAGGACTTACCACTCTCTCATATAAGAAATGAACACACACGCAACTAAATGGAACACATGGAAGGCATCACTGGGGTGAGGCTGGATATGGCCTCTAAGTGTGAAAGTGGCTTCGTCTCTCTCCTAGGGTTCTGGTTTTGAACATTGGAATTGAAGGGAAGAGTGGCTCCACCAAGGGCTGGAGTGTTAGTTAACCTGGCACTGCTACCAGAGAACATGCCTGTGTGGAGAGTCCTGCTATTCTTTTTCATTATGAACAATTTTAAACATAGGTGGAATAATATAGTGACCCCGTTTCAATATATTCATCCCTCAGATTTAATAATTTTAGGGCTTTGGTACATTTTCTTCATCTATCCCATTTTGTTTTTTCTTGCTATTGTGTTTTAAGGTAAATTCCAAACATCTGTCATTTTAATCCTACATACTGTCAAGTATGCATTTCCAAAAATATGGCCATTTTCTTGCATAATGCAAATGCCACCATGAATCTAACCAAGTTAACAGTAATTCCTTTGATGTCATCTCACAGAGGATGTCATTTTTAAGTCTCATTTCAGGCTGTCCTTGCTGTTTTTGGTGTCCTCAAGGTCTTTGTGGACCTGGTCCTAATTGTTATCATGGATAGGCTTTTTTTTTCTGGATACTTTCTCTAATGAAATAATCTGATTGTGTTCAAGGAGTTAACTTCACTCTCAGGCAGGTATTCTGCAACCAATTTAATTACACTTCAGTAAACCTGTGGAAAACCTCTTAGTTTGTATTTAGGTTTAAAATATAATTAGAAGGAGCCACTTTTGTGACACAGTGGATAGTGCATTGGACTGGTAGCCCATTCTGATGTAGTCATTCAAAAACGTGTAGTCAGGACGTATGATGGTGTTTAGTACTCAAGGCACAAAAAGAGCTGACCACAGCTGTGTTCTTAGAGCTTTTGCCTAGCATGTTATGCTTTGACTTTTCTTGTTCTTCTCTGCTTCAACTACCTAACCACTTGCAATGGAATTAATTTACACTCCCGAAACTACTAAGAGTACAGCCTTTTCTCTCTAATACATGTGCACGCATAGATGCACATGTATCCCAAAATATTCTGGGAACTGGGAGAACTGTTCGTGTTCCTCTCTCTGTTTCCTGTCTTGATTAGTGGCATCATATCCCTCTAGACAGGAAATTCTAAGGTTTTTCTCTTGACTCCTATTGCCAGTTGGTCATATTTGCAATAGCTCTATTCACTTCATTCTAGTTTTCCTGCCCTAGTTCCAGATCTTTACTGTACATCTGAATCATTACAATAACTCTCAACTAGCCTCTTTCTCAGTTGCTTTCCCTGCCAGTCCATCAGATCCTCATTACTGCTGGTTACCATTCTAAAATAGAAATCTTATCACATCACTCCTTTGCACACAAGCCTCTTTTAGCACTCAGTTGTCTACAGAATGAGATCCAACCTTCTTGGTGTGGCATTTGTAGTGCTGTGTGCGTCAGCCACAATGGACTACATGCTATTTCTGCAGCATACTGTACACTCTTTTTTTTTTTTTGAGATGGAGTCTCGCTCTGTTACCGAGGCTAGAGTGCAGTGGTGCGATCTCGGCTCACTGCAAGCTCCGCCTCCTGGGTTCACAACATTCTCCTGCCTCAGCCTCCCGAGTAGCTGGGACTACAGGCGCCGGCCACTACACCTGGCTAATTTTTTTTTTTTTTTTGTATTTTTAGTAGAGATGGGGTTTCTCTGTGTTAGCCAGGATGGTCTCGATCTCCTGACCTCGTGATCTGCCTGCCTCAGCCTCTCAAAGTGCTGGGATTACAGGCGTGAGCCACCGCACCTGGCCAGCATACTGTAGTCTTATCCTTCTTTGCTCTGTTTGTACACATTGCCTGTTTATCTGGAATGCTGATGAGTGGTGGAGGAGAGATTCTAGCCCATGTGCTTTCATTTATTGTGCTGAATAAATGAAGGTTCTGTGGAATTGGTTGTAAGGAAGTTTTACTTGCTTCTTTTAGTTTTATGAGACTATAGATCAAAAACATTACTGCATGTACTTTCTAAAGTTCAGTATTCCAAAAGTTTGATGTCTGAAGGTTTTTTTTTTCTTTGAGGCAGAGTCTCACTCCGACATCTGAGCTGGAGTGCACTGGTGTGCTCTCGCCTCACTGCAACCTCTGCCTCCCAGGTTCAAGTGATTCTTGTGCCTCAGCCCCTCCCAAGTAACTGGGATTACAGGCACCTGTCACTATGCCCAGCTAATTTTTATATACATATATGTGTGTGTGTGTGTGTGTACTAATATATATACATATATTACATATATGTGTGTGTATATATATGTGTGTATATATACGTATATACATATGTGTATATGTATATATGTATACATGTGTACATATATACATATGTATACATGTGTATATACATATAAATATATATATATATACATATATTTTTTTTTTTTTTTTTGAGACGGAGTCTTGCTCTGTCACCCAGGCTGGCATGCAGTGGCGTGATCTTGACTCACTGCAACCTCTGCCTCCCAGGTTCAGGCAATTCTTCTGCTTCAGCCTCCTGAGTAGCTGGGACTACAGGCGCTCGCCACCACGCCTAGCTGATTTTTGTATTTTTAGTAGAGACAGGGTTTTACTATGTTGGCCAGGCTGGTTTCGAACTCCTGAATTTATGATCCACCCTCCTCAGCCTCCCAAAGTGCTGGGATTACAGGCGTGAGCCACCACGCCCGGCCTTTTTGTTTTTTTTGAGACAGGGTCTCACTCTGTCACCCAGGCTGGAGTGCAGTGAGTGGTGTGATCTCTGCTCACTGCAGCCTCCACCTCCTGGGTTCAAGTGATTCTCCTGTCTCAGCTTCCCAAGTAGCTGGGATTACAGGGTATGCCACCATGCCTGGCTAATTTTTGCATTTTTAGTACAGACCAGGTTTCACCATGTTGGCCAGTCTGGTCTCGAACTCCTGACATCAAGTGATCCACCCGCCTCGGCCTCCCAAAGTGTTGGGGTTACAGGCGTGAGCCACTGCACCTGGCCTAATTTTTATATTTTTAGTAGAGATGGGGTTTCACCATGTTGGCCAGGCTGGTCTTGGACTCCTGACCTCAAGTGACCCATCTGCCTCACCTCCCAAAGTGCTGGGATCACAGGCGTGAGCTACCACACCCAGCCTGATATATGGAGTTTTGATAGTGGTGCCAGTCACCTTTTTGATCACTTTTTCCCCTTAAATTTCCAAATTCTGCTTTTAACTTTGTTGTTTGTTACCCTTTCCTCATGGCAGGGAAGAGGAGGAAGATGCAGAAATAAAGGAAGTAGACTTCAGTCAGAGAGAGGGAAAGAAACAGCATGATATAAGAGTTTATCAAATACCAGCTGTTTTGTGGTTTGGTAAGGAGGAAATAACTGGAAAAAAAAAAAAAAAAAAACACCCAAAACCAAGAGAGGACATTTTTTTGAAACAAGAGTCTTTGTTGCATTAACATCTTAGACAGTCTTTTAAAAAATGTAGACCTAAGGGCGGGGCATGGTGGCTCACACCTGTAATCGCAACACTTTGGAAGGTCAGGCTGGAGTTTGAGACCAGCCTGGGCAATATAATGAGACCTCATTTCTACAAAAAATTTAAAAATTAGCCAGGTATGGTGGCACGCGCCTGTAGTCCTAGCTACTTGGGAGGCTGAGGTGGGATTGCTTGAGCCTGTGAGGTGGAGATTTCAGTGAGCTGAGATTGCGCCACTGCATTCTAGCCTGGGTGACAGAACAAAACTCTGTCTCCTCTCCTCGCAACCTGCCCCCCTCCCCCCGCCAAAAAAAAGTAGGCCTAACAAAGGATGGAAATCTTTTTACTTGTCTTAGTAACTTAATTTTTTTTGTTTTAATGAGACATTTTGAGATTTACCTGTTTGTGTCATTTTTAAAAATCTACTACAGTATTAAGTTACAGAATTTTCAGAAAGTTATCATTCAGATGTGATTTCATGTCTTTTGTTTTTGTTTGTTTTAGACAAAAGAAGTTAGAAAAGGTGATGGAAGAAGAAGGCCTAAAAGATGAGGAGGTAATTAATATTGGCAATGTTTTCCTTAAAACCCAGCGTGGCAGGTTGTATCTTGTCCAGTGAGTTGTTAGCCTTGGTACACATGAGAAGGGTTTTGGCTCAATAACAGAGGAACTTGAGGGGTAGTGTGCTTCCGGATTTGGGTGTTAATTCAGAGGGACAGATTAATTATTAAGTACCTAGGAGAGGAAGGCTTCTCTAGATGCAGTTATAGTAAACTAGATTTAGAATTCCAAGAGAAAGCAGGGATGAAATCAAATTAAATTTTAAAAGAGCAAGTTGTAGCATTTTTATAGAATTCACTGAAAAGTCTCCGTAGGAGTAGGGCAAATTTTTGAAATATTTATTTATTTTACTTTTTCTGGGATACATACGTGTGCTGAACATGCAGGTTTATTACATAGGTATATATGTGCCATAGTGGTTTGCTGCACCTATCAACCTGTCATCTAGGTTTTAAGCTCCGCATGCATGAGGTATTTGTCCTAATGCTCTCCCTCCCTTTCCCCCCATGCCCCGACAGGCCCCGGTGTGTCATGTTCCTGAAATCTTTATTAAGGCAAAATATCCATCTCAAATCAGCCCTTCCACCCAGTGCCCACAGATACAGTAGGAGAAAATATAGTTAACAAGGGACTGTGCAAGGAACTGAAATGGTAGTGGAAATGCCTTCAAAAATAGGACTGGCTTGCAGAACCCAGGACGGTGGTGAAAAATACCCAATACTTGTAGAAATAACAGAAAGTTAGAGTATACAGTGTTTAAGCCAGAGGGAAAGATAAGAACACATTTTTAATTTATATTAAACAGGATAAAGGAAAATATTGTTGATTATTTATCCCTCCCTTCACCAAAAATGTTAGGATAGTGGATTGCTGAAGTAGGTTAGTCAGAGTTCCCAGAGGAGGCACCCATCTGTTCAGTGTGGCTTGGATGTTGTGTCTAAATGCCAGGAAAGGGAGAAGTGACCTCTTAAGGATCCTTCTGGGGTGATTTCATATGTGAAAAGATTATCCTTAGTCCACTTGGACCTGTTTTCTAGCTGGGTAAGTCACAAACATGACTTGTTACAGAGTTTCAGAATTTCAGTTCCTTCCCGTCTCCTCCCTTTTTTATTTAAATATTAGAAACGACTCCGGAGATCAGCACATGCTCGGAAGGAAACAGAGTTTCTTCGTTTGAAGAGAACAAGACTTGGATTGGAAGATTTTGAGTCCTTAAAAGTAATAGGCAGAGGAGCATTTGGTGAGGTAAAAATCACAGCTACTTGTCAAGTAGAAAAATATTGCAAAACTTCAAAGCTTCTAACATACCATTAAGTCATGATTGTTGATATAACAAATATATGGAATTAAATGAGTCAGGCATGCCAGCCCCACATCCTAATTGCTTTGTCTGTCTGCTTTCTCTTTTTCTTCTCTCCGCAGTCCCAGATCTCTGTTCTCTGTTTTGCCAGAGATGGTGTTGGTGTTTAAATATTGACTTAGGGGGAGAGTTGAAAGGTAGAAGGAAATCAACATTTATTATTTACAGGCTGCTTTTTTCCCATAATCAGGACAGTAACCCATTTTATAGATGGTGAAATTAAGACTCTAAAGGTATATATAATGTCTCTTGTTATCACACAGCCATTGAGTACTGGGACCAAAAGTTGGGCTCTACTTCCTGAACTCAAAGAGCTTGCTTTTCCCAGTACTGCACTGCCTCTCGAGAAGGAAACTAATAGTGTATCTCCACCCTTTATTTCTCCCCACCAGATTGATACAGCTCTAAAAAGATGACCCTAGGAGGGAGGATTTACAGAAAGGAGTTATATAGGTAGTGGTGGAGAGTTGAAAGCATTTGCGACTTTGTCCCCGCAATTCTTGGAAATGATCCTGCTTGGGCACAAGAGCAATCTGTTGGGGAGAGCTTGAAAGAGCCCATGCAAGGTCATTCCTGTTAATGAAAAATGCCCAAACTGGATGACCTACTGACGCAATAATTGCAAGTATAAAAGGAGCAGTATATTATTAAAACCTGGTACCCCGGGGCCAGGCACGGTGGCTCACTCCTGTAATCTCAGCACTTTGGGAGGCCAAGGCGGGCGGATCACAAGGTCAGGAGTTCGAGACCAGCCTGACAACATGGTGAAACCTTGTCTCTACTAAAAATAGAAAAATTAGCCGGGTGTGGTGGCACGTGCCTGTAATCCCAGCTACTCAGGAGGCTGAGGCAGGAGAATTGCTTGAACCCAGGAGGCAGAGGTTGCAGTGAGCCGAGATTGCACCATTGCACTCCAGCCTGGGTGACAGAGCAAGACTCCATCTCAAAAAAAAAAAAAAACAAAAAACCTGGTACCCCGGGGAAATGTGAATAGTATTCAGAGGCACAGGTGATAGATTGATCCCTCAGTGTTCAGAATTCCTATTGGCTTCTTGAAAGAGGGAAAAGTATAGTACCACCTCTGAAAGAGCTTTCTGTTTGGCAAGGAAGGGTTGTGGTACTCAATTAGGAAAAACATGAAGAAAGGTTCAGGGAGAAGAAAACCTACTTATTTTGGGAGAAGAGGGGAGGACATGCAGGAACTTGCAGTGAAATTTTTCTTTTGGTTGTAAATTTTCTTCATAAAATTATCTGTTTTCTTTAAGAACATTGGAAAACATAAAAGAGAAGGAAAACTACATAAAACACAATTTCCCTAATTACACATTTTGAATTTTCTTCTTCTTCTTTTTTTTTTTTTTTTTTTTTTTGAGACAGAGTCTTGCTCTGTTGCCCAGGCTGGAGTGCAATGGCTTGATCTTGGCTCACTGCAACCTCCGCCTCTCGGGTTCAAGTGATTCTACTGCCTTAGCCTCCCGAATAACTGGGATTACAGGCACCTGCCACCACACCCAGCTAATTTTCGTATTTTTAGTAGACGGGGTTTCACCAGGTTGGCCAGGCTGGTCTCGAACTCCTGGACCTCAGGTGATCCACCTGCTTCGGCCTTCCAAAGTGCTGAGATTATAGGTGTGAGCTACCGCGCCTGGCCTGAATTTTTTGTTTTTCTTTCCAGACGTTTTTCCTAAGCATGAAGTTTTACTTTGTTATTATTATTATGATTAAGTGACAAGGTTTCACTGTGTTGCCCAGGCTGGAGTGCAGTGGCTGTTTACAGGCACGATCTCACTACTGATTGGCATGGGAGTTTTGACCTGCTCCATTTCTGAACTGGGCCTGTTTGCCCTTCCTTAGGCAACCTGGTGGGCCCCCCCTCTGCCACCCTGCTCCTGGGAGGTCACCATATTATGCTGAACTTAGTTCAGACACCTGATCAGCATAATGCACCATAGCTCATAACTCCTGAGCTCAAGCGATCCTCCTACCTCAACCTCCCAAATAGCTGGGACTACAGGTATACACCACCATGCACAGCTACTTTTGTTTTAATTAAACATCATTGTAATCATTTACTTAGATTTTCTGAGCTGACTGGATGACATGTGTCAGAGGTGTAACGAGTCCTTAAATTTGAAATTGAAGGTTTTAAATTAGATTGGCTTGTTCAACTAAGGAACCAAAGCTGTTCAGATGTAGAGGTATTTGAGGATGTTTCCAGCATCGACTTTACTGTGTGTAATGTATTCATTTTGGAACACTGAAAAGCATTTTCTTCTGCTTTGTTATTACTAGTTGCTCATGTTAAAATTGTAATACTTTTTCAGTTAATTATTGCATCCTATAACACATGAAAGCATTAGGTTGGTAGTACGAGTTTTTGACTTGGCATTTCTTTTATAACTTTTTAGGTACGGCTTGTTCAGAAGAAAGATACGGGACATGTGTATGCAATGAAAATACTCCGTAAAGCAGATATGCTTGAAAAAGAGCAGGTAAAGCACAGTTGTAGCAGTGCTTTTAGCTTATTAATTTTTGTCTCCTAAAACTTTTCTTTTTGTTTAATTGAAATATATATTTTTATTACAGTTTTCTTTAGCTCTGTCATGTATGACTATATATATAATACTACCTTTTTCCCCCTACAAAGAAGCAGTTCATATTTAAAATCACAAATAATGCCTGTAGGTTATATGCAATCTTTTAAAAATTGAAAATCTGTTCCAAAAGCAGCTCTTACTTGTGTCTTCCAATTGATCACAAGATGTCCTTATTGTGAGAGCCTTTTTTTTTTGAGGTCGTACGTGGTGTGGTAGTGTGTTTCTTACCAAATGCTGAGAAATAGAAATTGTATATATATCTCATAACTAAGGACTAGGAATTAGAATTTGGAATTTATAATCTAAAATGTGTCTTTATATGCTTCATTCTGTTTACCTAAACCAAAGTTGAGTCTTCTAGGTAGCTCATCGGTACCTGAAAAAGACCAGCCTTCTAATTTCTGAATGAATTTGAAAAATACAATGCAAATGACAGAACAATGCAAATTCTCCTTTAATGATAAAGGATACTTTCTAAAACCAAAACCTGGTTTGCAAATCAATTTATAAAGTGCCTTATGCAAAATAAATAAGGTTTTAAATATTGGAAAGTATATTTTAAAAAGCAAGAATAGACTTTCTATAAATCTAGTTTAATGTAGCTGGTTGCTTAAGAAAAGATTGCAGTGGGTGATGACCGCAAATGTCCTGTAAAAGATTTGATGTTATAGGAACATGGAGACCCTGTGACAAGGAGAACTCCTAATTTAGGGCCAAAGAGGGGGGATGGAGATTGGCCCCACATCCAATCCTTTCTACCTCTTGAGAGGAGATATAATCACTGGTCTTCCCTGTCTTCATTTAAATGCCACCCCAAAATTTGGAATTTTTATTTTCTCTCAAATTTTCATGTGTTACCGAGAAGCTTTAGACTCCCAGGAATTTCAGTTGGGAGTATCAAATACCTGGGCGGTAAGTCTTGAGACACTATAGTTTATGCTAACGCCAACCTTTTTCAAAATTCATAGTAGGCCGGCCTACTTACATACTATCTACAAATTAGTGTGTGGTATGGGTGTGTAGGCACTGAAAAAGTTTCAGTTAATCTTGAGAAGGAAAATATAAAGCTTCTGCATTAATTAGTATGTTTGCATCTCATGAGTAAGTTTTGTTTTTGCAAGGTATGTTTCCTACAGTTTTAACCAAGGCTTAAGACCTCTTTTTATTAAATATTAACTGTCAGAGTAATACTGCAAAACAAAGTACATATGATTTTCAGTTAGTAATTTTATGTATACCAGGTGCCCCGCATGGTTTCTAACAGAGGATGATCCAGACATAATGTGTAAAAAGCCTTTTCGCAAATATTGTGCCTTCAAAATCACTTTCTAAAACTTTCCTAAATGAAAGTAAAGAAACTATTAGAATTAACATTTTAAATGATGCATTAACTTATGGATTAAATGGTACATTAACTTAAATTGTTTAGCTCACCTTAGCTGAGAACTCAACTCCTCAACTTAACAGATCTCATTATGAGCCAGTTAAAGTCTCTGGCCACAGACTCTACCTGGCTTAGCCATCTTGAAGAAGCATGCATTGGTTTTGTGCTAGATAAAAGATGGAAGTAGACCAGTGCAAATTCATCACCATTTTGGGGTAGGGCTGACAAAGTAGAGGTACAGAGGCAAAATTGTTTTTTTGTTTGCTTTTACTAAATAAACTGGGTAGGAATTAAAGCTACCCACTGAGAGTTCAGGTTATTTTTCTGCTCCACGTGGTGGAAATTTTTGCTACCTGGAAAAATTTAAAGGGTAAGACATGACATCTAACTAGCTTCTGATGTTTCTCTTCCAGTGCAAAAGGAAAACCTTCAGTTGTGATGCCAGTATACAGTTATTGATGGGACAAAAAACTGGCTTTTATTTCTGCTTTCTTAGGGCACAGGATAGCAACTAGCACCCCCCACCTTATTAAATATTTATGGAATAGGGGAAAGAGAACCTTTTTGTATAAATTGCACCTCAGACTCTTCCCTCCC
Organism: Homo sapiens; assembly: GCF_000001405.40. Taxonomy (NCBI): domain Eukaryota; kingdom Metazoa; phylum Chordata; class Mammalia; order Primates; family Hominidae; genus Homo; species Homo sapiens. The sequence continues at coordinate 36,519,647 of NC_000006.12, read as the reverse complement.
TTAATCTATATTCAGCCAACTCCACTTTCAAACCATGAGGTTTCTTGCTACTGTTTCAGCCTCAAGAGAAAGGCAAGGTGTGCTCATGGTAGCTTTCCCCTTGACAAACAGGAAATGTTATGGGCACCATTGTGTCCTCCAGGGTGAGTGACAAGTGGTAATTGTAGTGCCTCTCCTTTTCTCTGGCTCCCTGCAGTAGGTAGGGAGCTTAATGGGAGCCAGGGGAGACAGGCAGATGAAGGCTGCCTTCTACTGTATTAATGTCTTGTAGTGACTGGGTCCTAGCCATGGCTGTGGGGCAGCAAGCAATGTTACTGTTTCCCAAAAGCTTTGCTTCTGTATTAAGGTCAAGTAAAGGCAGATGCTTTACTTGGTTTCATTGTGTTTCATAGCACTGTTTCTTTTCACCCTTATTGTCCATTTTTTCCCACCCCAATACCATAAGTACAGATGTAAAGATGTAGGTTTTCTGTACAGTTGCAGCTTTTAAAAAAATTCCCCAAAGAATGATTTTAGTAGATACTGAAAACTCAAATACATAAAGTCAAATGCCTCTGGGCCTCCAAGAGTTAGCATAGAAGCCTGAAGCAAGTTAGATATAAGACCAGGGGAGAGGGTGTTGAAATGGAAGAGTAATGGAAGAGTGCCTTGTCTCCCTAAAGACATGTCAATAAAACAAGCATCATATCAAACATTGTATTAAACCAAACAACAGCCATGGACTAAATTTGCCAACAGCCATGGACTAAATTTGCCAATTTGTGAACCTTGGTACATGTTTTACTTCAGAACATGTTGTAAAAAGTCAAGACCTGTAGCATATGTTAAGACCAAAACCACTATTCAGGGATTGGACTGAGTCTTAATAAATTTAGATCTGAATCAACCCAATTTAGACCTTGTGACACTTAAAAAAGAGGGGAGGGGCCAGGCATGGTGGCACACACCTATAATCCTAGCTACTTAGGAGGCTGAGGCAGGAGGATCACTTTAGACCAGGAGTTTGAGGCTTCAGTGAGCTATGATCACGCCACTGCACTCTAGCCGGAGTGACAGAGCGAGACCCCATCTTGTTTTAAAAAAAGTGTGTGTGGGGGGGATTTGATAATATGCAGTGATGTTTGATTACTGTTCTGCATTTAAAGTAAATAAGGTAAATTTGATAATAAAGCATTGCTTTAACAAAATAATTCCGGTTCTCTGAAACTTTCTACAACTTGGTCCTTTATAGGTATTTCAGTAAAAGTATAAAATTGGAAATGTCATTAATTTGAATCTACAACTTTTCATAGGTGTTCTTGTATTTCAATTCAGTAAGGATTGATTGAGCACATAGCAGTGAACTAAATGCTGTGGTATCATAGCATTCTAGAATTTGTCAGTGAGCTCACTGTTGTTGCAGATACTAGTGCAGACCCGAGGAAGAACTTGGAAGAGAGTCTCACTTTGGGGACTTATTTTTATCATAAAAGATTATTAGACAAAACTCTATGCAAAAGAGTAGTAATTTTAACTAATCAGAGATTCAGTTTATAGCAGTGTTAAAGTTGCTATTTGCATTAAAGCCATTCATTTTGCCATTTTTTAAAGCCTTTCATCACTCAAGTTTTCATCACTGAATACCTTGAAGTCAAATGTTGTCAATTTTGAGTTAGTAGGTTTGCCTAAGCAGAAATTGGATCTTTTATATCATCACGATTAAATACTCAAAACAGTATTTAAGCACAGTATTTAAATTGTTTAAGCAAATATACAATCTAATAAAGCAGAGCAAGCTTTGTCATTAATCAAATGCATATACCTCCAGGTTGGCCACATTCGTGCGGAGCGTGACATTCTAGTGGAGGCAGACAGTTTGTGGGTTGTGAAAATGTTCTATAGTTTTCAGGATAAGCTAAACCTCTACCTAATCATGGAGTTCCTGCCTGGAGGTAATTACTTGACGATGAAAGGTCATTTTTTCTTTTTGTTCTGTGGTTTCTTTCTCTCACATCACGATTAACCCTCCTTTCTACTTTTAAATGTGCTCACAAAGTTGCTTTCTATATCCTTTTTTAGGTCTATAAAGGAAGTCAGTAACCTGTCTTGTGCTGGGGTGCCTTTCTACAATCTTAGTACCATAAAAGTAACCTGTTAATTCATTTACATGATTTCAGATGGACATTTCTTTCTTTTCTTCTTCTTTTTAAAATATATAGGAATAAATTAGGGTGCTCTGCCTGCTCTCCTGTCAATGGGAATCATATATGATCAATAACCCAAGTGACAACATTGAAGCTATAACATCCTTTGCTCCAAATTTTTGTTTCTTTTTGTATAACATATTAATAAGGAGTGAATTTTTTGTTACCCATATTAGTAGCCAGAAAAAATTTCTCATTTCTGAAATTTTAAGTTTTATGTAACTCAGCATGAGCATCTCCTAAGACAGCTCCAAAGTAAACCCAGAACAGAACATGCCATCTGTTCTGAGGAAAGCAGTCTGTTTGTCAGTGAGCAGATGAACTCTGAGCAAACTCTGGTGGGAAAAAAAAAGAGAGAGAACTTTTTTCTTTTTTGTTCCTATAATTGTGGCATAATATTTTGATTTTGTGACAACCCTTAGATTTAGGGTCATCAATACTTTTTAATAAAGAAACACATTTAATAAAAAATAAACAGTTGATTAATGTTAGAAAAGAGTCTGGTAGAATGAGGAGAAACTTTTTTAACATTTAGATGCTAGTTCTTAAATAAGAGTAAGAGCCAACTTGGTTACCAGCTCCTAACGTGTCCTCAAGCCTCAACCTGTACCATCTTCCGTAGCTTCTCATGTCTCCTGGACCCTGCCCTTTGCACTTGGTGGAGCTGGCCTGCAGAGCCATAGAGCATCTGGCCTGAGCTCTCCAATCATCTGGGCAAACTTGCACAGGCGAGGCCCCATTGACTGCTCTCCTGAGCCACAGAACTAAGGCCGTATAGCTACCTTACTGGGGTAGCAGCCCAAGTGCACTGTCTCCATGTGTCTGGTGGGTCTCCAGATTGAAGGGCTGCCAGGAGTGATTAGGAAATCATATTTTTTAAGTATTGGACTGAAAAAGAGCACTTTAATAAATGGTTTAATTTTTGCCTGAGGGAAAAATAGCTACTTTTCTCCAATAATACAAAACATAATGTTCTAAATGAAATGAAACTGAAAAAGCAGCATGATGCTCTGTTAAAATCAGAGGTTTCTTTCTCTTTTCCTTGTTTTCTAACATAAGTGACTTTATGTGAGGTCTAAACTGAATCTTTACTGTTTCTCTTAGTTTTAAACTCCTTATACATATTTTCTTTGCATTTCTCACTGTTGAGTTAGGACCTGAATCTTTTTCTGCCATTTTATGTTGCTGGTATTAGAAATGATGAAATTTTGACTTTGCAGAAAACTAACGAGGTTACCTTTTAACTGCTAGAATACTGATACTGTGTTTTAAAAGTTACATAAAGGGTACTAGTGTCCATTTAAATACCTATAATAACGCACTAGAGAAAAAAAAGCACTGACCTTGAGAGGTGTTCATTGTACTCTTCCAGGAGGCAGTTATTGCACATTCTAGTGTATAGCATTTTCAGTTCATTTTTAGCTTTTGTTGACTAATGCTTTGCTACCCAAGTCCTTCCTTTTTATTTGTTTGTGTTCTGTGAATAGAAGTTGGAAAGCTTGTTTTCAGCCTGCCCGAGTGTTTACATTTTTATTTGGCATTTCAGCCTCTCTATAACAATACATAGATTGTATGTGGAAGTGCCATTTAGTTACAGATGCAGAAAAGCTTGCAGATACTTGTTCAGGCAAAGTGAAAAGTAAAGTAGCATTTTACCCCGAGTCCAAAAAATTATCCTAAGCAAATACAGTTGTTTTTTAAAGTGTGGGAGAAATTTTCTTTTTCTCTCAAAAGTAAAATAGAAATCACAGCTTAGTGGTCAACCTTAGCTAGCTTAGGTGTGAAAATCCCATTTCTTCCCATGTTGGCCATGTGGGTCTATCTCTGGCACACAGAAGAGGTCTGTTTAGCCGCCTTATTTTGGCAGATAGGGAAGACATATCTGAAAATTGGTACTCACTCGTATGTTGTGTGTGTGTGTGTGTGTGTGTGTGTGTGTGTGTGTGGTGGCTTTGTATCTTCTTGTTTCCAGGGGACATGATGACCTTGTTGATGAAAAAAGACACTCTGACAGAAGAGGAGACTCAGTTTTATATAGCAGAAACAGTATTAGCCATAGACTCTATTCACCAACTTGGATTCATCCACAGAGACATCAAACCAGACAACCTTCTTTTGGACAGCAAGGTATTGGGGGGGCATTGGCATGAACTATGCACGTTTACTGATCTGAGCAGCCTCTGCTTTAACACCTGCACCCCTGTGGTCATCCCAGTGGGCGAGCTGTGACCTGCCTTGTCATGATTTTCCTTTTTTTTTTAAACAGGTAAGTTTGCTGTCACTTCCTTTCTCTGAAAGGCTATGGTTCTGTAATTTGGTTGAACATTTCTCTTAAAAATAAAGGAAACTTGAAAATAAGAGCAAAATTGATGTAGAGGGCAATTTTGTAATAAAGCCAAAGATAGTCACCTTCTCTTAGCATATAATTAACTGTGTTACTAATACATCACCTATCTAGAGCCCTTCTGTTGGGCAACCTCATCAGTTAATGAGGAACCCAGCCAAGAAGCAGGAAATGCAGTAACAACAAGAACCTGTAACAAAGTCCAGGTTCCAAATCATGCTCTCTGCTTAAAGAAGAGTCCTGCCCAGCCTCTTTTTTTTTTTTTTTTTTTTGAGATGAAGTCTCACCCTGTTTGCCCAGGCTGGAGTGCAGTGGCGCGATCTTAGCTCACTGCAACCTCCGCCTCCTGGGTTCAAGCGATTCTCATTGCCTCAGCCTCCCAAGTAGCTGGGATTACAGGCATGCACCACCACGCCCCTGCCCAGCCTCTTAAATGGCCTGTTTATTTTTATTTTTAGACATGCAGATAAGCGTAGTTGCCTAGTTCCTAAACTTACAGCAAATTAGAAGATAATCCCTGTGCTGCCAACTAACTTGCTAGATAACCCTTGGCAAATCTCTTTACCACCTGGATCTCACTGTTCTTATCCGTAAAGTGAAAATACTGATCTAGGAAACCCCTAAAATCCCGTTCACCTCTAAAACTCTAGAATGTTGTTTTCTGTTAAGCAGACTTGTTGTCTTGACTGAATTTTTCTTGTAAGGTGAAAAGTAAATTTATTTTCTAGGGTATTTTTCTTCTTTGAAGTCTTTTGGTGACTTTTTTGCTTTGCTGTCCTTGAAAAACCTGAAGTTGTTTTTTTTTTTTTGAGACGGTCTCATTCTGTCATCCAGGTTGAAGTGCAGTGGCACAGTTATAGCTCACTGCAATCTAATTCTTGGGTTCAAGGGATCCTCTTGCCTCAGCCTCCTGAGTAGTTGGGACTATAGGTGCATACCACTGTACCTTTTTTTTTTTTTTTTTTTGAGACGGAGTCTCGCTCTGTCGCCCAGGCTGGAGTGCACTAGGGCAGTCTCGGCTCACTGCAAGCTCTGCCTCCCGGGTTCACACCATTCTCCTGCCTCAGCCTCTCGAGTAGCTGGGACTACAGGCGCCCGCCACCACACCCAGCTAATTTTTTGTATTTTTAGTAGAGACGGGGTTTCACGGTGTTAGCCATGATGGTCTCGATCTCCTGACCTTGTGATCTGCCCGCCTTGGCCTCCCAAAGTGCTGGGATTACAGGCGTGAGCCACCAAGCCTGGCCTTTTTTTTTTTTTTTTTTTTTTTTTAATTTTTAGTAGAGATGAGGTCTCGCTTTGCTGCCCAGGCTGGTCTCAAACTGCCTGGTTTAAGTGATCCTCCCACCTCAGCCTCTCAAAGTCCTGGGATTACAAGTGTGAGCCACCACCTGCTTTTTTCTTCATTATAATGTGCAGAAGTGGAGTAGAATAGTGGACATCAAAGGCTAGAGAGTGTAGCAGAGACGGGGATATGGGAAGAGCCTGGTTAAAAAAAAGGCCGGGGCCGGGCATGGTGGCTTACGCCTGTAATAATCCCAGCACTTTGGGAGGCCGAGGCAGGCGGATCACGAGGTCAGGAGATCGAGACCATCCTGGCCAACATGGTGAAACCCCATCTCTACTAAAAATACAAAAATCAGCTGGGCGTGGTGGAGTGTGCCTGTAGTCCCACCTACTTGAGAGGCTGAGGCAGGAGAATCACTTGAACCCGGGAGGTGGAGGTTGCAGTGAGCTGAGATCATGCCACTGTGCTCTAGCCTGGTGACAGAGCGAGACTCCTTCTCAAAAAAAAAAAAAAAAGGCCAGACGCAGTGGCTCACACCTGTAATCCCAGCACTTTGGGAGGCCAAGGTGGGTGGATCACGAGGTCAGGAGCTCAAGACCAGCCTGGCCAACATGATAAAACCTTGTCTCTACTAAAAATACAAAAATTAGCTGGGTGTAGTGATGGGCACCTGTAATCCCAGCTACCTGGGAGGTGGAGGCAGGAGAATCACTTGAACCCAGGAGGCGGAGGTTGCAGTGAGCTGAGATCGTACCACTGCACTTTAGCCTGGGGGACAGAGCAAGACTCCATCTAAAAAATAATAATAATAATGCATAAACATGGTAGAAAATTTGAACATTACAGACAGTATTAAAGAAGAAAAATTACGCTGGCCAGGCGCGGTGGCCCACGTCTGTAATCCCAGCTCTTTGGTAGGCCAAGGCAGGTGGATTACCTGAGGTCAAGAGTTGGAGACCAGCTTGGACAACATGGTGAAACCCCATTTCTACTAAAAATAAAAAATTAGCTGGGTGTGGTGGCACGTGCCTGTAATCCCAGCTACTCGGGAGGCTGAGGCAGGAGAATCAGCTTGAACCTGGGAGGCGGAGGTTGCAGTGAGCCAAGATCGTGCCACTGCACTCCAGCCTGGCCAACAGAGCGAGACTCCATCTCAAAAAAAAAAGAAGAAAGATTACCTATAATCTAATCACTGAAAGATAACCATTTTGTTGTAATCACTTTGATGCCTTTCTGTTTGTGTCAATCATTTATATAAAGTTGGCATCCTAAAAGTAAATAGCTTTGTATTCTGTGTAAACATTAAAATATTAATGCTAGATATTTTCCTGTGTCATTAATGTCAGATATATGTTTAATAAAGCACTGGCCCTACCTTGTGTGATTCAAAGTTCAGATGCCCTGGTTGGTGCCCCAGGTAGCTTAGTGCTGGCTTCTTTGTCCCCTGTAGTCTATGTTCAGATCCAGCAACCATATTAAAGAACTTGAGGATTCGGTCTAACTGAAGAGGAATGGGGGATCCTGTTAGGTGCAGGTTTGCCCTTTATATTATGCTAGCTCACACTTGTAGCAAAATGTTCTCATAAGCAGGTTGATTTGTGTTCAGCCACATAGATTATAGTCCTAAAAATGTAGGAGTTTTGAGTTCCTGTTGCATATTCAGAATAGCTATAGAATTCCCTGAAAGGCTAGGCTTGAATAGCATTTGCTCCAGGAACTGCTTTTAAAAAGTTTTACTTTCTTTCTTTCTTGCTTTTTTTGTTTGTTTGTTTTTGAGGTGGAGTCTCACTCTGTCACCCAGGCTGGAGTGCAGTGATGTGATCTTGGCTCACTGTGACTTCTGCCTCCCAGTTTCAAGCAATTCTCCTGCCTCAGCCTCCCAAGTAGGTGGGATTACAGGCGTGCACCACCATGTCCAGCTAATTTTTGTATTTTTAGTAGAGATGGGGTTTCACCCTGTTGGCCAGACTGGTCTTGAACTCCTGACCTCAGGTGATCCACCTGCCTCGGCCTCCCAAAGTGTTGGGATTACAGGCGTGAGCCACTGTGCCCAGCCAAAAACAGTTTTTCTTAGTCCTTTCTTAGAGTTGTCCAGGTAAGATATGTAATCATGAGAACTATAAACTTCCTTGGCTTGTAGAGTAAGTTACTTGCAAATCTGCAAAAAAAGATACTGAGGCCAGGCGTGGTGGCTCACGCCTGTAATCCCAGCTTTTTGGGAGGCCGAGGTGGGTGGATCATGAGGTCAGGAGTTCAAGACCAGCCTGGCCAAGGTGGTAAAACCCTGTCTCTACTAAAAACACAAAAAAATTAGCCAGATGTGGTGGCGGGCACCTGTAATCCCAGCTACTCAGGTGGCTGAGGCAGAGAATTTCTTGAACCCGGGAGGCAGAGGTTGCAGTGAGCCAAGATGGCGCCACTGCACTTCAGCCTGGGTAACAGAGCGAGACTCTGTCTCAGAAAGAAAAAGAAGAAAAAAAAAAAAGATACTGAGTTTAATAGGCTCAAAGCTGTCCCTGTTTGGCAGTTTACCTTGCTGTGTACATATGTACATACACACATCCAAACCTAATTGGATTTCTTTTAAAACAAAACATAATAAAATTTGACCCATCTGAGCAGGGCTCCTGTAGCCTTGTATTTTGGAAAATTTGTATGTTTAAGCCTGATGATGTCCTTGAGAAAGGTGGTATTCTGGAAAGACCACAGACATTGAAGTCATTTGGGCTCAAATTTTGGCCACACCACTTCTGATTGTGTAACCCTGAGCAAGGTAGATCTCTGAGCATCAGGATTCCCTCTTACATTTTTGATTTCAACTCTCCATCTTAAAATTTTGCCACCCTAAGACACCTACTTTTTCCTTAGGGCTAGTTATATGCCAGATACTGTGTTGGGAGTCTTACATGCATTAATGCCCATTCCTGCCAGAAAGATATCTGTACTCTCATTTTCCAGATGAGATAAGATGGCAGGGTAAAGTAATCCTGGTCTGGGAGGAAGAGCATGGGCTGATTTCTGCTTTTGGTTCCGCCATTTTAACGGCAAGCCATTTAACAGCTCTGAGTCTGTGATGTGTGGTTTAGGAGTTTTAAATGAGACAACACAAAGCATTGATCAAGGTGCCTGACTCATAGAAGGTGTGTGTTTTCCTTTATGAAAATTATAAAGTTAAGAGATTTATGATTGGAATACAGCATGGTCATAATGGCAGCGGTGGCCTGTCTGGAGCCTCTGCTGGGAAGATGCCAGCTGCAGTGGGGGAGGTGCGGTCAGGGCTGTGTGCTCCATGGAGCTGGCAGGAGCTGGGAACAAGCGGGAGCCCTGCCCTCCCAGGCACAGTTGCAGTTGCCCAACCACAGCTGCAGACCTGGGCATCCCAGAAGCCCATGAGCTTGGAAGTACCTGCTCCTGCTGCCTGACTTCTCTGTGCTCCTGGTGTCCACTCCAATTTCAGAGCAAAGTTGAGGCCGAGCCTGGGTTCTACTGAGACCTGGTCAGGTGTGCGCACACTTGGGGCGGTGCTGACACACTAGCCCCCTGCAGCCTCAGCTCCCTCTGGACTTTGGGTGCCAAGAAGCATGAGAGGGAGGCCAAGCAGGGGAGGAGAGCACCTGGGTGCAGGTCTGTAGATGCCCCTTTGCACCAACAGCCTGGGTGCTGTGGACAAAATGATTGATGGCTATAAGAGGCAGAGAGGCTCCTGGGTGGAAAGGGGTGGGTCCCTGGCGAAGCCCCACCTTCAAGCCAGGGATGGCCTGAAGCCTGAGGGCCAAGCTGTCAGTTCGGGCTGGAGTCTGTGGCCCAGAGTAAGAACTTGCGGTGGTTTTTCCGGGCCTGCCTGTGGCCACCTGTGGACCAATCAGCACGTACTTTCTCTCTTTTGAAACCCATACAAACCCTGGACTCACACTCTGGCAGATGGTCAGACGACCTGCTGCAGAAAGGAGCTATCTACTCCGGGTCTCCTAAGGGCTACAGACTTGATGGGTGCCAGGTCCAAACTGCAGACTGCGACCGAGCGATAGATGAAAAAAATGGACTCCGACACAGATATCCAGTGAAAGAGCGGGCTAGGGGAGTGGACTGCCTACAGAAAGAGTTGTAGCAGCCTCGGCCCTGACAAGCTGGTGCTGCGGGCAACTATTTAGTACAGATTTAATGACAAAGGCCTTGAGTCATTGTGGGTAATTAACATGGTCATCACCCCCCCACCCCCACCTCATCTCCGGAGAGAGCAGTCCTGCGCCTCGATTTATTAAAGTCCAGGTTCCGAGGCCTAAGTAAACTAACTTATCTACATCAGTTTCTTTACATCCCCTTGTTATCTAACCTAAGCTTTCAGGCACCGGATAAGAGAATCTGGCTGCTTTCGGCCAAATCCTTTTCTGAAGCTTTTGTAAAACTTCCCAGCCTTCTAAGAAGGTTTGCTTCTTTCTACAATTTTTCTCACCACCCTTACCGAACCCCGGCAGATGGGATGACCTGCCTGCGTCTGGGAGGTACCCACTCTGGGTCTTTTCTGCACTGAGGGCTGCACAGATGTCAGGATGACCTGCTTGCGGAAAGGAGCAACCCACTTTGGGTCTCCTGAGAGCTGTACTGTCGCTCAGTAAAGCTCCTCTTCACCTTGTTCATGCTCCAGTTGTCCGTATACCTCATTGTTCCTGAATGCAGGACAAGAACCTGGGACCTGTCAAATGGTGGGGCTGAAAGAGCGGTAACACAAACAGGGCTGAAATATGTCTCCCTTGCTCGCCGTGTTGCAGGCAACAAGAAGGAGAGAAGAGCGGCGGCCCTTCCAGGAGCCCAGACTTAGGGGCTTCCTGAGCCAGTGCTGTGACACCCCCTTTAGGGCTCTGCGGTTTCTGGCATCTCCAAGCTTCCAGGTGCCACTGCATTCCCCTCGTCCAGATGCAGGTGCCCACAGCAGAAGCCGCTTGCAGTGCATCTCATCCAGCTGCAGGCTTGCATGGAGCCAGCAACTATGCTGGCACCTGGAGCTACCTGCTCTGCCTGGCTGTGTGCAGTGGCCACCGGTGTGCCTGGCTGTGTGCAGTGGCTGGACCCCGCACTCACTCACACACGCCTTGCCACTCTGTGCTTTTCTTGCCCTTGGCAGGCTTGGGATCCGCGCTGGTAGCACAAGCCTGCCAGGCTGAGTGGGCGGAATGAGCCCAGCGGACCTGAGCAAAACTCGGGTAAAGGCATCAATGACCACAGAGGCTTCTGGCTAGAAGCCCAAGGATCTCATGGCAATAGCATTTATCAAGGACTATCCAATAATATTTATTCCCTTTGTCTTTGAAACAGTTTACTCCTGGAATTTATTCCAATGTTATAAGAGGAGGAAAAGCTATATGAACAATTTTGAAAAGATTTACTCTTCATTTAACAACCATTTATTAAGGTCATCCTGAATCATGCCCGGTTAGGTCTGGGAATACAGACTCTGTCAGAGGGGACCTGATAATCCATGTTATATGAGAGCTAAGAATTGAAAATGGAATGCACATCCAGTATTAGGGGGATGGTAAGGTAAACAATGAAGTCCCAAGTAAACTGAATATTATGTAGACTTTTAAAGTGGTAATTTTGGCCAGGTGTGGTGGCGCATGCCTATAATCTCAGAACTTTGGGAGGCTGGGATGGGAGGATCACTTGACCTCAGGAGTTTGAGACCAGCCTGGGAAACACAGGGAAACCTTGTATCTCCAAAAAATAAAAAAAAATTAGTCGGACGTGGTGGCACACAACTGAGGTCCCAGCTACTCAGGAAGCTGAGTTGGGAGGATTGCTTGAACCTGGGAGGTCGAGGCTGCAGTGAGCCATGATCACGCCATTGTACTCCAGTTTGGGTGACACAGCAAGACCATGTCTCAAAAAAAAAAAAAAAAAAAAATTCTGAATACCATATAGAAACAGAGGAATATTTGAGTACAAGAAGTAGTAAAATTGTCTCTAGATGCTATGGAGGGGTCAGCTATGTTTAAAAATCAGTATTTGGATAAAACCAAAGATGATATGCAGAAATGAAAATAGTTTTATTAGTATAATAGGATTTGGGATTAAAAAATTTATCTGCAATTACATGATTTTTCCTATCATAAAAGAAGGAGCAGTGTACTTTGGCTGTAGAGCTATAATGGATGCTGGAAGGAGCAGAACGTAATGTTCTGTTCTACCTCCAAGAATACTCATCCATCTATCACCTTGTTTCTTCCCCATAGGGCCATGTGAAACTTTCTGACTTTGGTCTTTGCACAGGACTGAAAAAAGCACATAGGACAGAATTTTATAGGAATCTGAACCACAGCCTCCCCAGTGATTTCAGTAAGTGGTAACAATTACGTTAGCCTTTTCGTTCTAACTGGGCCTAGAAGAGCTGTTTCCCTTGTAACCAAATTAGAACAGATAGGAGATTCTCACACTTTGAGTATGTAGAGAATAAAAATACCTTCCCAGGTTTGCCTGTGATTTGTGTTGTCTGGTGAGGCAAGATGAATGAGTGGGTACCAAGTGTGTGAAGGCAGAGGTTGAAAGGGGTCTTTAGAGGTCTACTGGGAAGGTCACTGGGGATGAGTATGGGACAAGCAAGCAGAAGTAGTAGAGGAAAAACTCCTGGGAACAGTTCTGGGCTAGATTTGTCCTGGGCTAGATTTGTCCTTCATGACAGAAAGAAGTTTATCTTTATGACAGTCACTTCCATTTGAGCACTATGAAATCGTTGACAACTATGTAGTAAAATTTCAGTTCATCCTAGAAAAGCATATGTCAAATCATGTATCATAAATTCAGATGTCCCTGATCATATAAGTTACTACTACTTGGAAAATTGATGGTAATTTTGAGAAATTGTGACTGTTTTAGGTCCACGTTAGGACCTCAATTCTAGTTGAGACTGAATTCCCTGTAATTCTGATTAAGTCCTGTACTGTATCCTCTGCCACTTGATCCACATGGGAGTGCCTTTTACAACTCTGTGTGAGTCTTTTAAGTTAATGCTTTACAGCCTCTGATTTGGGTTTACTGTAAACGTACTAGGATATGTATCATCTGGAGCTTTTGATGTATGAGTAGAAGAAAAGCAAGACTTTAGGGTCTCATGTGACTTGAAAGAGCCTACTAAAAAAAGTAGTAAACATTTTGGTCTGAACTTTGACTGCAGCTTGTATTCTTTACTTTCAGCTTTCCAGAACATGAATTCCAAAAGGAAAGCAGAAACCTGGAAAAGAAATAGACGTCAGCTAGTAAGTAATATCTGTGGCTTCTGAAATGCTACAAACCAAGTATGAATAAGTTCAAAAGATTTTCACATAAATTTGCATTTGACAAATATTTGCAACATATCCCTTGCTTTTAAGATTACCTAAAGAGAGTGCTGTTGTTAGGTTGGTAGGACCGAAAGGAATCTTTTGAAGGAGGACAGGTAATATTAGGTTGTTTTGATTGTGACATTTTCCGTGGGCGACCTCATTCTGACCTTTTAGCTTGGTAACAATACCTTTCCTTCCTGCCCCACCTTTTCTCCATTTTCATAGTGGTAAAGGGGTTATATTTAAGCTGGAGATCTGTCAGAACTAAGTACAAATACCTACTTAGAGTTTTCAGGCATCAATTCTCAAACTTTTTAAAAATTTTGATCCACTCGGGCAAGGGCAAGTCAAGACTCCTCAATTCATTTGCCTCACACTTTCTGACTTTGTGATGTAAAAAAGAACTTACTTATAAAGATTGGAGAGAAATATAAAGGGAATGCTTATTACTTTATATGCATTTGACTTTGTGCCTATATAAAATTATGTCCTACAGGCTGAAAAATAAGAAACATCGTGTTTACCTTGATAGTATGTTGGAAGTACAAATTTACCAGTGAAATATTGCTGTCTAAGCAGAATTTATTTTTTGCCAATAGCTGATAAATTGGTTCATGTTTGAAGTTCAGTGTACATGTTCCAGTGTCCAGTTACTGGAAAGTTATTGGCCAGATAATAGAAATGCGTATCACTACATTCTTAAGCTTTGCAAGAAACCCATAGCAAATGAAATTGATGATGGTAAAGCCAAACTAACATTTGGTCATTAGAAAGCAGAGTAGCAGCAATGGGAAACTGACTAACTTGGAATGATGGTCATGCAAATGTATTGTCTGGAAATGGTAGCACTTCCGTTTGCCCACATATATGGTAGTAACTTGGCAAGTTTACCAAATACTGTGTTTCAGTCAGAATTCCTAGTAAAATACTGATTTACAGTTCTCTAGAGTACCTTTAATAACACTCTTAGTAGGTCACTAATAGGTGGATGTCAGTTACATGTGAAAATGGAAGCCTATGGGATGGTTTAAGGAAGAGTCAAAGGAAAGCCTTGCATTCGTTTTGATTTATTTGAAGCCCACCTATCAGTGGGGCCTCAGACAATATTTACTTGGGAAATCTTCAGTTTAGTACAGTTAGTTACAAAATAGTCTCCCTTCCTTGGGAACTCTGCGACTCTTTAAACTTCTGAATTCTGTATGTGGTTGAAAAATGGTTTATCTTGTTGAGGATTAGGGAGTGTCAGGAACAAATTTGGTCAGATGCTTCTATTATGTCTCTCCACAGAGGAGTAGTTTTTAACCTTGGTTGCACAACAAAATCACTTGGGGAACTTCAGAACATGTTGATGTCCAGGTTCCACCCACAGAAATTATGATTCAGTTGGTCTGGGATATAGTCTGGGTATCTGGTTTTTAAAAGACTGAGTGATTCTACTGTGCAGTGAATGTGGAGAACCTCCACTGAAGAGGTTATGTCTTAAATAATAGCTCCTGCGTTGTTGGGAAACTAATATTTATCTATTTTTTGGAAACAGAAGGTAAGGAATCTGTGATTTCTTTTCTTTCTTTCTTTCCTTTCTTTTCTTTCTTTCTTTTTTTTTTTTTTTTTTTTTTTTGGAGGCCAGGATTTAACCTTTGGCTACTGTGCTGACAAGTATTTTGGGGATAAAGCTTAAGTGTTTTGAATTGTTCCTTATATTCCAAGACAAGCTTTGTGCTCTTTGATGTGTACCCAAGGGTCATGTCATGATTAGAGGAACCATTTCTATAGTTCTATAAGGAAAGCAATTTCACAATTTTCGTATTTGCAGTTAAATGTCATTTAATAGTTAAAAACATTTTTGAAAATCTGAATAAACTTAAGGCCCTGATGCTATGGTTAAGGTTCTTGCCTTTTTATACTATATACAGTAGAAATGGGAAAGTGTAAATTAAGGTCATCTTCATATTATCTCTTTTCATAACTTGAAGAAAATGAAGCCACCTCTCAGTCTTCCAAATGTTAATTAACTGTGTTACTTTGACCTTTTGTTAGTGATCCCATTCAGCTAGTACCAAGCTGAAGATTGATATTCGTTAATGGTTAATATAAATTTACTGCTCTAGGTTAAGCCTAACATATGTAATTGCTACTCAGCCTATTACTTTTTAGTCCATTGGGAATCACTAAAAAAAGTAGAGGCTTTAGCTTCATTCCTCGGCTGCTTAAATCATATTGTAATGTTTTAAATTGTTATGTCGTCCTGTATAACCTTAGGCCCCAGTAACTGATTAATATGAGTCAGCTTTAAGTTAATTACAGATATAAAAGGTAATAGACACATAGGCATCCAATCTTGGTCAGTTTAATTTTTTAGGGTTGAATTTACAGAAGTGAGTAGGAAATTAAATTGCTTTATTTCTTCTAAAACCCTGACACAAAATCATAAGGTTAGAACACATTCAGTTGAAATGACTGTTAACAACCAACAGAGCTATTCCAGATAGCAATTTTCATTGACACTTGAAATACCCAGACAGAAAAAAGGAGAAACTGGAGTACAGATTTACGAGGTTGGAGTTGGAGGACACCCTGGTGTGGAAAACAACAAAGGTTTGGGAAGGGGGCAGTCCTTAGATTGGAAAGGGCACACCTGGTACAGATGGTGTGGTAAAAAGTGTGGTAAAATGCGAGCGAGCTCCAGTGGCAGACTCTAGTTTCTGGAATAAGAGCAATACTTTTACCTTCACAGGTTTGAGCCTGTTGTTTGCTATATTTTATAACTCGTTAAGAGTTTTTTTTAATGCACTGGTATCT
Organism: Homo sapiens; assembly: GCF_000001405.40. Taxonomy (NCBI): domain Eukaryota; kingdom Metazoa; phylum Chordata; class Mammalia; order Primates; family Hominidae; genus Homo; species Homo sapiens. The sequence goes on along the minus strand of NC_000006.12, from coordinate 36,503,717 downwards.
TGAAGGAGTTCTTTTCCTCTGGCAGTAGACCTCTGGTTTTATAATGGAAATCTTTGAACAAGTAAGATCTGCTTAGATTTACATTCATCTTTGGTAGAGTAAACCTCATCTCTAAATTAAAGAGTTTGTAATTTCTTACCTTTATGATTAGAATGAAAATTCTTGGAGAGGGCCTAATCCACATGTCAGTTTTTAAAGCTTAAAGACAAAAGACAACACTGGCATTTGTGTTAATATCTGCATTTAAATATATATCATACACACACAAACACACACACACACACACACTTAGCTATATGGAAAAAATGGATCCCTACCTTACAGTATATGCAAAAGTCAATTCTAGATGGGAAATTAAACTTTAAAAATTTTTAAAGAAAATACAGGGCAATATCTTTATGACCTCAGAGTAAAGAGGGATTTCTTAAACAAGAACTACAGCTCATAAAGGAAAAAGTTGGTTTATTTTATTACTTTAAGGAAAAAAAACCTTCTATATATCAAAAGACGTAAAGAAATGAAAAGACAAGCCACACAGTACAGCTACTTTGGAATTATCTTTCAGAATTCATGTGTACACCCTACAGCGCTGCAATTCTACCCCTAGTCATAGGCCCTGGAGAAACTGCACATGTGAACCAGGAGACATTCAGAAGAATGTTTATTGCATTTTCATAATAGCAAAAGACTGGGAATAATCCAGTGTCCATCCACAGGAAAACAGTTACATTCTGGAATAGAATATTTTGCAGCAGTAAAAATAATTGAACGAACAGCTACTTGTGACAGTGTGAATCAATTTTAGAAACAAAGTTGAGAGGAAGAATCTAATAGCAGAAGACTGTATATAGAATGGTACCATTTTAATAAAGCTCAAAAATAAAACTAAGATCTCATTTAGAGAGATAGATGGCAAAATTCTTTTTAAAAGCAGAGGAGTGACAAAACACGAAATTCAGCATAGTGGTTAAGAGAAGCAGGAGAGACGAGGAGGAGTACATGTTTAGCTTTAATAATATTGGTATTCCTTGGTTCTTCAGTTGAACTCGTGGCTATTCATTTTCATGATTATGCATTATAATTTGATAATGTATGTAATTAACAGATGTATGTATGTGACATATTTACTTTTGGTAACAAATACTACTTCATTAAAAAAATCACAATAAAAATAACAAGCGTCAATCTGGGAGAAGATACTTGCAGTATACAAATATCTTAAACAGATTAATGTCCTGAATTCATAAAGAATTCCTATGAATCAATAAGAAAAAGGACAACACAACTTAAAAAATACTAATGGACAAAGGATCTGAATAGGAATTCATAATAAAAACCTGGATGGCTAATTAAAATATGAATATGTGCTCAACCCTACTTGAAATAAAGTAAATGCAAATTAAAACAAGATCCCAGCCATGCTGGCACATCCCTACAGTCCCAGCTACTCAGGAGGCTGAGGCAGGAGAATCCCTTGAGGCCAGGATTTCAAGGCTGCAGTGAGCTATGATCATACCACTGCACTCCAGCCCGGGTGACAGAGCAAGACCCCATCTCTTAAAAAGAAAAAAAAAGAGATCCCATTTCATATTCATCAGATTGGTAAAAATAAAAAAAAATCTGACAAAGCCAAGTCTTGATGAGATATGGAGTACCAGAAGCTAATCCCCACCGGGGTTGGTTTAAATAGGGACTAACTACTTTGGAGGACATGGAAGATACCTCAAGTTTAAATGCTTATAACCCAAGGCTCAGCAATATTCTAGTTAATACTCTAGAGGAATGCTTGCACAGTGCCCAAGAAGGTATTAAAAGAATGTTTATTCAGGTGTTATTTGTCATAGTGAAATACTGGAAGCACTGTAACTGTCCATTACAGAAGAACGGATAAAAACTATTGTGACTAATTTATATAACAGTATAGCATACGGCAGAGAAATGAGTGAACTAGAGCTACATGAATAAATCTCAAAACGAATGTTAAGACAAACAAGGCCGGTTGCGGTGGCTCACTCCTGTAATCCCAGTACTTTGGGAGGCTGAGGTGGGTGGATCACTTGAGGTCAGGAGTTTGTGACCAGCCTGGCCAATGTGGTGAAACCCTGTCTCTACTAAAAATACAAAAAATTAGCCAGGTGTGGTTCATCTCAAAAAAAAAAAAAAAGACAAATGATCTGAGACAAATATGGCAAATTATTAATCTTTTTAATGTGGGTAATGGGTCTGTATTGTATTGTCTGTTCCTTTTTTCTGTATGTTTGTAATATTTCATAATACATGTTTTAAAAACAATACAACTGTAATTTAAAAAATTATATAATATTTAAAGCACCTAGATCAGAGCCTTACACATGGAAGCCCTCAAATGTTAAGTACATTAGGAGGCTTTGATTGTACTTTCTCCTCTTATTTTGCAGTCCTGGTATGTTAGAGTAGAATACTGGAATGCAGAAAATGTTTCTCTTGGTCAGGTGCGGTGGCTCACACCTGTAATCCCAGCACTTTGGGAGGCTGAGGTGGGAGGATCACTTGAGCCAGGAGTTAAAGACCAGTCTGGGCAAGATGGCAAAACCCCATCTCTACAAAAAAATTAAAAAATTAGCCAGGTGTGGTGGCATGCACCTGTGGTCCTAGCTACTATGGTGGCTGAGGTGGGAGGATCTCTTGAGCCTAGGAGTTTGAGGTGAGCCATCATCGTGCCACTGCACTCCAGCCTGGGCCCACAAAGGGAGACCCCCATTTCTTAGAAAAAGAAAACATTCCTCCAAGAACTATATACAAAAACAATTAAGTTTGGTAAATAGGTATTTATAAATGTTTAAGTTATAGGATATAACTTTAGCTTTTGATCATATAGCTTCCCTTTATGATTGTGTCAAATCAAAGAATGTGTATCATAGAAAGAGGGATGGTTTGGAGTAAGATACTATAATTCCTATTTTTTTTTTTTTTTTTTTTTGAGACAGAGTCTCACTCTGTCGCCAGGCTGGAGTGCAGTGGCACGATCTCGGCTCACTGCAACCTCCGCCTCCCGGGTTCAAGCGATTCTCCTGCCTCAGCCTCCCGAGAAGCTAGGACTACAGGTGCACACCACCACGCCCAGCTAATTTTTGTATTTTTAGTAGAGACGGGTTTTCACCATGTTGGCCAGGATGGTCTCCATCTCTTGACCTCGTGATCCGCCCACCTCAGCCTCTCAAAGTGCTGGGATTACAGGCGTGAACCACCACTCCCGGCCAGATATTTAATTTTTAAACTGGGCTCTACCACCTAACTAGTTCTGCGGTCTCAGGCAAAGCCATTTTGAGCATCAAATTGTATCTGCAAAGTTAAGCTAATAAGGTCCTCCTTGGAAAAGTTTTGTCAGGATTAAATGGACTCATGTATATGAAGTTATATATATATATAAAACTCATGTAATATATATATTAAGTACAGAGCCTAGTACTTAATGGGTGCTCAGTAAATTGTAATACCAGTTATTATGACACAGATGCCTTCGCCCTAGTGACTCATAGTTAAGGGTCTCCTGCCTCATGAACAAAGCTTTATTGTTCATTTTGGAAAGTGCTTTGGGAAATCGAGCTTGCCATTAAGCTACTGGGCAGTCCTGCTTATTTAGCTTGGGGGTAGCTTCTGATGTTACTCATAGCCTTTGGTTTCTAGAACAGAACTCTGGGCACCTCCTGCCTGGCTGGGCCTCGCTGATGTGTGGTCCATGTTTCAGGCCTTCTCCACAGTAGGCACTCCTGACTACATTGCTCCTGAGGTGTTCATGCAGACCGGGTACAACAAGCTCTGTGATTGGTGGTCGCTTGGGGTGATCATGTATGAGATGCTCATCGGTAAGTTGCATGGTTTCAGAGGACTTTTTCTGTGCATCCATGACAGACTTTTACATTGATACCAGCCTCTGTTTCAATTGGCAGTGATCTAAGTGATTTCCCTACTTGTCTTTCAAAGTGAATTGTTTTAGACAGATGACACCTCTTTCAGTAAGATGTATCCCACTCCATTCTTGGGCTTACTGGCATCCTGCAATTGCTTTGCTGATCATTTTTTATGTTTTTCTTTCTCTTATACCTTCATCTTCTCCATCTAGAAGCTCTTTTAGTCACTAGCATTTATTAAATATCCGTTGTATGCAGAGCACTTCAACTGGGCATTGCCTCACTTTCCTAATTTGCCGCCCCCTTCCTCTGTCAAAGCCTTCAAATCATGGGACCCTCTGGCCTCTCTCCCTCTTATTGTATTGGTGTGTCTCTGTATTTATGGGACGCATCTGTGGGGGTGGTCATATGCCAGTGAGCACTAGATTAAGTATATCCTTGGTGGTTCCGGGTGAGTCTATCTGGCTGCTTTGGCTTCAGGAACATGGGAACGATGCCTGTGGAGGTGGGCGTACACCGTCTGGAGGGAAGATGGGGTGATAGGGTGTGTGCGTGTTTGTCTTCTTGCCTGTAGTTCTCAAAAAGAGGCATGGTGGTCATTTTTAAAATCTATGCTTTTTTCTTATTCAAGTTATTTGGTACTTTACCCATATAAGGGTATTTCTGGAATGATATTGTTTCATCCTTTCATTTCTTCTTTGGGCATGGTGATTCCCACACCTGCAACTCTATTTATGTCCTCCTTTCTTTTCCCAGCTCTACCTATTAGCTGACTTCCTAGTGGTACCAGAGGCATGATTTCACTTTGGGTCTGGGAGTTTGGGGGAAAATGAAAAATAGGTTTAGGTATTTTCTGGGATAAGTGGAAATCCTGTCTGTGTCATGGAGGGATGGCCATACAGAGTAATCCAGTAGTCATTAAAGACATACAGAATCAGGCCGGGCACAGTGGCTTATGCCTGTAATCCCAGCACTTTGGGAGGTCGAGGTGGTAGTATCTCTTAAACCCAGGAGTTCAAAATAAGCCTGATCAACATAGCAAGACTCTGTCTTTACAAAAGAAAAATAAAAAATCAGCTGGGTGTGGTGGTGCTCTTCTGTAGTCCCACCTACTGGGAAGGCTGAGGCAGGAAGATCACTTGAGCCCAGGAATTCAAGGCTGCAGTGAACCATGATTGTGCCACTGCACCCCAGCCTAGGTAACAGAGTGAGACCCTGTCTCAAAAAAAAAAAAAAAAGAAAAAAGAAAAAAAAAGACATAGAATTTTATTAAGGAGAGTAATCTCGGTCAGATTCAAAGTTCTGGAGTGTAAAAGCTCCGAAGTTCCTTTTTTATTACAGGCTACCCACCTTTCTGTTCTGAGACCCCTCAAGAGACATATAAGAAGGTGATGAACTGGAAAGAAACTTTGACTTTTCCTCCAGAAGTTCCCATCTCTGAGAAAGCCAAGGATCTAATTTTGAGGTATTAGAGAACATCCCTCCACCTTCTTTCTCAGCTTTTTAATATGAATGATTCCATTTTTTTAAAAACTTTTGTTATCTCCTGAATCTGCTTTCTGTTTCCTCCTATTCCTCTCTTTAAACAAATAAAAAGGCTGTGCATGGTGGCTTACGCCTATAATTCCAGCACTTTGGGAGGCTGAGGCAGGGGGATCACTTGAGCCCAGGAGTTTGAGACCAGCCTGGACAACACAGCAAAACCCCACCTCTAAAAAGAAAAAATTGGCTGGGTGTGGTGGAACCTGTGGTCCCAGCCACTTGGGAGGCTGAGATGGGAGGATCCCTTGAGCCCAGGAAGTTGAGGCTGCAGTGAGCCATGATTGTGCTACTGCACTCCAGCCTGGGTGACAGAGTGAGATGCTGTCTCAAAAAAAAAAAAAAAAAAAGAAAGTTTTTCTTTTTCTGAGGAGACTGCTTGAGATGTGCTGAAAGGCCTCTGTCTTTTCCAGGTTCTGCTGTGAATGGGAACATAGAATTGGAGCTCCTGGAGTTGAGGAAATAAAAAGTAACTCTTTTTTTGAAGGCGTTGACTGGGAACATATCAGGTATATCCATATAAACACTTTCAGAATTATTTCAGAAAGTCTCTAGTTTACTTAATAATAATTTGGAAGGACCATCATTGGCAAGCCAAGTAAGGGAAGAGAGCTTCTTAGAGATTTAGGGTCTTTTCCTGATTTTCATTCATGGTGAAGATTGGGCATTAGATTTTTTGTCAGCCGTGTGTCATGGAATATATTGAATCTAGCAGTTATTTACAAAGTGAAGTGAACTTTGTTTTTTGAGGTGGAGGGAGCATCTAGGAAGCGTATTACCCTTTACCTAGAACTCAGCAACCTCTTAGGTCCCGCCAGCGGGACTGTTCCTGCCCACAGGGTGGAAGGTATCACTGGAACATAGAGAAGGGAGAAAGGAGTGGAGGAAAGATTGGAGGGGTGGAAGTGGAGAGGGAAAGGGAGAGTGAAAATTGTTATGGTGGGGGTAGTAGACTACGGCCAATAGCCGTGAGAGCCTAGACCACCTGCTGTAGTCCAGACCTTCTCATTCAGCATTCATTGGTTATTAAATAGAAGGTGAAGTTTTCATTTATTTTATAATTGTGTACTGATTTGCTGCTTGTGATTTTTTACCTTTGCCACTTTTCTAGCCATCCTACTTGGCACCTCCAGTGGAAGAAGGGCAGAGCCCTACACAAGGGGACATTTAGAGGTTCAGTTTCCCTTTTTAGTAGACAGGCCAGGCCATGGGGGGAGTTGCACTAACTTCACGTTTTAGTTATTCTTATCTTTCTTTCTAGCTATGAATGATTGAGTTATTTTTTTAAAATCATAATTTACTTTGGGTACAGTCAGTTGGCTTGGTTGGTCAGTGTTTATAAGTTTTTCAGAGAAAATAAATGCTGCCTGCCAGTGAAGAGTCTTCTCATGTCAGACCAGGGGTCTTTTTTGGAGAAAGACTTGATTGGTATGATCCATTTGATTACTAACTTAGTAATTTTTGGCATGTGTATTCTTGGCAGAGAGAGACCTGCTGCAATATCTATTGAAATCAAAAGCATTGATGATACCTCAAACTTCGATGAGTTTCCAGAATCTGATATTCTTAAGCCAACAGGTAACACCACCAGCATTGTCTCCTGCTGCCTTATAAGCACATTATTTACCCCCAATTTTGGGATGATGTTTACAAATCAGGGTAGTGAACATGGAGAGGAATTTCATTTCTTCAGGTTCTTTGTAAGTACTTTTCTAATTCTAATGCTGGGTAGTGGTGAAACCTTGGTGAATGGAAAATGAGTATCAGCTCCCATGTTTAGACTGCTCAACTGGGTGAGTAAGTCACAAAAATCTGTTCTTTTGTTATTTACTAAGTGTTAGGTAATCTGAAATGACAGGAATGGGAAAATAAAACATTAAAAAATTTGTGAAGAAATATGAGATTTAAAGAACATGAGCAAGAAAATGTGGAAAATTCATAGAGTGAGGCCAGGCGCGGTGGCTCATGCCTGAAACCCCAGCACTTTGGGAGGCCGAGGTGGGCAGATCACAAGGTCAAGAGATCGAGACCATCCTGGCCAACATGGTGAAACTCCATCTCTACTAAAAATACAAAAATCAGCTGGGTATGGTGGCACACGCCTGTAGTCCCAGCTACTGGGGAGGCTGAGGCAGAAGGATTGTTTGAACCCGGGAGGCAAGGTTGCAGTGAGCTGAGATGACGCCACTGCACTCCAGCCTGGCGACAGAGCAAGACTCTGTCTCAAAAAAAAAAAAAAAAAAAATTCATAGAGTGAAAAATAAGCTTTCCCAAATAGAAACTGGTGTGTTCTTCATAGTCCTGTCTTCAGCACCGTGAGCAGTCCATTGGAGGCAAGGCAGTGAATCAACTCTCACATCTATTTCTTTCCCAGTGGCCACAAGTAATCATCCTGAGACTGACTACAAGAACAAAGACTGGGTCTTCATCAATTACACGTACAAGCGCTTTGAGGGCCTGACTGCAAGGGGGGCAATACCTTCCTACATGAAAGCAGCAAAATAGTACTCTTGCCACGGAATCCTATGTGGAGCAGAGTTCTTTGTATAACATCATGCTTTTCCTCTCACACTCTTGAAGAGCTTCCAAGAAGTTGATGGAACCCACCAATATGTCATAGTAAAGTCTCCTGAAATGTGGTAGTAAGAGGATTTTCTTCCATAATGCATCTGAAAAACTGTAAACAAAGACAACCATTTCTACTACGTCGGCCATAAACAGCTATCCTGCTTTGGAAGAGAAGCATCATGAGCCAATTTGATAGGTGTTTTAAAAATAACTTGAGTTTTCCTAAGTTCATCAGAATGAAGGGGAAAAACAGCCATCATCCAACATTATTGAGATTGTCGTGTATAGTCATCGAATATCAGCCAGTTCCTGTAATTTTGTGACACGCTCTCTGCCAAGCCCACCAAGTATTTCCTTTATAGCTAAAAGTTCCATAGTACTAAGGAAATAAAGCAATAAAGACAGTCTCAGCAGCCAGGATTCTGGCTGAAGGAAATGATCCGCCACCCTGAGGGTGGTGATGGTAGTTTCTACCCATACCTCAGCCTCAGGCGAGTGGCTTATAGCCTCCATTCATGGTGCACTTTATTTATGGTACTAAGATAAAGACTGTCAATCCATTGATTTATCTCCTCCTGTCCCCCATCTAAAATACCCATGCTGCTTTTCTGAGTGTTGATGGGGGTTACCAGCTTGATCCACTGTTGCTCTTAGAAGGCCCAGAAAGTCTTTGGGCATTGCCAAGAAATCCCGGATTATGTGGAAAACCCTCACTTTCTCTTCACGGCTGTACCAGAAAATCCCTAAGACAGATCTTGCCGTGGACTAGCAATACCTGCAAGTGCTGCCAATGGGAACTCAATTTATTCCTGGGAACCTAACGAGGAGAGCCCAGGCCTAGGCAGGAGGCCTGGAACCCTCTTGGCTAAGGTGCTGTTCCTGTTCCTGCAAGGTCTCCAGAACCCCTTTGGAAATGGTGAAGGAACCAGCCCAATAGAAGTACAGAGCCAGCTGACAAGTCCTTGTAAAGCTCACTCCTCAGTCCTTGGCACAGCCATGTTTTGTCTTCTCTCTTGGTATTTCTTCTCTCCCAACTTTAGCCATTTTGCCTTGGAATCATGATTACAATTTTTTCCTTTGCAGATGCCTTCCTGGGGGATACTCCTCCCCACCCTAAAGGGTCGCCTGCAACTTAGGCGGATTGGGTCTCTCTGCTGTGGCGTTCTCTCTTGAGAGACCCTCTGAATTTTAGCACAAAGTGCCTTCTGTTTCACAGCTGCCACCACCTTTAGAGGAATTTCGTCAGAAAAATGTGGAGGCTCCATATTAATGCATTATTTTTTAAAAAGTTTTGATAACTCTTAAAGCATCATTTGCACCTATGTGGGAACTTTGCCTGTTGCAAAGTATTGTGGCCGAGCTGCAGCTGGGAGCCTGCTTTCTGCCAGTCTTGAGGTTCTGAAGATCAGCTTTGAAAGGAAAGTATGTCCTAGCTTAGCCATTCAGAAGAGAAAAATGGAATATCAGAGTTACAGTTGTCAGTGAAACTACTTTGGATTTTAACCTCTTAGAGGAAGAAAAAAGGTTAGGGAAGTGTCAACTCTGGATGAAGGTGATGTGTTTGCCTCTCAGTCTTTCATTCATAGCCTGCTAGTGAAAAGGAAGTAAATGAGATTCTTTTGTGTGACTTTGTAGTCTCTTTGTATTACCAAATAGTTGGGGTGTTGACTCCTGTGTGTTTTGCAAGAATGTGTGGTAAGCCTGGGTAAAGAGAAGGAACTGCGGTGTTGGGAGAGTCTTTGTGTTGGGGAGTGGCAGGGGATGATTTGTTTCAGGGGAAAATGCCCACATTTTAACTTTTAAACTTCTGAATAAACTGTGTAAAAACAGTAGTGGAAATACGTGGTGTGATTTATTAAACTGATAAGAACAGATACTGCATTTGATCTTAGCAAAAAGGCTGAGAGGGGATTGTGATGTGATTTAAAGCAGATAGTGGCATATAACTTAGAGGCAGAGTGCTGATGGCTGCTTTTAACCCCTTTGTCCACAAACCATTACAACGCCTAATTTCGAGTGTTAATTTCAAAACTGTATCACCATCTTCATGCAAAGTGCTTTTCCATCTCAGGGAAGCTGGGACTGACTTTTGTTCTTAGGGAGCTAGTCTCCTGAATCACTGTCCATATGAAGAGACTTCTCTTGCCCCGACTGCATGTGCTTCTTCCACCCACCTCAGTGTTGCAGGGCAGTGGGCCCTCCCCTCACAGTAAGGCCAAGGGCACACACATCCTGACAAAAGTGCTGTCATCTGGTGGACCTTTTGTACAGCCTTTTACAGCCCAGCCCCATTTTTTCGCAGCCTGCAGTCAACGAGGAATCTCATGAGCTCATAAGATGGAATTGTTGGCTGGGTGTGGTGTCTCACACCTGTAATCCTAGGACTTTGGGAGGCCGAGGCAGGGGGATCACAAGGTCAGGAAAGATTGAGACCATCCTGGCTAACATAGTGAAACCCCGTCTTTACTAAAAATACAAAAATTAGCTGGGCATGGTGGCACGAGCCTGTAGTCTCAGCTACTCAGCAGGCTGAGGCAGGAGAATCGCTTGAACCTGGGAGGCGGAGGTTGCAGTGAGCTGAGATCGTGTCATTGCACTCCAGCCTGGGTGATAGAGCGAGACTCCGTCTCAAAAAAAAAAAAAAAAAAAAAAAAGATGGAATTGTTCAGCCCTGTGTCCATCAGAGCAGGGTTCTGTCTCTGAGATGTTGTATGCTGGAGGAGTCCCATATGCCCCACTTGTTAGCCCCTTTCTGGGTAGGGAAAAGCACCTCAAGGAGTCCAGAAGGGAGGGGCAAAGACCAGCTAGAGTAGAAACTGCAGGCAGAGGAAGCTAAATGCAGCCAGAATGGGTAATGTCTTTCTAAGGCTTATGAATCCTAAGAAACATGTTGGGCAACACTGGCTCAGTGTCGATCCTGTTGACAGAAATTCTGTTTCCTACTCTCATTGGGGTAGTTAGAAAATTGCATACTAAAATGAAACCAAAATCATATCATTTGATGTCTCCCAGTTCAGGAATGCATCACAATTTTCTTTAGTACCTGTTTCTTTGTAGTTGGCTTGGTTGATTGGCATTTATTTAGTACTCCTCTCCCCTGCATCTAAATTACCCAGGCTGCTTTTCTGACTGTTGATGGGTGGATACCAGCTTGATCCATTGTTGCTCTTAGAATTACTTTCAAAGGGCTGGGCATGATGGCTCACGCTTTAATCCCAGCACTTTGGGAGGCTGAAGTGAGTGGATCGCTTGAGCCCAGTTAGTTCAAGACCAACCTGGGCAACATGGCGAAACCCTGCCTCTACCAAAAATACAAAAAATTAGCATGGTGGCACGTGTCTGTAGTCCCAGATGCTCGGGAGTCTGAGGTGGGAGAATCACTTGAGCCTGGGAGGTGGAGGTGGCAATGAGCCAAGATTGTGCCACTGCACTCCAGCCTGGGTAACAGAGTGAGACTCTGTCTCCAAAAAGAAAAAAAAAAAAAAGTCAAAACTAAGATTCACATGAGTTCCTTCAGGATTAATACTCAGGTTCTGCAAAACAGATTGCCAATTTGAAAACTCATCTGTACAGCCTAGTAAGAGTCCCCCTCTGCCATCAGTTGGTAATGCTCTTTGTCAGAATTATTTCCTTGGAACTTTTTTAGATCGCCTTGTCCTGGTTCTCCTGGGCTTCTGTGTAACCCAAGTGGTGTTTTTAATTGAATTCAGAAGGATTCAGTGAATGATATTTTCATTTCCTACAGAGCATATTTCTCTGGAATGATCCATCAAAGCCAACACTGACAAAAACGGCCTTCGTGATGCTTTTTCACGCACATTTTCAGAGAAAAAACACCTTGCCCAAGCAACATTCAAGCTCAGTTCCAGGCAGTCTGGTGAGGCAACAGGTTGCTCACCGTGGTTCTGAATTGCAGATCAGTTTGAGAGAATTCCCAACAACAAGTGGCTTAATGGAATGTAGCATCACCTTATTTACATTAGTGTTGATGTGACCTTGACAAGCCAACCCAGAGTTGTGAGTAGCTTAGTGAAGCATCCCAGAGATGTTAACCTGTTAACCTTTAAAACAAACTCACTCTCCTCCCATCTCCCTGACTTCCTTCTTATTAGTTCCACACTTAAATGTTGGTGCTGGTGCCTTTGCCCTCTTCAGTCGTGTGATCTCTTGGTGATCTCCATACTGTGGCTTCACCTACCACCTTGGTAGTGAAGTCTTCAAAGACCCACCTACTTTTTTTTTTTTTAAGACGGAGTCTTGCTCTATCACCCAGGCTGGAATGCAGTGGCACAATCTCGGCTCACTGCAGCCTCTGCCTCACAGGTTCAAGTGATTCTTCTGCCTCAGCCTCCCCAGTACCTGGGACTACAGGCATGTGCCACCACGCCTGGCTAATTTTTGTATTTTTAGTAGAGATAGGGTTTTGCCACACCTTGGCCAGGCTGGTCTCGAACTCCTGACCTCAAGTGATCCACCTGTTTGGCCTCCCAAAGTACTGGGATTACAGGCGTGAGCCACCGCGCCTGGCCCAACATCTTTATTTCTAATTTTACTTTCTGCTAAAAAAAAAACAGACACACAAATTATAATATTTTATTATAGAAAAAGCATCCCAAATACAGGATTTCGTAAACACTGGTAGGTGAACAAGTGCAATTTTAAAAGTAAATACAAAGTAGAGGCAAAACCTACAAGCATTTTGCCTTCAGAAGAAAATGTAATGTTCTCCTGCACTAGTGATCCCACCCAGAACACAAATGTGGCTCCATCTCCCATGAAAGCATCATATTTGCTTTCTGAGCTCAGTATTCCCATTTCAATAATTGCAAAGTGATGGCAAGAAGTGGCACTGAATACATTACTACAAACCCTTGACTTAAAATATTGAGACAGGGTCTTGCCCTGTCATCCAGGCTGGAGTGCAGTAGCGTCATCATGGCTCACTGCAGCCTCATCCTCCTGGGCTCAAGCAATCATCCTGTCTCAGCCTCTTGAGTGGCTGGGACCACAGGTATGCACTACCATGTCCATGCCTGGCTATTTTTTTAATTTTTTACGTTGCCCAGGCCAGTCTGAAACTCCTGACCTCAAGTGATCCTCCCACCTTGGCCTCCCAAAGTGCTGGGATTACCGGCATGAGCCACTGCACCCAGCCAAAACCTTTAATTTTTTTTTTTCTTTTTTGAGATGGAGTCTTGCTCTGTTGCCCAGGCTGGAGTGCAGTGGCATGATCGTGGCTCACTGCAACCTCTACCTCCCGGGTTCAAGCAGTTCTCCTGCCTCAGCCTCCCAAGTAGCTGGGACTACAGGCACTTGCCACCACACCGGGCTAATTTTTTTGTATTTTTAGTAGAGACGGGGTTTCACCATGTTGGCCAGGCTGGTCTCGAACTCCTGACCTTAGGTGATTTGCCGGCCTCGGCCTCCCAAAGTGCTGGGATTACAGGCGTGAGCCACCACGCCTGGCCAAAAACCCTTGCTTTTTAACTTCGATTGACACTTAACAAAAATCCTCCACATCCCACTTTTTGACAGTTTACATTAAAGCCTGTGGTCTGAATATTTGTTTTACTTAGAGGGGGACCCTTTGGGCAACTTATTTGCAAACACATCTAACCTTCCTGGGCTTATTCCACAGTATTTTCATAGACCTGTATATATTAGACATCACACTGTTCTCTTGGGATTTAAAGTAGTACTGGGTACTGCATATTGTGCAGTAAATCTGGCTTGCTTTCTTAACCTTTTTGCTGCCATTCTTTCAAATATTTTTCCAGGGCTTAGGGGAAACCATTAAATGATCTGACTTAACACTGTCGTCTTGCCCTCCCTCCAACTCCTCAGTGGCAAATGTTTCCTCATCAAAACAGCATGATATGATGCAGATGCAAACTCAAGATTCTAAACTTCAGATTCGGGTTAATCTTGGCTTGCCGATTTCTCTGGCTAAAATATCAACAGCCTGGCTTGCTTATTTAGGCACTTAGAAGAAAACACCAAACCCAAGTTTCACATTTTTAAAATTACAAATGCCTCTTACCCATCTGGCCAGGAACCAACTCTGAAGGGGGTGACCTCAACCCAGCCCTTGTTTCTGTGAGGTCCTGCTTTTGCAGAATGGCCTGCCCCTGGGACTGGAGCAGGCTTGGGTGAGCTCTAGGTGGAGGGTGGTGGGAGGGGCATAGAAATAAACCTTCCTCTCCATCAGAAGGAACCTGTGATCCCAGCTTTTCCTTCAGTCACCACCACCTCGTGACACTAGAAAGCCTACCGTCACAGATTTCCAGCTTACTCAAACCCCACAGGTTGGGGTCAAATGCATGTTAACCTAATTTGGGGGAAAAAAGACTCAATCTTGAAAGCCTGAGCAAAGTAAAGGGTTACACAGGACAGTGTCAAGTATATGCCATACTTCATACCTGGCATTTTCCCTAAGCAAGAACTAATTAGTTTTCATTTTTAAGTGTTAGCTGTGGCATGGTTTACACTTAAATGTTAACAATACATAAGCTGTGTAACAGAAGTTATACATAGTTATCATGGAATATACAAACACTAGGTAATTCAAATTTCCTTTGTAATGGCATGGAAGTCTACTGAGAAGCAGAAAAGAAGCACCATTTAACAATTATCTGGGCTAGTCAACTGGTAGTGGGTATAAATGTACTGGTAAGGTCAAGGCCACACCTAACCTCAAATATGAGCCAATTAGTTTCACAGAAATAAAATTACCTTCTAGCTACAAATAATCCTAACCCTTAATCCAGGCCATTGGCCTTGCAAATGGATGCCAATAGTCATCAGGTGGGGGATAGCTCAGTTTAACCACTTACTACATTCTAGTGAAGAACAGAGCATTAATTTCCACAGTGATGCTAGTCACATGCAGAGAACGTAAGAACACTTTTTCAGCCCTGGAAAGAGCTTTCAACATCTACCTGGCTTTTATCTTTGGATGATTATGACTAGGACAGTCATTAAATGGAATCGAGTAGCCTCTCCTACACAGGATGAGCATCCCAAATCCAAAAATCCGAAATTTGAAGTGCTCCAAAATCCACTTTTTTGAGTGCTGACATGACGTTCAGAAGCCTTTCAGATTTGGGGTGCTCAACTGTTAAGTATTCCAAAATCTGAAAAAATCTGAAACCTTTCTGGTCCCTAGCATTTTGGATAAGAGATACTCAACCTGTATTCCAGTCAGCTTCTACCACAAACTGGGAGATAATTCCAAAATACTTATATCTGGCTCTGCACTCTAAATTTAGCTATACTATTAATAGCCATGGAGAACAGGAGGGAAGATGGTTCAGCACTGTGTGGGCTGAGGAGGGTGATCTGGGTGATCATGCACTGATAACAGAGCTAATAGATCAAATAAAATGACTGGGCTTAATTTCCATTCAGCTCACCCTTCCTTTGGGGATGACATTGGTATAATATTCCTACCCAATGTGTGAGCAGCTATTAGGCTATTTCAAGAACCAAAATACACTGATATCCAAAAATCCCATGGTATGAAAACATACAGAGAAAAGTCCTGCACTAGGACAGGGACTGTGCAGATGATGCTTCCCACCCAGCTTCACTCCATGTACCCCATGCTGGCACTCTTATGAGTCTTTCTGTTGAGAAACTGAGCAATTGTAAGCAATTTCTGTCCTCATCTTGAAAGCCTTTAAGCCATATCTAAGGTCTCCTGGACATATCCACAGCAATGTGCTGCTCCAGAGTGTTAAGACCTATGGTTTCACACCAGATTCCAAGCCAGGATAACCCAACTGGCCTGATTTGGAGAGGTCCTTCTACTTGCATTGTGAGTTTCATTCCAAATGAATCATCCATTTGTTTAGACTCCGAAACCTTGAAGCTAAAAAGGTCTCATCAACACTGTTATTCCATTATCCTTCCTGCCAAGGAATCTGTGTGGTTTTGAATTGTTCACTGCATTAATGAGACACAAATCTGAATTTAAGCTCTTAAGAATTTCCTTTTGGACATTCTGAATGAGACCCTAGTTCTTTCCAGATGCAATTTGGGTGCAGAGGCCACCAAGAATGGCATCTTCATTAACCTCTAATGAGCATCCGATTGGTGTCTGCTTTTAGAAGTTAGAGATTGTCACCTTTTCAGTTTGGTCCCTTTGCTACTAAGCAATTTGCCTGGTATAAAACAAGACAAAAACAAAACCCAAGAACAGAGTATAAAGGATAAGGACTGCTTTGCTAAGCACGAGGCAACAGGAGTCTTGACTTCCTTTCCTGCTTTTGCAGTTACACAAAGACTCAATGAACAGCACCAGACCCAAATTTTTCAAGTTACCAGGGCTGCTGCAAAGATGGTAGCTAATTACCAGTGAGTACTTCTTCATCCCCTGCCAGAGGCATGGACTTACTGAAAAGGACATATGTTAATTATGGCAGAAAGGAAAAGGTTAGGGGAGAAGCATGTCTCCTACTCAAGGTGAGACAAATCACGAGGGAGGGCTGGCTGCAGGCATCCCAGGTGAGATGGGCTCCAACAAGGAGTAGACCCACAGCTGGCCCTAATCCTGAAAGTCGTTAGAAGCCATCTGAGAAAGTGGGGCATTTAGCCGGTCAAGTTCATCCACTTGGGGTGGGTGATGCATTAATATCTCCTGGTCCTCCAAGACATCATCTCCAGCAGCTACCAGATTCGTGAGGGATTTGCTTCGAACACACTGGAAATCCACATGGCGACTCTTCCCTTCTTCCTTTTCCCATGACATCTGGATGAAGGGGCGTTGTACATAATTATAGATGACTTCAGACCGGCCGCCAGGCCTTCTCTTAATTTTTTCTTTACAGGTAGGGTAACCTGCAATGGAAAAAGGCCATTCTCATGACTAACAAATTGTGCTCACTCTGGTGTCCATACTTTCTCCTTCCTAACCACATCAGTTTTCTCCCAAAATCACAGCATGGAAAATATGTGCGAAGTGACCAGTCCCTGTCCCATGCTTTCCCAGCCCCAGTCACCTACATGTTCATTTCCTTCCTGGTCAGATTAGTAGGTCTTGTCCCTAGAAGGGACTAATCTGAGAAGTAACAAGAATTCTATCCCTTCTAATGGAAAGAGGAGAGAAGCCTCTTACCAGTTCAGGAACCTGTTGTTGCTGGCAACAATACCATAGAAGAAAAGTCCTGCCAAAGCATGGCTACCCTAGTCCTCTTAATTCTATTGCTTAGAGGGCATACTATATGAGAAACAGTTAAGGAAATGTGGAATGTTTAGCCTAAAGAAAAAACAGAGATGCTGCCTAAAATATGTGAAAGGCTGTCACATGGAAATGGGAAAAATAGTCAAAGTAGCTTCAGAGGCTATTAACTGGAAGGCAGGCAGGAGAGGGAGGCCGTTATCTATTAAATATGTATGGCAGAATGTTCTAATGGTAAAACAGTTTGATGGGTTGTTCTGGGAAATGCACCTAACAGACAAGGGAAAGACCGAGTAGGAGGAGATTTAATAGATAATCTCAAAAATGTCTTCCAAGGCTGGACACTGTCGCTCACACCTGTAATCCTAGCACTTTGGGAGGCCAAGGCAGGAGGATCGCTTGAGTCCAGGAGTTCAAAACCAGCCTGGGCCAGAGGGAGACCTCATCTCTTAGAAAAAAGGTTAAAAAAAAATAGTGGAGCATAGTGGTGCATGCCTGTGGTCTCTGCTACTTGGAAGGCTGAGGCAGGAGGACCACTTGAGCCCAGGAAGGTAAGGCTGCAGTGAGCCATGATTGTGTCACTGTACTCCAGTGTAAGCAGAAGAGTGAGACCCTGTCTCTTAAAAAAAAAAGTCCTCCAACTTTAAATTCAACTTAAGTCAGACACAGTGAAGCTTTGATGGGTTCTGTGGGCAGAAATGAGGCAACAAGAGTAGCAAAGCACAAGAGTCAAACAAAGATCCACATAGGGGGCCAGGCGCCGTGGCTCACATCTGTAATCCCAGCACTTAGGGAGGCCGAGGCGGCGGATCACGAGGTCAGGAGATTGAGACCATCCTGGCTAACAAAGTGAAACACCGTCTCTACTAAAAATACAAGAAATTAGCCGGGCATGGTTGCGGGTGCCTGTAGTCCCAGCTACTCGAGAGGCTGAGGCAGAAGAATGGCGTGAACCCAGGAGGCGGAGCTGGCAGTGAGCTGAGATCGTGCCACCGCACTCCACCTGGGCGACAGAGTGAGACTCCATCTCAAAAAAAAAAAAAAAAAAAAAAAAGATCCACTCCACGTAGGAGAGACCAAATGACTTTAGCACTCTCCAGGAATCAGTCTCTTGAGAGCCTTCCATGGGGACCACAGGTTGGGAGCCACTGCTCAAGATCATTCAAAGTAGTTCTGTTAATATATTCAGACATTCCTCAAAAGTATGGAATAATCTTTTTTTTTTTTTGAGATGAAGTTTAACTCTTATTGCCCAGGCTGGAGTGCAATTACCTTGGTATCCCAAAGTGCTGGGATCATAGGCACAACAAACTGTGCCCAGCCGGAATAATCTTTAATTTTGAGTCCCCAAGCTATTTTTTCAGAAGGACCCTTCCAGATACCAGAAACATCTTCACCAAGACTGGTGGCAGAACGACGCTCTCATCTGGTGAGCCCACAAGCCCTGCTGTATCTCCCTACCACTGTCCTTTGCCCTTGCTGCTCTTTATCCTGAAGTAGTAAACTCGAACTTGTTTCTGTGGCTGCTTTGAACCATTTTCAACTGGAGATAAAATGAAAAGAAAAATGAGGAAAAAACAGGAACATTCAAACTTGAGTAAGAATGTGGTTTTCATGTATGCCTATTTTCTAGGCCTCTGGAGGCTAAATTTTGAGGATGTAAGCTGTGGCAATAGACCCAACCTGAATGTTGACTGGGATTTTTTTTTTTTTTTTACCTTCAATTCCAATGCGAATGTTTTTTAGGCCCCGTTCCTTTAACACTGTTTTTGCAACATCCCTATTCTCAATATATTTGAAGAATCTGTAGAGCTTGGAGCTATAAAGAACTGAAAAAGAAAAAATATAGGGTTAGCCATGGAGTAAAGACCTAAGAGGAAAGAGAGAAGCTAACAAAATCAAACTAATGAAGGATATACTTGACTCCTAATCCCAAATAATCCAGATGGATCAAAGATTAAATGTTAAATAATACATAAACCGTAAGAGAAATTTTTATAGTCTCAGGGTGGGGACTTTCTGGGTACAACATTAAACCTAGAAGCCATAAAAGAAAAACTGATGATTTTAGAAATACAACATCTCTGCATAGCCTAAACCGTTTACCAAAGCTAAAAAGACACTGAATAAGAAAATATTTGCAACTCATAAAAGGTTAATTTCCTTAATTAGAAAGAGCTGCCACAAATAGAGCTTTCACAAATCACTAAGTAAAAAACTAACAATCTGATTTTGTAATGGGCAAAAGGCACAAACACTATTAACAAAAAAGGAAATTACAATGGCTCTTGAAAACTAAAAAGGTTTTGGCTGGGTGTGGTGGCTCACACCTGTAACCCAGCACTTTGGGAGGCCGAGGCAGGCAGATCAGTTGAGGTTGGGAGTTGGAGACCAGCCTGACTAACATGGTGAAACCCCGTCTCTACTAAAAATAGAAAAATTAGGCATAGTGGTGGGTGCCTGTAATCCCAGCTACTCGGGAGGCTGAGGCAGGAGAAGCACTTGAACCCTGGAGGCAGAAGTTGCAGTGAGCCAAGATCACGCCATTGCACTCCAGCCTGGCCAAGAGAAGGGAGACACCATCTCAAAAAAAAAAAAAAAAATTCAGCCTCACTCATGAAATAAGAAATGTAATTAAAACTCATGCCAATCATGAGATTCTGCCGTTTTTTTTTACTTACTAAGAAAGTAGCAAAGATAAAAGTTTTAAAAACACTGTTTTGGGGCCAGGCACAGTGGCTCACGCCTGTAATCACAACACTTTCGGGGGCAGATGCAGGAAGATGGCTTGAGGCCTGGAGTTTGAGACTAGCCTAGGCAAGGCAACATAGAACCCATTTCTACACAAAATTAAAAAAAAAATTAGCCAATCATGGTGGCACACACCTGCAGCCCAGGCTACTTGGAGGCTGAGATGGGAGAATCACTTAAGACTAGGAGTTTGAGGCTGCAGTGAGCCATGATTGCACCACTGCTCTCCAGCCTGGGTGAAAGAGCAAGATTCTATCTGTAAAAAAATTTTTTAAGAAGCCACTGTTGGCCAGCCATGGTGCCTGCAATCCCAGCACTTGGGAGGCTGAGGCGGGTGGATCATTTGAGGTCAGGAATTTGAGACCAGCCTGGCCAACATGGTGAAACCCCGTTTCTATTAATAATACAAAAATTAGCCGGACGTGGTGGCACGCACCTGTAGTCCCAGCTTCTTGGGAGGTTGAGGCATGAGAATCACTTGAACCCAGGAGGTGGGACTCTGTCTCAAAAAAAAAAAAAAAAAAAAAAGAAAAAGCCACTGTTTTGGTGAGGGGGTAGGAAACAAACCTGTCATGTATTGTTTTCTGAGTGTAAATTGGTACAAATTTTATGGAGGATAATTTGGCAACATCTATCAAAATTATAAAGGTATAATTTTTTTTTTTTTTTTTTTGAAACGGAGTCTCGCTCTGTTACCCAGGCTGTAGTGCAATGGCATGATCTCGGCTCACTGCAACGTCTGCCTCCTGGGTTCAAATGATTCTCCTGCCTCTCAGCCTCCTGAGTAGCTGGGATTACAGGCATGGGCCACCATGCCCGGTTAATCTTTTTTTTTTTTTTTTTTTTGAGACGTAGTCTTGCTCTGTCACTCAGGCTGAAGTGCAGTGGTGTGATCTTGTCTCACTGCAACCTCCGCCTCCTGGGTTCAAGTGATTCTCCTGTTTCAGCCTCCAGAGTAGCTAGGATTACAGGCATGAGCCACGACGCCCAGCTAATTTTTGTATTTTTAATAGAGATGGGGTTTCACTATATTGGCAAGGCTGGTCTCGAACTCTTGACCTCAAGCAATCAGCCCACCTTGGCCTCCCAAAGTGCTGGGATTACAGGCATGAGCCACTGCGCCTGGCCAATAGTTTAAACGTCCAATAATGGCTGGTTAAGTCAATTATGGCACATTTGTGCAAAGGAACACTATAGAGCCACAAAAAAGAATGTTGAAGATTTTTCTTTTGTTTTTTTGAGATGGAGTCTCACACTGTCGCCCGGGCTGGAGCGCAATGGCGTGATCTCGGCTCACTGCAACCGCCGCCTCCCAGGTTCACCTGATTCTCCTGCCTCAGCCTCCTGAGTAGCTGGGACTACAGGCGCACGCCACCATGCCTGGCTTATTTTTTGTATTTTTAGTAGAGATGGGCTTTCACTATGTTGGCCAGACTGGTCTTGAACTCCTGACCTCATGATTCGCCTGCCTCGGCCTCCCAAAGTGCTGGGATTACAGGCATGAGCTACCGCGCCCGGCCCAGAATGTCGAAGATTTTTGTTAACACATGGCACCGAACAGTTGTATAATATGGTACATTTGAAAAAGGAGGAGAAAACAAGTAATTGGTTATATATGTACACTGAATATACCTGGAAGCCTGTAAAAGAAATTGAGAAGCAAAACTGGATAGATGGGGCAGGAGTGAGAATAAGACTTTTTAGTGTATATCCTTTTATGTTTTTTGAATTTTGACTTATTACCAATTCAAAAGGATTTAAAATGAATTAAGAGAAGAATGACACCATCATTTAATGTGCTGCCTCAGTATCTTACACAGTACGAGACACCAGAGAAAGAGTGAATGGTGAACAACATTCACTGTGTTCCCCAGCATAAAGGCTAGACCTGCGTCACTAGGGATTTGTCATCCAGGTGAGTGTGCTCATCACAGGCTCAACATTGATATTCACATTGGTTCTAGGATCAAGCTGCTACTCCAGGTAGCAAGTTTCTTGCTGAAAACATCTACGCCATGCCAGAAGCTCCTACTTTGGGAATATTCCTCCCCCATTGGTGGAGGGTGGTCTTCATCCCAGTCCACAGAATCCTCATCCGTCAGCACAACAATGTGGCACTCTCGTTCTCCTTTCTTGGCACAGCCCACCATGATGGGCAAGATGAGCTCTTCGAGGTAGTGATCAAACTGCTTATGAGCACCGTCATTAGACAGTTCATGGAGTAAAGCACCTGCAGAGAGAAAATGTAGGTGAACATGCTTTCTGCCTAAATGCACATATTACTGGAGTGAAAAAGACTATGAGGGAATGGCTGTTATCATTGATGAGGTTCAGAGAAGTGGCACATTTAAAGGCAAAGAGATTGTTTCCTGCTCCAGGGTGATAATTAAGCTTTGTTAAGGTATGTCTCCTATTCTACCACTCTTCAATTTACTCATGTTTAATAATCCTTGAGCATTCTGATCGAGGTTTTGTTGGACTTACAAGGTCAGACCATGTTAATCCTATAAGAGATGAAATCATCATTTGGGGATGATTCTTTGTAGTACCTCTTCTGAAGATGGTTTGGATCCTGATTTCATGGAGTTAGAGTACCATAATAGAGGAATAATCTGAATTTTGGTGACACCAAAGGACTTACTCTAAATGTGTAATACACTCAGTAAAGAAATCACATGTACAGGGGCTTTCATGCAACATGCAGGGAAATGTATCATGAAATTCAGAGAATAGTTATTTATATAATTTCAGGAAGCCCAGGTAATAAGAGCATGGAGTTTGCAGTCAGACAATCTGAGTTCTCATCCTGGCCTTAATGCCTAGAGCTCTGAATAAGCTAATTTCTTAAATGAGGTTATCACCCATCTTTCAGGACTATTATAAGATTTAAGCAAGTCCGTATCTATAAAGCACTTAGCAAACACTAAGTTAATAATAATAGGCCGGGTGCAGTGGCTCATGCCTGTAACCTCGGCACTTTGGGAGGCCGAGGTGGCAGATCACTTGAGGTCAGGAGTTCGAGACCAGGCTGGCCAACATGGTGAAACCCTATCTCTACTAAAAATACAAAAATTAGCCGGGCATGGTGGCACGTGCCCGTAATCCCAGCTGCTCTGGCAGGAGAATTGCTTGAATCCAGGAGGCGGAGGCTGCAGTGAGCTGAGATTGTGCCACTGCACTCCAGCCTGGGCGACAGAACGAGACTCTTGTCTCCAAAACAAAACAATAATAATAAGCCAGGCGTGGTGGCATGTACCTGTAGTCCCAGCTACTCAGGAGGCTGAGGTGGGAGGACTGCTTGAGGCCAGAAGTTTGAGACCAGCCTGAGCAACATAGTAGCAAGACCCCATCTCAAATTAAAAAAAAAAAAAAAAAAAAAAAGGCAATATCATGATCAGGAGAACCTGGCCAATTTGTGCTGTTTGACTTTATTAGTGAACTGTTCCTCATGTTGGACAATCAGTATCCTTGTTTGTTAGAGTCGAGACACCAAAGTCCCAAGAGGGAAGCAGTCAGCTTGGTCTCCCACTGGTCAGGCTCCATTTAGAAACTACTATCTGTTTTCCTTTGTCTACTCCAGTTCCTCACAGTGCTTTGAACTAAGAGAGGAAAAGGGTTAGTTAGTATCACATCTCTGCCTCTGCAGAAGATTTTCAACCTAAACTTGAAACTCCTTCTGTTTAGTAATAGAAAATATCAGCTGGGCTTGGTGGCTCACGCCTGTAATCCCAGCACATTGGGAGGCTGAGGGCGGGCGGATCACCTGAGGTCAGGAGTTCAAAACCAGCTCGGCCAACATGGCAAAACCCTATCTCTACTAAAAATACAAAAATTAGCCAGGTGTGGTGGCAGGTATGTGTAATCCCAGCTACTTGGGAGGCTGAGGCAGGGAAAATCCCTTGAACCCAGGAGGCGGAGGTTGCGGTAAGCCGAGATCGTGCCACTGCACTCCAGCCTCGGCGACAGAGCGAGACTCTGTCTCAAAAAAAAAAAAAAAAAAAAAAAAAAAAAATCGGTGACTTCCAAGAAAACTGAAAGTTCAGCTGCTTAAGTGCAGCTGGCACCTGCTCCTGTACTTACTCAGATCTTGACATCGGATAGTGTTGAAGTCAAAATTAATGCAGAGATAATCACAAGTATCTCTAAGATCTGGGATAGAGATGCCATCAGGACAATTGATGATACCGGTTTTGTAATAATCCTGTAAATAGATTAGGAAGAAAAAATGTAGGCAGAGAACAAGATGAAAAATTACTTCTTCATCCCTGTGCATTCCTGGTTTTGTTAAAGCAATGAGCTACTGGAATTATCACCAAATTGGATGATTCATTAGATGGCAAAACAGCTCCTGGCTATCTTGACTTGTTTAACCAGAACTTGGTAACTGATAGAGCTCACATACAAACAAGCAAGGACTTAAAAGTTACAGGAATAGAAAACAAAGGGAGAAAGGAAACAACTGGAAACCAGAGACCCTAAAGTCAATAACATAGTTGATGGAACTCTCAAGGCTATTGATCACACATGCCCCTGAGGAAGAGAATGTAACAAAAAAGGCTACCACACACCAGCACTGTGCGAAATACAGTTGCACTGATGCCTTCAGCAATCTCATACTCTCCCTTCTCATTGGGCCGAGTGAAGTTGTACTCTCTTCCTGGTCCAAACATCCTGAAAGATATCCAGGCAATAATGTTATCTTCTCCATCATGATTCTTCACAGATGAGATTTCTCCCTTCTCCACCTCATTCTGGAAGACTCCATCCCACTCTCTCATAGTATAAATTAAAAACACAGCACTGGAACCCAATGCCTACAAGACACCTCAAGTCTTAGGAAGCTCCCTTCAGACAGGAAAAAAAGGCAATTGCTTTAAGCATTTGTGTACAAAGAAGAATGAAGGATCAAGTCCACAAAGTTCATCTGTAGTGAGTTTCTTTGGCAGTAAATGCAGTAAATAGCAACTGCAGAGGTGGCCCTTGGAAAATATCTGTGTTGAGATGGTGGCCTTTCATGCCCTCCCCACTGCCCAAGAACCTGCTTTTCTATACTGACAGCTCAGAAAGACAGCATCTAGGCTCCTTTTTATTCCTGTCCCCTCATCTGTCAATACTGACCTATCTAATATGCCATTCATCAATATTTCTGAGCTTTACTTTTCAACATCTCATCTTCTGTTAGATGCAGCTATGTTAATGCTTTCTTGGTATGTCTTAATAGTCGAGCTCTGGGGGAAAAATGGCCTTACTCAATACAAAGAATAATTAATGATGGGATTTTCAGATCAAGTAGAAAAGGAGGGTAGTAGGTATTAGGCTTATCAGCAGTTTACTGCATTTCAGAGAGACAGGCTTGCTGTCAGCATGAACTCAGAAGTCATGAGGGTACAGGGAGAAGAGCTTTTCTTATTTGCCTCTCCCCATCCTTCCTCCCTCTATCAGATCCCTTGCAGTCTAAATGACCCCATGACTTCCACTCCTGCTGCACTTCTGTGTATGAGCTGTGGAATGGTTAGATAACACAAAGGATAGGGCAGGCAGCTGCTATCTTCAACCAGCCTAAGATTTGACTTCCCAATCAAATGGGGGTTAACTGCCATTTCCTTCCTTAAACTGCTGGGAAGTGTTGCCTGTTCAGCTGTTCACAACTGTTGTCCTCCAGCCTGAACTGGCTGCTTTTCTTTTCTTTTTTTTTTTGAGATGGAGTTTCGCTCTGTTGCCCAGGCTGGAGTGCAGTGGCGCGATCTCGGCTCACTGCAACCTCCGCCTCCCAGGTTCACGCCATTCTCCTGCCTTAGCCTCCCCAGCAGTTGGGACTACAGGCGCCCGCCAGGGCACCCGGCTAATTTTTTTTGTATTTTTAGTAGAGACAGGGTTTCATCGTGGTCTCGATCTCCTGACCTCGTGATCTGCCCGCCTCGGCCTCCCAAAGTGCTGGGATTACAGGCGTGAGCCACCGCGCCCGGCGAACTGGCTGCTTTTCAAAGGTCTGAAAATGATTCCATTTCGGCCGGGTGTGGTGGCTCACGCCTGTAATCCCAGCACTTTGGGAGCCGAGATGGGCGGATCATGAGGTCAGGAGATAGAGACCATCCTGGCTAGAATGGTGAAACCCTGTCTCTACTAAAAAAAGAAATACAAAAAATTAGCTGGGCGTGGTGATGGGCGCCTGTAGTCCCAGCTGTGCGGGAGGCTGAGGCAGGAGAATGGCTGAACCCGGGAGGCAGAGCTTGCAGTGAGCTGAGATCGCGCGACTGCACTCCAGCCTGGGCGACAGAGCGAGACTCCGTCTCAAAAAAAAAAAAAAAAAGAAAAGAAAATGATTCCATTTCACATGCTTCCCAAATAACTGTACCACACATAAGAATTCCATCTTGATAAAAGCCTCCAAAGAATGCAGATGTTTTTCTGGAATGCTCTGGTTGAATGAAGTCTAGCTCAGAGAGCTCTGAATAAAAATAGTGAACATATTGTAACTATAATCCCCCCATTTATTATCAGCTGGACTTCAGCTCAGAGTTATTTATTTAGTAGTGGCATGGATCTGCATTAATCCATTCTCTTTCTCTCAGCTTCTCCCCTTGTGACTAGTGGCCCACATCTGTAAGCTCACTGGCTAGGCTTACAAGTACTGTATATAATCATAGGACAGGTAGCCACAGAACAGAACAAATCTAAATAACTTACAGAATTTACGACCTTGCCAATTCAGCTGAATGAACCATACAGATAAAGAACCAGACTCTCCTCTTCATGGGACAACCCATTCCAAGATTCAAAAAACCAGTGTCACCCAAGAATCTGTTACCCAGAAAACATTTGCCTTTCTTCTCTTGATCACTACTTTCAGAGGCAACATACCTAAAACAGCCAGCCTGCACTGAGAAACACTTTTTTCAGGGGGTGGGAATGATGGTAATACCCAAACTGAGAACAGGAAGTCAAACCTGATAAAAAATAGAGGGCCAGTCTGGAAAATGTTTTAATGTTCTACTTTTATCTTAATTCAGATGTTTAAGAAATATGTAGACAGGTTTGGTTCTAATTAAAAAGTGGTTCGCTGTGGCCAGGCACAGTGGCTCATGCCTGTAATCCCAGCACTTTGGGAGGCTAAGGTGGGCGGATCACGAGGTCAGGAGTTCAAGACCAGCCTGACCAACGTGGTGAAACCCCATCTCTACTAAAAATACAAAAATTTGCCGGGTGTGGTGGCACACACCTGTGATCCCAGCTACTTGGGAGGCTGAGGCACGAGAATTGCTTGAACCCGGGAGGTGGAGGTTGCAGTGAGCCGAGATTGCACCACTGCCCTCCAGCCTTGGTGACAGAGTGAGACTCTGTCTTAAAAAAAAAAAAAAAAAAATGGTTCACTGTGAATTTATATGTTCAAATACACATATATTTGAATGGCTGGATTCTATTTAGCCTAGAATTCAATAAATTAGTGTGATCAATTCGAATTTCTAACTCAGTTTAATTAATTCAAAGTCCTGAGTTAGATCTCTAAACAAAATAAAATCTACTTCTAAGTAGATGAAAATGATCAAAAGCCAAATCTACATGTATAATATCATTATTATTACTATTTTTACTCTTATCCCAATTTGCTCTTCCTTAGGTTAAGGTCTATGGTTGGCCAGAAAGACAATCTCTTTACTCCTAGCCCAGGCTCTGAGACTCCTTCCTGGACAGTGTTCCTCCTTAGTAGGCTATTTCCATTTCCTAAACTCTAACCCTAAAACTCTGGGGGCCAGAGACGGTTAAGAGGAGATAAATCTGAATGAAGCAGCACAGAGAATGGACCATGAAGAATAAAGAGGGCAATTATGAAACAAACAACAAAACAACTAGGTTTAAAGATTCTATTTAAAGATTCCATTTCAAAAAACTTGAATAGTAATGGAAGGCATTAGAAAATGACAGTATAGCATCTGTTGCCAAGCATAAAACTTGCAATAGATGGCAGGGAAATGCTTTTCAGTAAAATAGCTTTGTTCTTGTGCCATGCAGAACATTTGCCTAATACTGTTATTTTTTTTTTTAAAAAGGGAGCAAGATTTAGGTCTCACCTTACCCCCAACATCTTTGACCTGTGAAACTCTGAAAACATTACTTAGAGTGAATTTGTAGAGGAGCAGAGAATGAGATTTAGCAGGTTATTTTTTCATAGTTTCCAAATAGATTTTATTTCCTTTTGTGGGGCTCATTTTACTATACTGGCTTTGTAAATGAAGTACTCTCCCCACCCCGAAATACCAACATGTATTAGGCTTTTACCAGCTTGCCCTCCCTTTCACAAATGTATGAGGGCAGAAAAATAATACAATGCTTTTTTTTTTTTTGAGACGGGAGTCTTGCTCTGTCACCCAGGCTGGAGTGCAATGGTGCAGTCTCGGCTCACTGCAACCTCCACCTTCCAGGTTCAGGCGATTCTCCTGCCTCAGCCTCCCAAGTAGCAGCTGGGATTATAGGTGCCCGCCACCACACCCAGCTAATTTTTGTATTTTTAGTAGAGATAGGGTTTCACCATGTTGGCCAGGCTGGTCTCAAACTCCTGACCTCAGGTGATCTGCCTGCCTCGACCTCCCAAAGTGCTGGGATTACAGACGTGAGCCACCGCGCCCAACCTATACAATACTTTTTACTGTTATATCTAATGCAAGATAAACAGCAGGTATTTTTATTTATAGAGAACAGAATGAATTTGGAAGAAAATTATCATCAGTTACCTTCCCAGCATGGTATCCGGATGAGCAGTGAAAATCTGTGGATTCACAACAAAACGTGTGCCATCTACAAGAAGCGTCACTTTCTCTGGTGCTTGGGAATGGGAATTACTGCCAAAGCCCACACTACTGTTTCCAAATCTTTCTGGAGCAATAAAAGGTTCATGGTTCCGTTTATTCCCACTTTGGAAGCAAGAACCTTTGATGTCTTCAGCAAGGGGCATTATGTGAGGGAACTGAAGATTTGCTGGCTGAGAGGCATAGTCAAGTGAGAGGTCTAAAAGAACATACAAAGAAACCAAAACAACTTGAGAGCAAAAGCCTTGAGAGAAAAATAAACCCTGTCTTCTTTAAAACAAGTAAACAAACAAAAAACCCCCAAATTTTAGATGTTCACAGGCAAAAAAAAACCTCTTGCCTACAGCAAGTAAAAAGCAAGCAAACAAAAAAACTAGAGACTTATATTGGATCTCTTCCATGTACATGTGAGGGTTGGGGGAGGGAGAGGATGAAGGCAGGATGCCCACACTTGAACGTTATTTAAATTTTCTAAAGTAAACTATGTATATGGTTAAGAAAAACAGTAGAGAAGAATTTATGTGGAGGCCCAGCAGTCTCCCCTGCTATTCCCTATACCTTCCCTGGTGTTGGTTCAGAGGCAATCACTTTTTACTTGTTTTCACTTCTATTGCTAAATAATACTTTTATATTTCCCGTGTTTTATTTAAGGAACCTGCTACTAATATGTGCCAAAACTATTCATTTTCAGATTCTTCAAAATTGTTTTAAAATTTTAGGAAGGGGAATATTACACTCTGGTGACTGTTGTGGGGTGGGGGGAGGGGGGAGGGATAGCATCGGGAGATATAGCTAATGCTAGATGATGAGTTAGTGGGTGCAGCGCACCAGCATGGCACATGTATACATATGTAACTAACCTGCACAATGTGCACATGTACCCTAAAACTTATAATAAAACAAAACAAAACAAAAACAAAACAAAACAAAATTTTATTTTTCAGAAGGGATAATGATAGTCTTTAATTTTCCAATATATTACTTTTCCTAGAAATTCACAGTAAAAGGCATTTTCACTATGTACAGGAGAATCCTAACATCACCTACACTATTTTTTCAAAACGGCAGGTCTTACTCTCAGCAGAAAAGTTCCAGTGCAAATGGCATTAGGATTCATTCATGAAATCTGTTTCTTAGTATCACCAAAAAGCTGTTTTCTTTAAGCAATTTATTTAATTTTTCTTTCCTTTCCTTTTTTTATTTTTTATTTTTTTTGAGATAGAGTCTCACACTGTCGCCCAGGCTGGAGTGCAGTGGCGCGATCTCAGCTCACTGCAAGCTCCGCCTCCCAGGTTCACGCTATTCTCCTGCCTCAGCCTCCCGAGCAGCTGGGACTACAGGAGCCCGCCACCATGCCTGGCTAATTTTTTGTATTTTTTAGTAGAGACAAGGTTTCATCGTGTTAGCTAGGATGGTCTCTATCTCCTGATCTCGTGATCCGCCCGCCTTGGCCTCCCAGAGTGCTGGGATTACAGGCATGAGCCACCACGCCTGGCCAGTTAATTTATTTAATTTTTCTACCTGGTCCATCATCTATATTGAGGATAAATAATGTTCACTCCATATACCTCACAGGGCTGTTTCACTTATAAACTGAAATTAAGGACGTGAGAGCACTTAAAAATAGGCCGGGTGCGGTGGCTCACGCCTGTAGTCCCAGCACTTTGGGAAGCCAAGGTGGGCA
Source organism: Homo sapiens (assembly GCF_000001405.40). NCBI lineage: Eukaryota > Metazoa > Chordata > Mammalia > Primates > Hominidae > Homo > Homo sapiens. The sequence continues at coordinate 36,473,303 of NC_000006.12, read as the reverse complement.
GATCATCTGAGGTCAGGAGATCGAGACCATCCTGGCTAACATGGTGAAGCCCCGTCTCTACTAAAAGTACAAAAAATTAGCTGAGTGTGGTGGCGGGTGCCTGTAGTCCCAGCTACTCAGGAGGCTGAGGCAGGTGAATGGTGTGAACCCGGGAGGCAGAGCTTGCAGTGAGCCGAGATCGCGCCACTGCACTCCAGCCTGGGTGACAGAGCAAGACTCTGTCTCAAAAAAAAAAAATTAGCCAGAAGTGGTGGTGGGTGCCTGTAATTCCAGCTATCAGGAGGCTGAGGCAGGAGAATCTCTGGAACCTGGGAGGTGGAGGTTGCAGCAAGCCAAGATTGTACCACTGCACTCCAGCCTAGGCAACAGAGCAAGACTCTGTCTCAAAAAAGAAAAAAAAATTATATATATATGTAAAATACTGCATGATACAAAACAGGCTTAAAACTAGATATATGAAATCTGGATGTATATAGAAGACAATCAGAAGTAAGTATTTACAAAGGATTACCAAAGGGTTCTTTTAAATAGGCAGTCTCCTCAAGTGATCCGCCCACCTTGGCTCCCCAAAGTGATTACAGGTGTGAGCCACCACACCCAGCCCTATTTTGTTTTAATGTAAAAAAAAGTTTTTTAATGAAAAATTCCAAACATAGGGAAGCACAAACTTAATATAATACATACGCCCCATCACCTACATACATTTGGCAAGATTTGTTAACATTTTTCTATCTTTTCTTCAAGCCCTTTTTGAAAAAAAAAAAGTTATCAATACAACTGAATTACTCCCATTCCTCTTGTTTATAAAATTTGTAAACAAATTCAGGAACATGATTAATGCCCATGACCTCTGGGAAATTAGTCTGATTTCCTACACTCAGACAACCAAATAAATTGTTGGGTAGAGGACACTTAGTTTTTTTCCCATTTGTTTGTAGATAAAAGGCAACAAAAATCTAGATCAAAAACCTATTTAGAGTTCCCATCCCATAGCTTCTCATAAACTTTCAATGTGGTCTCATGTTTGCACACCAAAAGCTACGCTTCCAGGTAACTCACAGGCAATCACCAGGTAACCCACAGGCAACCCACTTTGATCACCAGGATAGGCTTTCACACGTGAGGTGCTGTTTATTAAAAACGAAATAGATACCTGGGCCGGGCGCCGTGGCTCACGCCTGTAGTCCCAGCACTTTGGAAGGCCGAGGCGGGCGGATCATGAGGTCAGGAGATCGAGACCATCCTGGCTAACACAGTGAAACCCTGTCTCTACTAAAAATATAAAAAATTAGCCGGGCATGGTGGCAGGTGCCTGTAGTCCCAGCTACTTGGGAGGCTGAGGCAGGAGAATAGCGTGAACCCGGGAGGCGGAGCTTGCAGTGAGCCGAGATCGCGCCACCGCACTCCAGCCTGGGCAACAGAGCGAGGCTCCGTCTAAAAAAAAAAAAAAAAAGAAATAGATACCAGAATTACTAATTCAGTTCTTTAGAATGCTTGATTTCTCCCCAATAATGAAGCAATTAAAATGGGTTTATTCCGAAACCCAAAGAAGACACCTCAGGTTCTATCCTGCTTAAATGGGCGAGTAGGAAAACAGACTCCTTGCACAAGTTCTCCCTAATGGTGTACTCTTCAGCGGCAGTCATAGGCTTTTCTGTCAGTTAATACACATATAGAAATCATCTCAGCTCACTACCTCCTAGCAATGTGAACCTGAGCAAGTTACCTAAGCTTTCTAAGCCTCAGTTTCCTCATCTGTAAAACAAGGATAATAGTTGTAAGGACTAATCTGGAGTAGAGTCAGCAAATTTTCCATAAAGCGCTACAAAGTAAATATTTTAGGCTTGTGGTCAGTCTCTGCCACTACTGTAGCAGGAAGGCAGCCATAGACAATATGGACATGATGGCTGTTTCATTAAAATTTTATTTACAAAAACAGGTAGACAGATTTGACCAGTTTGCCACCCCTGATCTAAAGAATGTATGTAAAGTTCCTAGTACAGTGAATGTTCGATAAATGGTAGTTGCTATTATTGGTGCTATTGTTTTAATTAAAAGTTAAAAAGAATTTCAGTTTATCGGGATCTTTCACATCTATTAATTTGTTAATCTACTAGCCTTGTGAGGTAGGGAGAATTTTTTTTTTTTTTTTTGAGACACAGTCTCCCTCTCTTGCCCAGGCTGGAGCGCAGTGGTGTGATCTTGGCTCACTGCAACCTCCGCCTACCAGGTTCAAGCGATTCTTGTGCCTCATACTCCCAAGTAGCTGAGATTACAGGCATCTGCCACCACGCCCGGCTAATTTTTGTATTTTTAGTAGAGATGGGGGTTTCGCCACATTGGCCAGGCAGGTCTTGAAGTCCTGACCTCAAGTGATCCACCTGCTTTGGCCTCCCAAAGTGCTGGGATTATAGGCGTGAGCCACCGTGCCGGGCCTAGGAAGAATATTAATAGCCTTGTTTTCTAGATTAAGAAAGTGAGGCTTGCCAGCCTTGGCAAAATAGTGAAACCCTGTCTCTACCAAAAATATAAAAAGTTAGCTGGGTGTGGTGGTACCCACCTGTGGTCCCAGCAACTCGTGAGGCTGAGGTGAGAGGCTCACTTGAGCCTGGGAGGCAGAGCTGCAGTGAGCCAAGATCGCGCCACTGCACTCCAACCTGGGTGAAGAGTGAGACCCCATCTCAAAAAATAAAAATAAAAATAAAAAATAAAGTAAAGAAAAAGCAGGGCTCAGAAAGACTGAGGATCTCATCCATGGTTACAACTAATAAGCAGCTGAGCTAGAAGTTGAATATGTCTTCTGACTCCAAACCTGTGGCTGTTTTTGTTTGTTTGTTTTAATACCATTATCACCATATTAGATGTGCTAGACTGATTAAATAAGTGGAGAGTTTCTGTGAAGGTCAGCTTTATGTAATTGTGACATGCAAGCTAAGCAATTAATTGGATAATTTATTTAGATTAAAAACATTCATGCCTTCTGGGTAGAGTAGATGCTCTAGTATTGGAAAGCCCCCCAAATTAAGTCAAGAGTTAATCACTGTACCTTCATTCCTGGGACCTAGAGGATAAGTAAGATTATGAGGACCAGATGAAGCCAGGCTGTTTGCTTCTTTTTCTTGGGCTACAGCTAAAGTATCATCCACTAAGCAGCTGGCCTCCTGCCGCAATAACCTGTCACTGTCACTGCCACGGTGAACATTCATCCTTAGATTCTGAGTCCTGAACTGTCCGTTTGATCAGAGAGAAATCCTGGAACACAGGAATATGCATGATTTAGAACTCACAAAACAGATTTCTAAGGAATTCCATGGTATGAAAGCAAAACTAGAAAACTGACAGCTAGCATTCCTGTTCTCAGGAGAAATAGGCATCTTAAACATTTTTGTGATTTTTATATCGATAGGAATCAGGCTGATTTAAATGGTCTTTATCAAATTACTAAGAATGCAGATAAACTTGTTACCAGGGAATAATTTTATCCATGAACAGACATCAAATTCACTGACTTTGGTCACATTCTTGATCAATTCTACATTAAATGGTGGTACAATAATTTTGTGGTATTCATATTACAGAGACATAGGGCAGCAGAGAGTCCAACTTTTCAACTAAAGAAAACCTATGTTTTTTTAAAATTGACACATACACTGTTGCAACAATTAAGCACCAGGAAATTAAAAAACAATCACAACCTTAAAGCCAGTGTGAGAATCATCTGAGCTGAAGAAAAAAGCTAATTCTGATTGTAGAGCTCAAGTTCTCCTTTTTATCTCCCCTTTTCTCTCTTTCACTTTGTATACCTTATGCTCAATCCCGAAACCCCACCTCAAAATCACACTGGCTATAAAGCTAATCATGTCATTCATCTCTCTCGAAAGCAGTGCAGAGTCCCCATGAACAACACACACTATGTGACTGCCACGTGCAAGACCCCCAGTGATGAGGCAGGATGGAGATGCCACAGCAGCCACACAGGGGGCCTCATAACTTTCTGCTGGTTAATCACGCCCTGCAACCCTTCCATCCTCGATGGCGGCTACTCAAAATATTTCTGAAGTTCACTCTACTTAGCACTTTCACAGTTTACACTGTACAAATTTCCACTGGCATTCTGGTGGAAGAATCATCTTAAATCACCAGTAATTTGTATGCATATGGATTACATGCTTAATATTTTAGGAAACAGGAAGCTCACTAAGGGCAGTAATGCATTTTAATACTCTGAATTTCCTGGCATACCAAGCATGTGGTAGGTGCCAATAAACATCTATAAAAAATAAACATAATATCTGTAATGTAAATGAAATTTTGAATCCCTTCATAACATATATTAAAATATTTTTAGCATAAAATTGATCAGTTTATGCCCTGATCCAAGTTTTCACTTAGATGAAATGTAAAAATGACCACTTTGATAGGATGGATAGAGGAATATGCCTGAAAATAAATCATGCTAAAGAGATACTTTCAATTGATGAAATCTTTCTCAGACAATGGCTCTTATTAAGCAAATTGAAGGAATAAAGTGAATGTATTGATAGAAAACCTTCAATGTGACTACAGCTTTTTTCACAATTATCCTTTCTTAAAAATAAAGTATTTATATTATGAAAATGCAGCCATTTAAAATTGATGTTTGGTGATTGGTAAAGTCAAACAGAACCACCAATGCCTTCAAGTGTGGCTCAGATGTCAAAATCAAGTCTACAGAATAAGATAAAGAACAAGGTCCATGGAATTGGAAAGAACATTACCAAAGACGGTCTGCTTCTTTAATCTTAACTGGTTTTGAACCATAATATTCCAATCTATTTACAGCTCCTCCAGCTGCTCAAGAACCAAGTTCAAACTTCTCTTTGTTGCACTCGAAAAGATCTCTTGAACCAACACACAATAAGCTTGACTGAGCCTGCTTCTTGAGAACTTGTATGGACTAGACTGTATAAGCCACTTAATTTAATCTTCATAATGTAAGAAAATCGTTTTGTTATCATGGTATAAAAAATGTCCTAGTTTATAAAACCAGGGCTCCAAAATCAGTTTAATTTGTATATGGTGAACTAATAAATGGATGTACTTGGAGTTTAGCAGGGTAGGTATCACCACGGAGGGAAAATAAAGTAACTTTCTCAGCACTTAACAGGTATTTGCATTTAATTAATTTTTATTATAAGTAATACACAAATATATTCCTAAGAAAATTCAAACCTTATAGATAATGCAAAAAAGGACCTTTTGATCATCATTCCTAATCCCAGTCATTTCTCCAAGTAACTATCATTACTTGCTTGGATGAATCCTTTCAGACTTTATTAAAATGCATGTTTATTATTCAGATATACTGGGGAAAGCATACAGTTTTTAAAAAACACACAAATTATATACTATATGCCTCATTCTCATTCTGTAATGTTTTTCTAAATGTTCTTGAGAACCATCCATGATTGAAGATTGAGATCTAGTTCATTCATTTTTAAGGGCTGTATAATATTCTATTAATACAATTTTACTCTCCTCCCTATCAATATTTAAGTTGTTTATAACAAACAAATGCTTTGACGAGTAAGATCAGAGCGTACTATGGAACTCCAAGAGAGGATTCAGTTTGCAGAGTTTTCCCAAATGGATTTGGCTTCAGAATTTCTTTTTTCAAGAAATCCTTCAGAGCCAGGCACGGTGGCTCACACCTGTAATCCCAGCACTCTGGGAGGCTGGGGCGGGCGGATCACGAGGTCAGGAGATCGAGACCATCCTGGCTAACACGGTGAAACCCCGTCTCTATTAAAAATACAAAAATTACCCGGGCGTGGTGGGGGCGCCTGTAGTCCCAGCTACTCGGGAGGCTGAGGCAGGAGAATGGCATGAACCTGGGAGGTGGAGGTTGCAGTGAGCAGAGATGGCGCCATTGCACTCCAGCCTGGGCGAAAGTGCGAAACTCCGTCTCAAAAAAAAAAAAAAAAAAAAAAAAAAAAAAAAAAAAAATCCTGAAGGATTTTCGGAGTCTTTCACTTGTTGCCCAGGCTGGAGTGCAATGGCACCATCTCAGCTCACTGCAACCTCCACCTCCTGGGTTCAAGCGACTCTCCTGCCTCAGCCTCCCAAGTAGCTGGGATTACAGGCACCCACCACCACGCCCTGCTAATTTTTGTATTTTTAGTAGACACGGGGTTTCACCATGTTGGCCAGGCTGGTCTCAAACTCCTGACCTCAGGTGATCCACCCGCTTCGGCCTCCTAAAGTGCTGGGATTACAGGTGTGCACGACCACACCCAGCCCAGGATTAATGTTTAATGGCACATACTTTCAGATATCACCGAACCCAGCATTTCCCAAAGTCCCCTATAAACTCTATTTCCTCTAAAATCCCAGAATGATGGAACAAAAATCTCTTGACTTATGAAACCTAAGAAGCAAACTGATACCAAGTTCTTCAACAAACCAGAGCAGGCAGTTTAAATATAATAGTAAGGTTCTATTCCCCTTCCAGCATGGACGCTTCATTCAACTTTGAATGATATTTTCATTGCCTACCCTGGTTCACTTCTGTAGCCATCCCCCAAATGAATCTTCGTCCTCAGAACAGATTGAAGGCGGGGAAAAAAAAAAGGAAAGAAAAAAAGGCAAGGCGCAGTGGCTCACACCTGTAGTCTCAGAACTTTGGGAGGCCAAGGCAGGAGGATCTCTTGAGCCTGAGAGTTCAAGACCAGCCTGGGTAATATAGTAAGATCTCATCTCTAAAAAAAATTTAAAAATTAGCCAGACATGGTGGTGCATGCCTGTAGTCCCAGCTACTTGGGAAGCTGAGGCGGGAGGATGATTTAAGCCCAGGAGGTCGAGGCTGTAGTGAGCTGTGATTGTACCACTGCACTCCAGCCTGAGCAGCAGAGCAAGACCCTGTTTCAAAAAAAAAAAAAAAGAGAAAAAAAGCAGCAAAACACAGCCAGGCCCAGTGGCTCATGCCTGTCATCCCAGCCCTTTGGGAGGCTGAGGTGGGCGGATCACCTGAGGTTAGGAGATCGAGACCATCCTGGCCAACATGGTGAAACCCCGTCTCTACTAAAAATACAAAAATTAGCTGGGTGTGGTGGTGTGCACCTGTAGTCCCAGCTACTCGGGAGGCTGAGGCAGGAGAATTGCTTGAACCCAGGAGGCGGAGATTGCAGTGAGCTTAGAGCACCCCAGCCTGGGTGACAGAGAGAGACTCCATCTCAAAAAAAAAAAAAAGAAAAGAAACAAAACACTTCAACAACAATATAATTCTCTATTGCTGCAAAACTATTTTTTGGTCAACACAACTCTGAAGGTCACAGCAATGTGCAAGAACCAGAGGTTCACCACCCTGTTATAGCTTAACAGTAACTGAAGAGACTGCTTTGGAAAGGCAGCAAGAGTTAAAATGTATATTAATAATGGAACCCAGAATATACAGCTGTGAAGCAAAGAAAACATCCAGCAAGCCAGTTCATGCTTCACTTCCATACATTCTGTGAAAGCATTTTATACACTCTGAGGAGCTATATATTTTAAGAGTATATATTTTATTATTTATTTCACAGGCCTCCCATGAAGGCCCATATTTTGTTAAGTCTTGATTTTACTGACCTGGAACAGCAAAATAGTTTTATCACCATCATCTCCCCATCTTGGAAAATGTATATACAGTCTTTGATAGTGGAATTATCTCTACATATTCCTTGCACCTAAAAAAGAATGTACTGGTTTCTCTCTAGAACAATCATCTTGAGTATGAATCCACACAACAGCCTGTAGATAATAAATTTATATATTTTCTTATTTGCAATTTCTCCTAATCAATTATTTCTGAAGAAAACAAGATATTTACCTAGATCACTATTCCCTTAAATAAATTCAATATCCTACCATTGAACTACTCAGATTAAAAAAAAAAAAAACAAAAAAAAACTAATTGGAATGGCATGGGGGCAATAATATTGATGTATCTCAAAAGCATAATGCTTGCATACTGTTTTTTTTTTTTTTTTTGAGACGGAATCTCACCCTTCTTGCCCAGGCTGGAGTGCAGTGGTACGATCCCAGCTCACTGCAACCTCTGCCTCCCGGGTTCAAGCAATTCTCCTGCCTCAGCCTCCTGAGTAACTGGGATTACAGGCATGCACCATCACGCCCGGCTAATTTTTGTATTTTTAGTGCAGACGGGGTTTCATCATGTTGGCTAGGATGGTCTTGATCTCCTGACCTCATGATCCACCCACCTTGGCCTCCCAAAGTGCTGGGATTACAGGCGTGAGCCACCATTTCATACCGTTAATAGTGCAAGGACATGATCTTTCAAAAGGCAGTACCCTTGTTTATACTTAGGACCGTATCTCCACTCTGTGTAGGAGGTGGGAGGTGAAAATGAAGTAGGATGCCACAGAATTTGGTAAATAAGCTAATCTGCCCTTAACCCATATCCCATAATCAAACTTAAGAAGTAGTTATATCTTTGCCAAACCTTCATTCCAAACTGAAAAATCCTAGCCCTTCCAGTCTGTTCTTATGTGAAAACCACTTGGTCTAGTTCCATTGTGCTTTTTCTTTATGCATGCTAATGAGAACTCTGCTAATGTTTTCTGTTAAGCAGGTTTTCTGTTTTGCTGCACATAATGCTCTCTGGTGACACCCAGAATTTCTGGGAATAGGTTAAAATGGGATGAAGTTTGGGGGAGGGGAAACAGAGGGGGATGGGGAAAATCTAAAATGTCTACAAGACCTCCTTCTAGGACTATTATGAACTCACAGTAAGAGGCTATCATATTCCGAAAGTACTGAGTCTCTACAAAAGATAAGAAATTAGCTGGTGTGTGATGGTGTACACTTGTTGTCCCAGCTGCTCAGGAGGCTGTGGAAGGAGGATCACTTGAGCCTGGGAGGTCAAGGCTGTAGTAACCCATTATCATGCCATTGCACTCCAACCCATGACAGAGCAAGACCCAGTCTCTCTCATTCATTCATAAATAGAGTTTATACTGATGTTTTCAGTTCAAATTTAATACTGGTTTTTCCTAACTCATTTTATATTAGTGTATCTTTTCCTTCACATTGAAATTCTTGGTTCATAGACTAGTTTCAGAATTATAATGTCAAATTACTAGTAACAATAAACCTACTAAGTTTAGGTGTTTTGGTCAAGGGAGCAGTTCTTTTTGTCCTTAAAGCATATCCCACTAAGGATGTACAGTCAGCATGCTATATTCAAAAGTTACTGTGTATTTTTTCTCTATATGTTCTGTAAGGTAGGTTCTTTTGTTTCTCTTTTTATTCAATCATAGCATTTTCCCATTATTTTTAAAATGTATTTCCTGAATATGTAAAACATTTACATGGTTCCGAAGTTGAAGACTCATAAAAAAGGAATGTTCAGAGAAGTCTCTGTCCTTCCCCTTTTTCCCTCTCAATCTGTTCCTATTTATTCCCTACAGATAACCAGTTGTCTTAGTCCATTTGTGCTGCTATAAACAAAATGCCTGAGACTGGGTAATTCATAAAGAACAGAAATTTCTTTTCTCACAGTTCTGGAGGCTGAGAAATCCAAGCAAGATTAGGGTGCTGGCAAATTGGGTATCTGGTGAGGGCTGTTCCTCAAAGATGATGGCATCCAGGCGTCCTCACATGATGGAAGGAGAAGGGCTAGCTAGGTTCCTTCAATTCCCTTTTATAAGGCCTAATCACCTCCTAAAGGCCTCCCCTCTTAATGGTATCACCTTGGGGGTTTAAGTTCCAACACAACAATTTTGGAGGGACATATACATTCAAACCATAGCATTGGTTTTGTTAGTTTATCTTTAATGTTTCTCTTTGCAGACATAAGGAAGTATGTGTGTACATATACATATATTCTTAACTCCTTTTTTCTCTTATACAAAAGATAGAATACCATATTCTACCAAATAAAATACCATATTTTGTACCTTGTTATATTACTTAACAGTATATCCTGGAAATCACTCCATGGGAGTTCATACACATATTCCTCATTCTTTATTATGTCTGCATAATACTCCACTGTGTAGCTATTAATATGGAGAGATTAGATACAGAAAAGGGAAAAAGGGCATTCCAGGCAAGATGAATGACAAATAACTGGCAGGAAAATAAGAATAAACAAGGCTTTATTACCATATGAAAGAGAAAGAAAGTAAACCAATCAGGCTAGAGTGAAGGATTAATGCAAAAGGGTGGGAAAAGTCAAGGTTACCACCATATCATACAATTCCAGGGAAGACCATGCACATCATCATCTAAGGAGCTGTATAAAGCACAGCTTAGATAATTGTACACACTCCCTTGGGTAAAGCTAAAGACAAAAAGTTGGGGCTAGTTTACAGAGGCACTTAGATTATAAGGTAAAATAGGATTCTGTCTTGTAGCCAAAGCTTCTGCAGGAAGGTGTCATGTTCAAAATGTTGCTTTAAGATAAATAAGACCACAGACAGACTGGAGGGGCTATAAGAGAAGGTTACTAAAATTGTCTAGGAGTGAGGTAGTAAGTATCTTAGTGGGCTGACAGCGAAGAAAAGGGTATTACCTAAGACACAGTCTTGCTTACCTTCAAAGAGCTTACAATCTAGTTGTTGAGATAATGTATTATTTAAGAGTTACATAATACAGAAATGATATTTTAGAATCAGAAGAGACCTCAGTGATCATATTGTCCAATGGTTCTCAAATCCAGCTGATAATCAGAATCACTTAGAGGAACTTGTTAAAACATCTTCTTGGGCCCCATTCCCCAGAGATTCTTATTCAATAAGTCTTTAGTTGGGTCTGGAGAATCTGAACTTGTAACACGCTCCTCAAGTGATCTCCCACTGACTGGCGATGTTTGGGAACTACTGTTTCAGTATAGTCTTTTCATTTCATAGATGAGAAGCTGAATCACAACAATATTCTTTTCCAAGAATGTTACAGGAGATTACAATCTAGGGGTTGGGAGGCCTTTTTAATCAAGACCCAAAACCCAAAAGCGAAATGAGAAAGACAAATCTGACCACAAAACATTTAAAAACATTTGTATGGCAAAGGATCCTATAAACAAAGACAACAGACTTGAAAAACTATATATGTAACAGACTACGAAGGGTTGTTATCATCATACTCCACAAGGGTTATGAAAATACATGAAACTAACACAACAGAAAAATGGTGAAGGATGGAAAAGGGGCAGATACCCAAAAGAGAGTTGGTGAAGCTATATTAATAGCCTACAAAATAGAATTTAAGGCAAAAAACTACACAAGCTTGGCAAGGCAGAAAATTCAAAGGATATCTGTGGACAGGACTATTTCTGCTCCTCATTTCTACTTGGAAGAAAATCATAATGAGAAGCAGGAGAGAAGAAGGCATTACAATTCCACAGGAAAGCTCGTACTCCTCTGATTCCACTTCCCTTTTCCTTCCTCCTTCTCTACAAATCACAGGCCAGGCTAACAAGCTGACAGATAAAAGTACAATGACAGGGTGACAAGATTAGAATTGCTTGGATAAATTTTCCTGTCTCCTCTATTTGACACTCCTAACTTACTACCCTTAGTACGTTTTTGTCAATATAACTTAGATGAAAGACAGCTTTTAACTTACATAAAAGACTATATGAGTTACAGTACTTTTTTGTCAATATAACTTAACGTTGAAAGACAGCTTTTGTGCACATAAAAGGCTATGTGAGTTACTTGGATTTACATTAAGACCTTAAATTCAGTATATTAACAGTCTAAAGACCCTTAGTTTTTTTATAACTGTATCAGCCTAATTACCTAATTTAAAAATATTAATGTACTACATATAAAAAGATTTAAAGAACCATATAATAAAAACTCTTGTACCCACCTCCAGTTTAAATATAAAACATGAATCCCCTAAATTTGGCATTCCCATCAAACATCTTCACTACATTTAGTTTAATAGATGCTCTTTTCCTGTGTTAGCACTTCAAATGCCTACCAAGCAAATCCTTAAGTACTTTTTTAAAAAAGTTCTGGTAGATGTTTAAAAAATTAAACTTATAAGTATAGTATACATAAAAAGGTCCTAAATATTACAACACTTTTCAAACTTAGCAAAGTTTTCTAGCATTCTTCAACTAATAATCAAATCTAAACCAAATTACTCAAGAACATATCTTAAATGAGAATCACAAATTAATCTGCTGGATTCTTTCATATGTCAAATTACTGCAAACATTACATCCTAAGTCCAGATGGACTTAAACTTAATTGATTTAACACATATCATGCACTATATATTATTTAAGTACTTTATAAATATTATTTAATACTCAAAAAACTTTATGAGGTAGATGCCATTGTTACCCTCATTTTACACATAAGAAAACTGAAGGAAGAAGGAGGTTAAGGAAAGTTCCCACAGTCACACAGCTAACAAGCAGTGGAGCCAGACTTCTGGCTTCATAGTCCATGCTGTTTACCACCATGCAGTGCCGCTGCTCCTTATAGGTATAAATCACTTCAAAATTTCTATGTATGTTTTACAGGACTGGAAATGTGATTTCAAGCTGAAGACCGGGGGCTAGGACATATAATCTTCCTGTGCTGATAATGGGCACATCTAGCACCTTTCCTCTTTAAATAATTGCTACAACAGAGCCTCTAAATCAAATACCTCCAGATGGGGGTTGATTTTACAATCTGAGTTCAAATTAAGTTCTAATTGTGAGGCTGGGTGCGGTGGCTCACGCCTGTAATCCCAACACTTTGGGAGGCTGAGGTGGGCGGATCACTTGAGGTCAGCAGTTCGAAACCAGCCTGGCCAACATGGTGAAACCCCGTCTCTATTAAAAATACAAAAAATTAGCTGGGTGTGATGGTGGGCACCTGTAGTTCTAACTACTCGGGAGGCCGAGGCAGGAGAATCGCTGGAATCTGTGAGGTGGAGGTTGCACTGAGCTGAGATCATTCCACTGCACTCCAGCCTGGGCTACAGGCTCAGTCTCGGGAAAAAAAAAGAGAGATCTAATTCTGCTGTAACTTCTTTCAACTTTATTACCTAAATACTGGTTAGATGGAATTCTATAATTTCCATGTGGGGTGCTTCCTCTTTTGATTGAACTTAACTAGTTAAGGTCATTCTAATGAAACCTTAAGGAGAACAATCCAAGGCACATAATAGGTCAAAGAAAGCTCACGACTCCTACAAAAAAGCTGGTCAACATATAATAGAATTTCCAGGGTAAGGTCTTCAGTGTCCAGGATACTCCTCTACTTGGCTATTACCTAAAACTCTCTAAAGGAACAACTGCATAGGCTGTAAAGAATAATTTAAAGACAAACTTCTAGGAAATCCAAGGGATATACTTTTAGTAATAACATTTTTTAAAGCAGTGCAATTAAAAAATTAAAAGTATATTAGTAAATACAGTTGACTATTTTATAGAAAAGAGCTAAGCATTTATATAGCAAGAAAAGAGTTGAAGGCTTTAGAGGACAGATCCATAAATCAGTACTATAGTAACAGAGCTAACATGTAGAAAATTCATGTTATAAACAATCCACAAATCACTGTCAGAAAACAGTATAAAGGTCATCTAGTTCAAGGACCAGCACCAATTGCTGTCAAAAGTACTGTAGTAACAGAGCTAACATGTAGAAAATTCATGTTTATAAACAATCCACAAATCACTGTCAGAAAACAGTGTAAAGGTCATCTAGTTCAAGGACCAGCACCAATTGCTGTCAAAAGTTTTCATGCAGTCTTGTCAAAAATTAGGCCAATGTAGATAATGTAACCCACACACCATTTTCTGAGTCCTAAGACACTTGACGCTAAGACATCATCAATCTAAAAACTTTTTAAGAAAAAGCAGCACTATTGTATTAAATAGAATTTTCAGATGCATCCTGATTTTAAAAATGTTAAAATATGAAGTGAAAAATTATGGTATATAGTGTAAGGCTTCCTTGGGAAGGGCTATCCTTTGTACCTAAATGATATCTTCTTTTTCTTTTTTTTTGAGACGGAGTCTCGCTCTGTTGCCCAGGCTGGAGTGCAGTGGCATGATCTCAGCTCACTACAACCTCTGCCTCCGAGTTCAAGCGATTCTCCTGCCTCAGCCTCCCGAGTAGCTGGGATTATGGGCACGTGCCACCAGCCCTGGCTAATTTTTGTATTTTTAGTAGAGATGGGGTTTCACCACGTTGGCCAGGCTGGTCTCAAACTCTTGACCTTGATATCAAGTGATCCACCCACCTCGGCCTCCCAAAGTGCTGGGATTACAGGCGTGGGCCACGGTGCCCAGCCATCTTTACTTCTTTTTTAATATTAAAAATGTATTTTTTTTCCTCATTAGTATAGTGGTCAGTATAAAAAAAAGAAAAAACAGACTTGGACTCCCAGGCTCAAGCAATCCTCCCACTTCAGCCTCCCAAGTAGCTGGAACCACAGATACATGCCACCATGCCTGGCTAATTTTTTTTTCCCCTTTTTAAATTATTCTGTAGAGACAGGGTCTCACTATGTTGCCCAGGCCAGTCTCAAGCTCCTGGGATCAAGCCATCCTTCCGCCTTGGTCTCCCAAAGTGTTGGGATTACAGGCATGGCCACCTCACTTGGCCAAAAATGCCTTCTTTAAAAATGTAATAATCCAGACACAGTGGCTCACGCCTGTAATCCCAGCACTTTGGGAGGCCAAGGCAGGAGGATCACTTGAGCCCAGGAGTTCAAGACCAGCCTGGGCAACATAGCCAGACCTTTCTTTCTTTTCTTTTTTTTTTTTTTTTTTTGAGATGGAGTTTTGCTCTTGTTGCCCAGGGTGGAGTGCAGTAGCACGCTCTTGGCTCACTGCAACCTCTGCCTCCCAGGTTCAAGCAATTCTCCTGCCTTAGCCTCCTGAGTAGCTAGGATTACAGACATGCACCACCACGCCCGGCTAATTTTTTTGTATTTTTAGTAGAGACGGGGTTTCTCCATGTTGGTCAGGCTGGTCTCAAACTCTCGACCTCAGGTGATCCGCCCACCTCGGCCTCCCAAAAATGCTGGGATTACAGGCATGAGCCACCGCACCCGGCCTAGACCTTTCTCTACAAAAATAAAAATAAAAAAAAATTAGCTGGCCATGGTGGCTCATGCCTGTGGTCCCAGCTACTCAGGAGGCTGAGATGGGAGGACTGCTTGAGTCCAGAAGGTTGAGACTGCAGTGAGCCATGATCATGCTACTGCCTTCCTGCCTGGGCAACAGAGCAAGACCCTGTCTCAAAAAAGAAGGCTAGATTTTTTTAATGCCCTTACATGACAAAATAAAATGCCAGCAACCTTATGATGGTCTCCCAATCACCCACCGCCACAATTTTACCAATCATGAACCTCAAAATCTGGGATCTCAAACCTTCCACCCAAGACTACAAAACACCTCTACTAGTTCATCCCAGTCTACCTAAAAATATCCAAAAATAATCTATTACACCCACTGTGACTTCCATGCACTAGTTTAATCCTACCCCCGGAAAAACATATCCTTCCATCACTTCCAACCCTTTAAATATTAAAGACAAGTACCATAAATTTCCCTTCTTTGATTAGCATATTAAATCTATAATTCTTGCCACAGTTTTGCATTTAACACTGTTTCCAGACTTCTTGACATTTTTGCAGTGGCAGATCATGACTCACTGTAGTCTCCAACTCCTGGGCTCAAGCAATCCTCCTGCCTCAGCCTCCCAAGTAGCTGGTATTACAGGTATGCACAACCATGCCCAGCTAATTTTTTAATTCTATTTTAAGTAGAGATAGGAGTCTCACTATGTTGCCTAAACTGGTCTCTAACTTGTGGGCTCAAGCAATCATCCCACCTGGGCCTCCCAAAGCATTGGAATTATAGGCGTGAGTCCCCGTACCCGGCCTCAACATTTGATTAGGATACAGACTTAAAAATAGCAAGGCCTTCTTTAATGCTCAGTATTGGTAAAATTACAAGAAACCATTCCAATTCTAAAATCCACAATATGACCGAGGCAAGTAATGTGGGAATCTCTGAAAAGCATCAGATAAGTGATTTAAAGGATTAAATAGTATCTTCATTAATTCAGGAATAGCATACAGCCCACAATGGCTCACATGCAATCCCTGTACTTTAGGAAGCCAAGGTGGGAGGACTGCTTGAGCCCAGGAATTTGAGACCAGCCTTGGCAACACAGTGAGACCCCCATCTCTCCAAAAAATAAAAAATTAGGCCGGGCACGGTGGCTCACACCTGTAATCCGAGCACTTTGGGAGGCCGAGGCAGGTGGATCACTTGAGACCAGGAGTACCAGGCTGGGCCACATGGCAAAACCCCGTCTCCACAAAAAGAAATACAAAAAAATTAGCCAGGCATGGTGGCATATGCCTGTAGTCCCAGCTACTTGAGAGGCCAAGGTTTGCATGAGAGGAGGATTGCATGAGACTAGCCTGGACAACACACCAAGACCGCCATCTCTTTACCATCTCTTTTTTCCAGACGTGGTTTTGCACACCTGTAGTCCCAGCTACTCAGGAGTGGGTTACAGGCTCCACAGGCTCTTTACCATCTCTTTTTTCCAGGCATGGTTGTGCACACTTGTAGTCTCAGCTACTCAGGAGGCTGAGGCAGGAAGGTCATTTGAGCTCAGGAGGTCAAAACTGCAGTGAGCTGTGATAGCACCACTATATGCCACCGTGGATAACAGAGCAAGATCCCAGCTCTTAAAAAAAAAAAAAAAAAAAAAAAAAGCCTGGGCGTGGTGGCTCAGGCCTGTAATCCCAACACTCTGGGAGGCCAAGGTGGGCGGATCATCTAAGGTCAGGAGTTCGAGACCAGCCTGGCCAACATGGTGAAACCCTGTCTCTACTAAAAATACAAAAATTAGCTGGATGTGGTGACGGGCGCCTGTAATCCTGGCTACTTGGGAGTCTGAGGCAGGAGAATCGCTTGAACCCGGGAGGCAGAGGTTGCAGTGAGCCAAGATTGCGCCACTGCACTCCAGCCTGGGTGACAGAACAAGACTCCGTCTCAAAAAAAAGCTAATTTTTTAGCGATGGGGTCTTGCTATGTTGCCCAGGCTGGTCTCAAGCAATCCTCCTGCCTTGGCCTCCCAAAGTGCTGGGATTACAGGTGTGAGCTACTGTACCTGGCCTCAGAACATTTTCTAGAACACTGGGATTTCTACTGCTACCAATGGGCAAGTTTCTACCAGAATAAACCTCCTACTGGAGAGCGCTCAGAAAAGCTGAGTAAAACAGAAAAAAAACATCTGTTTGAAGGCATCAGACAACTAGTGAAGTGGCCAAGACTCAAGAAGTGAATTCCTACAGAGAAGATGTGATGGTCAATTTTATGTATCAACTTGGCTAGGCTACAGTCCCGTTATTCAAACACTAATACAGGTGTTGCTGTCAAGGTATTTGGTAGATACAATTACAGTCTATAGTTACTTACTTTAAGTAAGGAAGATTATCCTAGATAATCTGGGTGGGCCTGATCCAATCAGTTGCTTTAAGGGCAGAACACAAACTTCTCTGAGGAAGAAGAAATTCTGCCTGCAGACTGTAGCTTTTGCTCCTATCCTAGAGGTCCTGCCTGTCCCTCCTGGCTGCAACCTGTCTTACGGGTTTCAGACTTGCCTAGCTAGTCCCCAACATAGTGTGAACCAATTCTTTGCAATAAATAGCCTAATATGTATGTGTGTGAACACACACACACACACACACACACACTACTGGTTCTATTTTCTTTGGTGGAACGCTAATAGAGAAAGCAAATAAGTTAAGCCCAACACTCTGTACCACTTTTCTCCTCCAGATATTTGCCAATTTGGAAGCAGCTACCAAAAGGCTATAAAGCTAAGTAGAAAGCAGCAGCTAAAAAGTTGAGAAGTTTTTTTGTTTGTTCTGTTTTTGTTTTTAGACGGAGTCTTGCTCTGTCGCCCAGGCTGGAGTGCAGTGGCATGATCTTGGCTCACTGCAACCTCTGCCACTCAGGTTAAAGCGATTATCCTGCCTCGGCCTCCTGAGTGGCTGGGACTACAGACACCTGCCACCACACCCAGCTAATTTTTGTATTTTTAGTAGCGGCAGGGTTTCACTGTGTTGGCCAGGCTGGTCTCAAACTCCTGACCTCAGGTGATCCGCCCACCTCAGCCTCCCAAAGTGCTGGGATTACAGGCGTAAGCCACTGTGCCTGGCCCAAAAGTTGAGAAGTTAAGCAGAGCTTTTGTCAGCATCAAGATGCTGGAGAGACAAAAACTGGAATGGGTCTGCAGAGGAGGAAGGATCCTGTGAAATACCCCAGGTTTTCCATTGGGAGCCTAAAAGTAACACTGTAGAATGGGTGGCAAACTTTTCTGGTAAAGAGCCATAAAGTAGGCCGGGCACGGTGGCTCATGCCTGTAATCCTAGCACTTTGGGAGGCCAAGATGGGCGGATCACCTGAGGTCAGGAGTTCAAGACCAGCCTGGCCAACAACATGGTGAAACCCCAATTCTACAGAAATATGAAAATTAGCCAGGCATGACTACAGGCAGGTGGGTGCCTGTAGTCCCAGGTACTTGGGAGACTGAGGCGGGAGAACTGCTTGAACCCGGCGGCGGAGGTTGCAGTGAGCTGAGATTGTGTCACTGCACTCCAGCCTGCGGAACAGAGCAAGACTCCGACTCAAGAAAAAAAAAAAAGGCTGGGCACAGTGGCTCACGCCTGTAATCCCAGCACTTTGGGAGGCCCAGCTGGGTGCATCACCTGAAATCAGGAGTTCGAGACAAGCCTGACCAATATGGTGAAACCCCATCTCTACTAAAATCACAAAAATTAGCCGGGTGTGGTGGCATGCATCTGTAGTCCCAGCTACTCAGGAGGCTGAGGCAGGAGAATTGCTTGAACCCGGGAGGTGGAGGTTGCAGTGAGCTGAGATCACGCCACTGCACTCCAGCCTGGGCGACAGAGCGAGACTCCATCTCAAAAAAAAAAAAGAGCCATAAAGTAAATATTTTAGGTCTTGTGGGCCATACTATTATAGAGCAAAAGCAGTCATAGACAATTTGTAAATGAGTAAGCATGGCTGTGTTCTAATAAAACTTTGTGTACAAAAAAGGCAGCAGGAGGTAGTTTGTCCACTGCTCATATAGAAGGTTTGAATAACATCATTCATAAATTAACCAAATTTGCACCCAATTGCAGAGTAATTCTTTTGCAAGTACACTTGAAAAATTAATCAGAACTGACCACATTCAGGCTACATAGTAAGTCTCAATACATTTCAAAAGATTGAAAGAATAGTTATGTTCTCTGAACACAGTGGAATTAAGTTAAAAATCAATGACAAAAACAAAATATCCTCAAATGTTGGAAAATTAAGCAACACACTTCTGAATAACCTTGGACCAAAAACAGAACACAATGAAATGGAGAAAATATTTTGAACTGAATGAATACAACATATGCGAACTTGTTAAATAAGCCTAACTCCAGGCACAAAGGAAAATTTATAGCTTTAAAACATATATTAGAGGCCGGGCACAGTGGCTCATATCTGTAATCCCAGCACTTTGGGAGGCCAAGGCGGGCGGATCACCTGAGGTCAGGAGTTTGAGACCAGCCTGACCAACATCAAGAAACGTCTCTACTAAAAATACAAAATTGGCAGGTGTGGTGGTGCATGCCTGTAATCCCAGCTACTGGGGAGGCTGAGGCAGGAGAATCGCTTGAACCCAGGAGGCAGAGGTTGCGGTGGGCCAAGATCACACCATTGCACTTCAGCCTGGGCAACAAGAGCAAAACTCCGTCTCAAAAAAAAAAAAAACAAAAAACAAAACATTAGAAAAGAATGAAAAACAATAATCAAAGTATCTTTCTCAAGGCAGGAAAATAATAGCTTATTAATCCTAAAGAATATATAAGGAAAGAAATAAGGGCAGAAATTAATGTAAAAGAAAACACAAGCTCAACTGAGAAAAATCAATAAAGCCAAAAGTTGGCTTTAAGAAAACAAAACAAAATAAAACAAAAGGCTGGGGGTGGTGGCTCACGCCTGTAATCCCAGCAGTTTGGGAGGCCAAGGCGGGTGGATCACTTGAGGTCAGGAGTTCAAGACCAGCCTGGCCAACATGGTGAGACCCTGTCTCTACTAATAATACAAAAAAAATTAGCCAGGCAGTAGTGGCACGCGTCTGTAATCCCAGCTACTTGGGAGGCTGAGGCACTCAAATTGCTTGAGCCTGGGAGGCGGAGGTTGCCGTGAGCCAAGATCGCGCCACTGCACTCCAGCCAGGGCAACAGAGTGAGACCCTGTATCCAAAAAAAAAAAAAAAAAAAAAAAAAGCTAAGAAAACTGATAAGCCCTAAAAACTGATCAAGAAAGAAATAATGGTGGTAATGTCTGCACAACTTTGAATATACTAAACCACTCAACTCTATACTTTATATGAGTGAATTGTATGTTATGTGAATTCTCTCTCAGTGAAGTTGTTTTAAAAAGAAAATAAGGCTGGGCGCGGTGGCTCACGCCTGTAATCCCAGCACTTCGGGAGACTGACGCGGGCGGATCACGAGGTCAGGAGTTCAAGACCAGCCTGGCCAACATAGTGAAACCCCATCTCTACTAAAAATACAAAAATTAGCCAGGTGTCATGGTGTACACCTGTAGTCCCAGCTACTCAGGAGGCTGGGGCAGTAGAATCGCTTCGGGAAGCGGAGGTTGCAGTAAGCCAAGATAGCGACATTGCACTGCAGCTTGGGCAACAGAGTGAGACTTCATCTAAAAAAAAAAAAAAAAAAAAGAAAATGAAGATGCACACTACAATGATCACAGATGAAAAAAGACTATCAGTACACATCCCATGAGACTAAAAAGATGAGCAGTTATTTTGTACAATTTATGCCAGTAAATTAGAATTTGCAGATTAAATGAATATTCTATAATTTATTGAAACTGACTTAGAAAAATTAGAAAATCTGCAAAGTCCTATATCTAGTAAAGAAATTTAATTGATAATTAAAACTTTTCCAGAATCCAATGGCTTGACTAGCAAATTTTCCCACACTTTTAACGAAGAAATTATATCAAACTTTCTCATGAACATAATCACAAAAATCCTAAACAAATTATGAGAAAATCAAATTCAGCCACATAAAAAAGGATAATACATTATGGCAAAGATTGGTTTAACATTCAAAAATCAATTCATATGATTCACCAATTAAAAAAATAGGCCAGGCACATTGACTCACACCTGTAATCCCAGCACTTTGGGAGGCCAAGGTGGGCAGATCACTTGAAGTCAGGAGTTTGAGACCAGCCCGGTCAACATGGCGAAACCCTGTCTCTACTAAAAATACAAAAATTAGCTGGGCATGGTGGTGTGTACCTGTAATTCCAGCTACTCAGGAGGCTGAGGCATGAAAAGCACTTGAACCGGGGAGGAGGAGGTTGCAGTGAGCTGAGACTGCACTACTGCACTGCCTGGGTGACAGAGTGAGACTCTGTCTCTAAATAAATAAATAGAAATCTGTTTGAAAATAACTAAAATAGGGCCAGGTGCAGCAGTTTATGCCTGTAATCCTAACACTTTGGGAGGCCAAGGCAGGAGGATCGCTTGAGCCCAGGAGTTCAAGACAAAACTGGACAACACAGTGAGACCTCGTTTCTACAAAAAATAAAAAAATTAGCTGGGTGTGGTGGCACATACCTGTAGTCCCAACTACTTGGGCAAGGCTGACGTGGGAGGACTGCTTAAGCCCGGAGGTCAAAGCTGCAGTGAGCTGAAATCTTGCCACTACACCTCATCCTGGGTGACAGAGCAAGACCTTATTTCAGAAAAGAAAATAACTGAAATAGTGTGAAATAGTATTGATATATTAGATTTTTAAAAGGCAAGTTGAAACAATAAATGTATCCACAGAAAAAAGATGGAAAAGATTATTCTCCCTTAACTGTAGAATCACGTGACTTTTCTTTTAAAAAGTTATTGTCTTACTGAATATTCTAAAGTCTCTAAAATGAATGTGTTATTATCTTTAAAATAAGGAAAAATGAAAATGTATCTCTAAAAACAGATACCTTCTCAAGAAAACATTGGAATCATTGGAATGGTTTCTTAAAAACTGCTTGTAACTAGGTTCCATGGCACACTATTGTAGCCCCAGCTACTTAGGAGGCTGAGGTGGGAGGATCACTTGAGCCCAGAAGTTCTGGGCTGTAGTGCGCTATGTCAATCAGGTGTCTGCACCAAATTTAGCATCAATGGTGACCTCCCAGGAGCAGGGATCCACCAGGATGCCTAAGGAGGGGAGAACTGACCCAGGCTGGAAACAGGCAAGTCAAAACTCCTGTGCTGATCAGTAGTGGGATCAAGACTGTGAATAGCTACTATGCTTCAGCCTGGGCAACACAGCAAGACTTCTAACTCTTAAAAAGTAAAATAAGATAAAATAAATTTTTAAAACTGCTTGAAACAGTTTAAGAGAAAATTTTTAAAGTTTAATCAGAAAACAATATATTATCACATAAAATAGTTTGACATTCTTCCATCTAGATTAAAGAAGAAATGAGCTTAATAGATGAATTAGGAATTTAAGTTAATGTATGGAATAGTTTTTCAAGCACATTATTCAGTAGGCTAACAGGATAATCTTAAATATAACATAACACAATGATTTATACAGAGGCATAATATGCTTCTCAGGGTATACAAAAGTAAGCATGGTTCTGAAGAACAGGTAAAGCCAGTCACGTGAAAAAGAATGCTGCCTGGGCCTCATGGCGTAGGACATAGTGATGAAGGAAACGAGCATTCAGATTACCCAACACATAACCTTTCTTTTTTTTTTTTTTGAGACAGAGTCTCACTCTGTCACCCAGGCTGGAGTGCAGTGGCACAATCTCAGCTCACTGCAACCTCTGCCTCCCAGGTTCAAGCGATTCTCCTACCTCAGCCTCCCGAGTAGTTGGGATTACAAGCACGTGCCATCGTGCCCAGCTAATTTTTGTATTTTTAGTAGAGACAGGGTTTCGTCATGTTGGCCACGCTGGTCTCAAACTCCTGACCTCAGATGATCCACCTGCCTCCACCTCCCAAAGTGTTGGGATTACACGCAGGAGCCATTGCACCCGGCCCCAATACATAACTTCTTTTTTTTTTTTTTTTTTTTTTTTTTTAGGACGGAGTCTCACTCTGTTGCCCAGGCTGGAGTGCAGTGGCGCAATCTCGGCTCACTGCAAGCTCCGCCTCCTGGGTTCACGCCATTCTCCTGCCTCAGCCTCCCAAGTAGCTGGGACTACAGGCGCCTGCAACCACGCCCAGCTAATTTTTTATATTTTTAGTACAGACGGAGTTTCACCATGTTAGCCATGATGGTCTCGATCTCCTGACCTTGTGATCCGCCCGCCTCAGCCTCCCAAAGTGCTGGGATTACAGGCGTGAGCCACCGCGCCCGGCCACCAACACATAACTTCTTAAACAGATTGTCGGGGCTGAACTGTGTCTCCCTCAAAATTCATATGTGAAGCCCTAACCCCTAGTCCTCAGAATGTGCCTGTATTTGGAGACAGTGCCTTTTAAACGAAGTCATTAAGGTGGGCCCTAATCCAATATGTCTGGAGTCCTCAAAATGGGGCGAGTAGAACACATAAACAGAGGGATGACAATGTGAAGATGAGAGGTGAAGCCAGCTGGACTTCCTGGGTCGAGTGGGGACTTGGAGAACTTTTCTGCCTAAAGGATTGTAAACGCAATTGGAGAACTTTTCTGCCTAGCTAAAGGATTGTAAACGCACCAATCAGTGCTCTGTGTCTAGCTAAAGGATTATAAATGCACCAATCAGCACTCTGTAAAAACACACCAATCAGCACTCTGTGTCTAGCTAAAGGATTGTAAACGCACCAATCAGCACTATGTAAAAACGCATGAATCAGCGCTCTGTGTCTATCAATCAGCGCTCTGTGTCTAGCTAAAGGTTTGTAAATGCACCAATCAGCACTCTGTAAAAACGCACCAATCAGTGCTCTGTGTCTAGCTAAAGGTTTATAAATGCACCAATCAGCACTCCGTAAAAACGCACCAATCAGCGCTCTGTGTCTAGCTAAAGGTTTGTAAATGGACCAATCAGCACTCTGTAAAATGGACCAATCAGCAGGACACGGACAGGGCCAAATAAGGGACTAAATGCTGGCCACCTGAGCCAGCAGCAGCAGCCCGCTCAGAACCCCTTCCACACTGTGGAAGCTTTATTCTTTCGCTCCTCACAATAAGTCTTGCTGCTGCTCATTCTTTGGGTCTGCACTAACTTTATGAGCTGTAACACTCACTGCAAAGGTCTGCAGCTTCACTCCTGAAGTCAGCAAGACCACGAACCCACCGGGAGGAACAAACAACTCCAGACACGCCACCTTTAAGAGCTGTAACACTCACTGAGAAGGTCTGCGGCTTCACTCCTGAAGTCAGCAAGACCACGAACCCACTGGAAGGAAGAAACTCCAGACACATCTGAACATGTGAAGGAACAAACTCTGGACACACCATCTTTAAGAATTGTAACACTCACCGCGAGGCTCCGCGGCTTCATTCTTGAAGTCAGTGAGACCAAGAACCCACTGGAAGGAATAAATTCCGGACACAAAGACACAGGGAGAAGAAAATGGCCATCTACAAGTCAAACAGAGGCCTCAGAAGAAAACAAACCCTCCTGACACCATCTTGGCCTTCTAGCTTCCAAAATTGTGAGAAAATAGATTTCTGTTGTTCAAACCACCCAGACAGTGGTCCTTTGCTTTGGCAGCCTTAGCAAACCAATACACAGATACAACTGCAAAAATTAAATTTCACGTTCTCCCTGTAAAAAAGAGATTTGAGACAAACACATGGAGGGTGTCTTAGATAATTTTAAGATATGTACTGTGATCTTCACATAGAGGTGTAAGTTACTACCTGTTTTATTCTAAGGAAATTGAACTTTCAATAATCTATGCAACAATAATTCATTGTAACTTTCCTCCATAATTTTTAAAATGGTATTTTACATTTGTATAGCATATAAAATTCAAATTTCATTCCTATTTGTTAGTTCATTTGATCCTCACAACCTTCTGTGTAAAACAGAAATTTTGAACCTAGAATCACAGAGCTAGCAGTGACAGCGACAACTAGAAGCAAATCATCTGACCTGGATCATGGACCTTTCTACTACATTCCAATGCCTTCCAAAATTTTAGTAATGTTCCTGTTTTAGTAAGGGCAGAGATAAAGCTTACTTTATACTTATCATAAAACCTCAGTATTTCAAATATATATATATATATATATATATACACACACACATACACATATATTTTGGAGACAGGATCGTGCTCTGTCACCCAGGCTGGAATGCAGTGGCACGATCTCAGTTCACTGCAACCTCCACCTTCTGGGTTCAATCGATCCACCTGCCCTGGCCTCCAGAGTAGCTAGGATTAAAGGCGCACACCACCACACCTGGCTCATTTTTATATTTTTTGTAGAGACAGAGTCGTGCCATGTTGCTTAGCCTGATCTCGAACTCCTGGGCTCAAGCGATGTGCCCATGTCAGCCTCCCAAAGTGCTGGGATTATAGGTGTGAGCTACAGCACCCACCATGAAATAAATTATAAATATGTCTTCCTTTCTAAGCACAATAGTATATCAAAAATTTTATATTTTTTTCTTTTTTTTTTTGAGACAGAGTCTCGCTCTGTTGCCTAGACTGGAGTGCAGTGGTGCGATCTTGGCTCACTGAAATCTCTGCCTCCCAGATTCAAGCAATGCTTATGCCTCAACCTCCCCAGTAACTGGGCTTACAGTCGCATGCCAACATGCCCAGCTAATTTTCTGAATTTTTAGTAGAGACGGGGGTTTCACCATGTTGGCCAGGATGGTCTCAAACTCCTAGCCTCAAATGATCCACCCACCTCAGCCTCTCAAAGTGCTGGGATTACAGGCTTGAGCCATCCTGCCCAGCCTAAAAATATTTTTGAAAACATTAATGGCCAGCATTTCCTGAAAACTTACAGTTTGTGAGGCACAGTTCTATGAACTTTACATGAATTAACTCAATCCTAAAAATCCTGGGATAGGTAGGTACTATTATTGTCTATTTCAGAGACAGAAACTGATAAAGTACTTTATCCAACCTAGTAAATGGAGGAGTCAGGATTTGAACCCAGGCAACACTGACTCCACAACCCACATTCTTAACCACTTCCCAATGAAATATAACTAGGACACTCTTGAGCATATATTTTAATGGCTTTGAAGTCAAATGGACTTACTTTACTACAGGCTCAGCCACTTATTAGGTATATTATTTGAGGCAAACTTAATCTCTTGTGTCTTAGAGTCTTTATCTATAGAATGGAGATAATTAAATGGGACAATGATGTAAAACCATTTAGTAAGTGGCTGGTATAGAACGTATACTAATTATTAAGCCATTACTATTTTTATTTCTACTACTTTCAGGAATATATAAGAGCAATCAATCCTACAGTGTTTAATTTGGGGATTCCAAGCTAAAACATCAAAAGGCCCTCTTTCTTCATCCGTAATTCTTTCCTTCCTACTATTCCAGAAATACATGTACTATTCCCAATAATCTCATTTTCCATTAAGAAATATCACATTGGATGAGGTTAGTAGTTAGATGAGTCTTAAATTCTTTGTTCGTTTTTTAATTTTTAAAATAATACAGACAGGGTCTCCCTGTGTTGCCCA
The DNA here is from genome assembly GCF_000001405.40 of Homo sapiens. Taxonomy (NCBI): domain Eukaryota; kingdom Metazoa; phylum Chordata; class Mammalia; order Primates; family Hominidae; genus Homo; species Homo sapiens. The sequence goes on along the minus strand of NC_000006.12, from coordinate 36,446,594 downwards.
GGATGGTCTGGAACTTCTGGGCTAAAGAAATCCTCCTCCCTTGACCTCCCAAAGTGCTGGGATTACAGGCGTAAGCCACCACACCTAGCCATCAGTCTTAAATTCTATCACAGAGGTACCTAATAAGTTTGATAAGGACAATAGTTATATTCTTGATGACAACTTCCAAAGATTCTGGGCATTGCTCAAGCATTTAACATATTTTAAAAATCACCAAAGTAGTTATCTAAGCCTTTATTTAATATTTTTTTAAAAATACTGAGTTCAGGCCTGGCATGGTGGCTCAAACCTGTAATCCCAGCACTTTGGGAGTCCCAGGTGGGCGGATCACCTGAGGTCAGGAGTTCGAGACCAGCCTGACCAACATGGTGAAATCCCGTCCCAACTAAAAATACAAAAAATTAGCCGGGCATGGTAGCGGGCGCCTGTAATCCCAGCTACTCGGGAGGCTGAGGCAGGAGAATCGCTTGAACCCAGGAGGCAGAGGTTGCAGTGAGCCGAGATCACGCCATTGCACTCCAGCCTGGGCAACAAGAGCGAAACTCTGTCTCAAAAGAAAAAAAAAAAAAACTGAGTTCATAACATTTCTGGGGCTTTACAAGATAGCTATCTCTTGCTCTTATTTGTCCTTTCACTACTTATTTCAAGCTTCAAAGAGTTCCTTATTATTAGTACTCCCACTTTTTATGATTTATATGGTTACATCATATCCTCCTTCAATCTCCATTTTTCCAGATAAGATAATATTGCTTTTGTAGTCATATGAAAGTCTCTCCATTTTTCTCCATCTACTTATAATTTCTCTGGACCTTTTCTACTTTTGAAGCATTTAATTTGGTGGGAAGAACACTGGGCTAGGAGCCAGAAGTCCTCACTCTGCAATCTCATCTCTCAGATTCTTTATCTGAGAGGATTGCATTTGATAAATTTGTAATAAGCTCCTTTATATCTCTAAGCCTCATATATCTAAGACTCTGGATCTTCCAACTAAAAATCATGTGGTATTCTAACAATTCCCCTCAATATTTCACTCCACTTAGCCAAAGAGGGGCAGGAAGATCAGATTGAAGGCCAGAGGAAGACACAACAATCAGGAAGCTCAGGGCTACAGAAGGAAAGACATGACATTTTATGAATCAACAGAAAAAGATTCAATAAGATAAATCAGACACCAAAGAGAGGAAAAAAGTCACAGAAACACATGGCCTAATTCTAACCTCATCTCTACACATCTATTTGAAGGGGGAATAATAAATATAAAAATGCGTGTATTATTGTCCTTACCAAAGTTACTAGATGTCTCTGTTACAGATTTTTTTTTTTTTTTTTTTTTGAGACGGAGTCTCACTCTGTTGCCCAGGCTGGAGTACAATGGCGCGATCTCGGCTCACTGCAACCTCTGCCTCCCGGATTCAAGTGATTCTCCGGCCTCAGCCTCCCGTGTAGCTGGGATTACAGGTGCCCACCACCATGCCTGGCTTATTTTTGTATTTTTAGTAGAGACAGGGTTTCACCAGGTTGGCCAGGCTGGTCTGAAACTCCTGACCTCAGGTGATCCATCTGCCTCGGCTTCCCAAATTGCTGGGATTACAGGCATGAGCCACCACGCCCGGCTTCTGTTACAGAATTTAAGACTGACCTAACTACTACAGTTAGGCCTAATACAATGTATTTCTTAACTTCTTAAGGAAAACGAGATTATTGGAATAGTACGTGTATTTCTGGCATAACAGGAAGGAACAAATTGTGGATGAATAAAGAGAACCTTTTGGCAGCAGTGGAGTTTATCCAGCCCTCATTTCTGCCTCAAAGGAGGAATGCAACTCTGTGCCAGAAATATGTGTCTATATTGCAATGCTGTTGATAAAACAGCCTACTACAGTGCTTTGAGGAAAATAGGCATTACGCAGGTATTTGATGACTAAATTAACGTCCAGCTGAACTGAAAGCCCTCATAATGCTACTAGTACTGCTACATACCAGATAATATGACAGTCAAGGCCATGGGAATTATATGGCATTGGCTGCCCTGGTTCCATGGGGAGACTTGAGTGAGCTGGGCGGAGGAGATTTGGCCTAATGGCATTAAGCTCTGATGATACTAGAAGCAGCCCTCAGAAGGAAAAGATTAATGGGCTATCTCTAAACCATCAGAGCAATATCGGAATATGCATGAAAATCATTTCCTACCCCGTGTCAGGGTCAAAAAAAGCACTATCTTTTCTCATATTGGCTTCTGGAGAGTCAGGGCTTCTTGTCCTACGACTGGTTTAGGGCAGGGGAGGAAAACATCGACAAAGGGTTAAGGCTGTTGGGCAGTTTTTAAAATTCCCAGCCCAGCCTAAAGGTGGTGTCTGTCAACGTGTGGTCGGTCCCTGGATCATCAGTAACAGACCAAGAGTGCAGGTGCTTGCTTAAATCCCAGACTCAGGGACCCATCACAAATCTCTAGAATCAAATTTATGGAAGAGGTGCTAGGGTACTGCAACCTTATTACTAAGGAACAATCTTCTGTTTCAGAACTATGGCCTAGGAATTGGGGTTTCAGGTGGGGGCCTTGAGCGGAAGTCCTCTGACTCTGGATTCATCACATCCGACAGACACTACTACAACACTTTGTTTTGAAGACCATTAAAAAACTACCTCAACTTCTCGCACAGCGAACAGGAACAAAACTAAGGACTCTGGGACATATTTTCATAAGCTGGTTAAACAGTTCCTTCACAGCCTTGTTTATCATGTTAGTTTGTTCACTAGATTCTTATTTAAAAATAAATCTCTTCAACTGAGGAATTTTCAGAAAGAATCACAAACTCCAAAATAGAAGAGTTTTCTCATAGTGCAGAACTGGGCTTCTAAACCTGAAGACACTGCTATAAAAAGCAAAGTTTTATTTAAAAGAAAATTGCTGGTTAAGGCTTTCCCCAGCTCTTTTGCACTCAGAGCCACGGATGAAAGCTGGCAATTTGCGGGTGGCAGGGAAGGAAGACGCGGAAACAGGGCTGAAAAGACCGAGCAAAATGCGCTCGGCTCCAGAGTTCAGGAGGAAGTCCCCACCAACTACCTAATTTTTAATGGAGCCAATTAATTGCCAGAAAAACCGCGTCTGCAAATGTTTTGCCAGTCAACACTCCAGGTTCTCGCCATTCCTCTCCGGCGGGATGAACCACCCGAGGCCTGCAAAAAGCAGTCAAGCAGTCAAGTTACACTTCAGCTGTGCCCACCACCTGGGCGCAGCGTCGCCTCCCTCCCCAGGATCACCAGACTCTGCCCTCCGCGCGGAAACAGGAGCCCATCAAGCCGCTGCCCACAGGTTCCTCGCGCCCAGCTCAGCCCCGCGGCCTTTCGACTCGGGGGTCCGAACCGCCGCCGCGTCCGGAGGAGACGCCCCCTCGGCCACAAAGGGAAGACTCGGGCCACGCCCGCCGCCACACTCTCCCTGCCCGGTCTTCGCGCCCGAAACCGTACCGCGCCGCCACTTACTCGTCGCTCCCCGCCGCGCTGTCCCGCTCGGGGCTGGAATCCGCCCGGGAGGCGCGCGCAGGCCGCGCAGCCAGAAGCCGCAGCCGGGACCGGCTGTGCCGCAGCGGCGCGCGCCCCCCGCCCCGGACCGCGCGGCCACGCGGCTGAGTCACCCAGCGCTTCACGTTAAGAGTCCCCTCCGCGCGTGGCACGCCGGGAAGGCCGTGTCTGGGGACCCCGTCCGGGGCCGCACCGTAAATGGGTGTCGCCTTTCCTCCAGTCCACTCTGCACCCAACCTCAGCGGGCGCACTTTTCTGAGTTGCGCATACCCTCTCAATTATTAAAGGTTGCAGACGGAAAAGTTAGTAGTTTTCGGAATTGTAGAATACGCTCGTGCAGCGCCAGGACGGCTAATGCTTACCCGAAAATGTGGAACCCTGATCTCCCCATGCGTGGAGCGAGGTTGGAGGTAGCGTAGTAAGAATACTGGAGTTGCTTAAACGCATTTGCTCGAAAGTCACTACCCTGGATATACATTCTGGCCAAAAGAAAGGGGGAAAAACTCCACATTTTTCTCAAATACTGAGTTTCATGAAGGTACCTGCTATTACAAAGGTGTATTACAAATTTTAAATCAACCGGAAGCAAGTTACTGGGAAAACTGTGTTATGAGTAAAAGATTTCAGCATTCAAAAAACATCTATATATGGTCCATGTCCTATGAACCAAATGCTGGAAAACCCAAAAGGAAGTTCTTATTGTCACGGTTTCTAGTGGCTTTTGTACTTTTAAAAATTACACTAGGCCGGGCTTGGTGGCTCACGCCTGTAATCCTTGCACTTTGGGAGGCCGAGGCGGGCAGATCACCTGAGGTTGGGCATTCCAGACCAGCCTGGCCAACATGATGAAACCCTGTCTCTGCTAAAAATACAAAAATTAGCCGGGCGTGGTGGTGGGCGCCTATAACCCTAGCTGTTTGGGAGGCTGAGGCAGGAGAATCACTTGAACCCAGGAGGCAACTGGGAGGTTGCAGTGAAGTTCCCTCTCAAATATATATATATATGTCTATATATACTAATTAAATATACTGATTATGCAAACTATTTGTAAATTGTTGAAAGCTCTATAAACTAATAATAGCACAAATTTTAAAATTCGAAGTCGATTCTCCTTTTCCTTACAAGAGACTCTCTGAAAACTAATTTGGAATTGGATTAGAATTGGTGTTGAAGTGGAAGGAATGTAAGAAAATAGTTTGACTCAGTAGGTTTCACACGGTTAACGGATACTTGTATAGCAAATTTGTTTTATCAGGGTCAAAAAATTTAATTTTCAAAACTGAAGACATAAATTTTTTCATTATAATTTGGTCTTAGAGGCCTAGAGGGTCATTTTCCATTTCTATTCTCCCTCGTTTATGACTATAAAGTATGCAGGACTGTATTGTGTTTATCTCAACATGGACTAGGCTGTGAGGCTGCACTCGTCATCTGTAAGTCAGTCTCACGTCCCCATGGTGACTCAGCTTCCCTGCTGCTTGCGTCAGTGGCTCTGCCCTCCCAGCACTTCCGGGCTGGCAGAAGAGCTAGATTGGAGAATCCTGTAAGGGCTCTCCTTTGCCTCTGCCAGAAGTGAGTGGCCTTTTCACTTCTGCTGACGTTTCACTGTCCTGAACTAGTCACCAGGCTCAACCTGACTGACTCTAAGAAGGCTGTGAGATATAAATTCCTGTATGCCTGGAGAAAAGGAATATGAAAAAAGATTTAGTAAACACATGGCTATAAACCAATTTGAGTGAGTTATAGGCTCCAAACTTTACAACAGTAGCAGCATAGAGGATTGTTCAAACTAATGCCTTTATTTCCATTTTTATAAAGTACAGTGTTACAGCCTTTGAGTCAAAGAAAAATAAAAAACCTTCTGATATTCCTGCAAAACAGTTCTTGAAACAAATTCTTCCTTTCTGGAAAGATTCCTTCCCGTAGATTTGTATATTGTCTTTCTTTTTTTTTTTTTTTTTCTTTTTGTGGAGAATGGAGTTCTTATTCTGTTGCCCAGGCAGGTCTTGAACTCCTAGGCTCAAGCTATCCTCCTGCTTCTGCCTCCCTAAGTTTGGGGATTACAGGCATGAGCCACTGCACTGGCTGCAGATTTGTGGTATACAAAAATCTGGCCTGAAGTTTGGAGAATCAGGCTAACTACCGAGTCTTATTATTATTTTTTAAACACTTTCATTTTGGAAATTAAAGCATACAGAAAGATATAATAAACACCCGTTATCCATCATCCAAAATAAATAAGTGATAACATGACTTTTAATAGTTAATGGTTCAACTTTTGGCTAAAATTTCATATAATGAACAGCATATCAGACTGGGTACCTTTTTTGGGCAGACATCAAGGAGACGGGATATGAGAAATGTATATTCACAGAAAGCATAGGTGTTTGCTGGTTTTTATCATTTTATTTCTAATTTAATGTAGGTATCTCAAGACCCCGAGTCTCTGATATTTATTTGTATCTGAAACCAAAACCTTCTTCTTTTTTTTTTTTTGAGACAGTGTCTCCCTTTGTTGCTCAGGCTGGGTGATCACCACTCACTGCAGCCTCGATCTTCTGGACTTAATCCCCCTCCCAGGTTCACGCCATTCTCCTGCCTCAGCCTCTCGAGTAGCTGGGACTACAGGCGCCCGCCACTGTGCCCGGCTAATTTTTTGTATTTTTAGTAGAGATGGGGTTTCACCATGTTAGCCAAGATGGTCTCGATCTCCTGACCTCGTGATCCACCCGCCTCGGCATCCCAAAGTGCTGGGATTACAGGCGCAAGCCACCACGCCCGGTCAAGGTTGACTCTTAAGAATAAAAATATTTTTTAAATAATAGCTATTGTAAATTGTCATACAAAAAGCTAATCCTCATTTCTACCGACTAAGCTTATGTAGTAAATATAAAAACAAACCAAAAATCCCTAGATTTTGAACTGTCTCTCTCGAATAATTAAATTTGCTAAATGTTCGTTTTCTTTTGTTTTCTGAGACAGAGTCTTGCCCTGTCACTCAGGCTGGAGTGCAGTGGTGGGATCATGGCTCACTGCAACCTCAACCTCCTGGGCTCAAGTGATCCTCCCACCTCAGCCTCCTGAGTAGCTAGGACTACAGGTGCAGGCCACCACCCCAAGCTAATTTTTTAATTTGTAGAGAGGAAGTCTCACTATATTGCCCAGGCTGGTCTCAGAATCCTGTGGGGAGTCAGGATAGGGGAGTCAGGAAATGTGGAAATGTGTTACGCTGGGTTTCGGCGGAGGCTGGGTGTAAACTGATAATGTTTATCTCTTGTTATTCCTGTTAATGGTTTACAAACAGGCTCTGGCCTTCGTATCCCATGTACTGGCTCTGGCAGCTCACATGACCTCTTGTTTATGAACACACAAGTCTCATTCTTGAACCTAATACTGAGAATGCTTAGTTGTTTTTTTTTTTTTTTTTTCAGCCTTATATGAGTGTTGTTGTTGTTGTTTTGAGATGGAGTCTCCCTCTGTCGCCCAGGCTTGAGTGCAATGGCGTGATCTCTGTTCACTGCTACCTCCACCTCCCGGATTCAAGCGATTATCCTACCTCAGCCTCCCAAGTAACTGGGATTACAGGCATGCGCCATTATGCCCAGCTAATTTTTTTTATTTTTAGTAGAGATGGGGTTTCACCAGGTTGGCCAGGCTCTTCTCCAACTCCTGACCTCAGATGATCCACCCGCCTCCGCCTCCCAAAGTGCTGGGATTACAGGCGTGAGCCACCACTCCCAGCCACCTTATATGAGTTTTAAATAAACTGCATTTGGAAAAGAAAATAGGCCGGACGCCTGTAATCCCAGTACTTTGGGAGGCCAAGGCGGGTGGATCACCTGAGGTCGGGAGTTTGAGACCAGCCTGTCCAACATGGTGAAACCCCGTCTCTACTAAAAATACAAAAAATTAGCTGGGCGCGGTGGTGCGCCTGTAATCCCAGCTACTTGAGAGGCTGAGGCAGGAGAATTGCTTGAACCCAGGAGGCGGAGGTTGCAGTGAGCCAGGATCGCACCACTGCTCCAACCTGGGCGATACCGAGACTCCGTCTCAAAAAAAAAAAAGTTCCAATAACCCACTGAGCCACCACAGAAAGCTATGAGATATTTATTTAGTAGATAGGTAAACTTTATTTCGCAAGCCCAAGGGGATAATTTACTTTTCATCCCCCTCTCTTTAAAAACAGAGAACCTCCAACAAATGGTATATAAAGGAAAACAAAGCAAACAAAAGAGGGAAACTTTGCAATTTATTAACTCAAGCATGAAAATACAGAAAATAAAGAGGGCTCAACATACTTGGAAAAGTAAGTCTGAACTTACTGCATTAAAACATGGTGTTGCGCTAATCCTGCCGGGCGCAGTGGCTCATGCCTGTAATCCCAGCACTTTGGGAGGTCGAGGCGGGCGGATCACGAGGTCAGGAGATCAAGACCATCCCGGCTAACACGGTGAAACCCCATCTCTACTAAAAATACAAACAATTAGCCGGGCGTGGTGGCAGGCACCTGTAGTCCCGGTACTCGGGAGGCTGAGGCGGGAGAATGGCGTGAACCCAGGAGGCGGAGCTTGCAGTTAGCTAAGATCACGCCACTGCACTCCAGCCTGGGCGACAGAGCGAGACTCAGTCTCAAAAAACAAAAAACAAACAAACAACAACAACAAAACATAGTGTTGCACTAATCCAATGAATTGTCAGGCAAATGAGGCATGAAACATTGCCAAAATACAAAGTCAGTAAAATATCCATATTACTCTTTGTCATTATATGTTTTATTTTATTGGGATCTGGTAAAGAATAGATTATTCCCAAATCTACATTACTAGCAAAATAAGTGAAATTATTTTACAAAGAATTTATTATTCTGGTAAATTGTTAATAGTGGCAGGTCAAAAGCAACTGAAACTCCAACAAAAGATACACATGTGCCTCATTTATAAGAAAGCATTAATAGGCCGGGCTCGGTGGCTCACGCCTATAATCCCAGCACTTTGGGAGGCCGAGGCAGGTGGATCACCTGAGGTCAGGAGTTCGAGACCAGCCTGATCAACATGGTGAAACCCCGTCTCTACTAAAAATACAAAAATTAGCTGGGCGTGGTGGCAGGTTCCTGTAATCCCAGCTACTCGGGAGGCTGAGGTAGGAGAATCACTTGAACCCGGGACGTGGAGTGTGCAGTGAGCCGAGATAGCGCCACTGCACTCCAGCCTGGACGACAGAGCAAGACTCTAAAAAAAAAAAAAAAAAAAAAAGCAGTGGCTGGGCACGGTGGCTCACGCCTGTAATCCCAGCACATTGGGAGGCTGAGGAGGGCAGATCACAAGGTCAGGAGATCGAGACCATCCTGGCTAACACGGTGAAACCCCGTCTCTACTAAAAATATTTTAAAAAATTAGCCAGGCATGGTGGCGGGCGCCTGTAGTCCCAGCTACTCAGGAGGCTGAGGCAGGAGAATGGCATGAACCCAGGAGGCAGAGATTGCAGTGAGCCGAGATCGCGCCATTGCACTCCAGCCTGGGCGACAGAGCAAGACTCCATCTCCAAAAAAAAAAAAAAAACCCACACAAAAAATATTTTTTGTTTATATGTGAAACAGACAAGTTCTAGATTCAGATCATTATAACTGGATTTTTTGCCTACATGAATATCCAGAGGGACAGTCAACATACAGAATGTAGGACAATTTTTTTGTGGAGGGCAGGACCTTTACAGGCATTGGAGGAGGTCTGACATACCTGACTCTACCTATTAAATTTGGGTTTTTTTTGGTTTTGTTTGTTTGTTTTGAGATGGAGTCTCGCTCTGTCGCTCAGGCTGGAGTGCAGTGGTATAATCTCGGGTCACTGCAACCTCCACCTCCTAGGTTCAAGCGATTCTCCTGCCTTAGCCTCCCAAGTAGCTGGGATTATAGGCCCGTGACACCACGCCCGGCTAATTTTTGTATTTTTAGTAGAGACAGGGGTTTCACCGTGTTGGCCAGGCTGGTCTTGAACTCCTAACCTCAAGTGATCCGCCCACCTCAGCCTCCCAAAGTGCTGGGATTACAGGCATGAGCCACTGCACTTGGCCTCTATATTTGAATATAACCTCACATTAATGTAACTGTACAATTGCACCCCAAAATTTTGAACAATGCCCCCTAGAGACTAGTACACCCTAGTTGAAGCCTACTTATCAAATATCCCATACTGTGAAATTTTTGTTCACTGTTGTAACCTTGCATCTAGTTTGATGCCTGACACATAGTAAGAATTTAATAAATATTTCCCAATGGACACAAGAGAGTTCCTTTTACTTACATGGCATTTTTCATATTCCTTATGATAATGATTCACATTTGTTTTTCCAGTCCTGACCTCTCTTCTGAGCTCCAAATTCATATTGGCAAATGCCCACTTAACATCTTTACTTGAATGACTTTCACATACCTCAAACACTAAGTATATCCAAAATTGAACTCATCATTTCCTGCCATTGCATCCCTCCCCCAGATACAACCCAGTACCAAACAAGGCAAAATGTTAATTCCGTGCTGGTGCTCTCTGGTTTAGTAACTGCCACTATGACCCACTTACTTAAGGAATCATCAAAACCCTGGCATTATCCATGATTATTTTCTACTTATCATCCCATTTTCTAATCAATCAATTCTAGTTCCTAAATCTCAAATTTATCTCCTTTCCATCTCCAGTGCTTCTGTCCTAGTGGATTATTGAATTACTACAGTGGTCTCTTGCCTGCTTCCAAACCACCTCCATCCAGTAGCCAAAGTGATCTTTTAAAACAGAAATCCCATCAGGTCATCCCTATGTTTAAATTCCTTAAAGAGTTTCTCACTTTTTTTTTAGGACAAAATCTAAAGCCCTGCAGGATTTGGCCCCTGCCTATGTATCTTTTCTTATTTTGTGCCACTTACTCAGTACTCTGCAATCATGCTGGCTTTTTTTTTTTTTTTTTTTGGCTTACTTTTTTTTTTAATTAATTTTTATTAAATGAATCCAGGCACATCATTTAAAAACCAATCATTGTTAAGCAGTTTATTTTTTGAAAAAGTTTATGGCACAGTCTTGTTTTCCAGGATCCCTGCTTTCATCTCTGTTGACTTACTCCTTTCTTTTGGTAGAGCCCTTCCCTTCTCCACTAGCTTCCTGATGCAAGGGAGGTTAATTTTTTGAGATGTTGCAGGAAAAGGGGGTTTATTCTAGTCTTACTTGTTTGTTAGTGTGAGTAGGTGTACAGTCTAGATTGGAAAACATTTTCTCTCAGGATTTTGAAAGCTCTGCTGTCTTCTAACTTCCAATAGTGCCATCAAGTTTGTTCTTAATTGATTTTTTTCAATCTGGAAGATTTTAGGATCTACTGTTTATCATTGATGAATTCCAAGATGTGTGTGTGTATATTGGTTTAGGTCTTTTCCATTTGTTGTTCTGGGCCTTTTCATCCTGGAGACATATTTTGTTCTTTTGTTCTGCGATGTTTTCTTGCATTTGTTTGTTTCTTTTCTTTTCTTAGGGACAGGGTCTTACTCTGTCACCCAGGCTAGAGTGCAGTGGCATGGTCATAGCTCACTGCGGCCTGGAACTCCTGGGCTCAAGTATCCTCCTGCCTCAGCCTCCTGAGTAGCTGGACTACAGGAGCAGAGCACCATGTCCAGCTAATTAAAAAAAAAAAATTTTTGTAGAGATGGGGGTCTACCTATCTTGGCCAGGCTGGTCTTGAACTTCTGGGCTCAAGCGATCCTCCTGCCTTGACCTCTCGAAGTGCTGGCATTACAGGCGTAAGCCATTGCACCTGGCCTGGTTAATTTTTAAAATTTTTTGTAGAGATGGGGTTCTCCAACTTCTGGGCTGAAGCAATCTTCCCTCCTCAGCCTCCCAAATGCTGGGATTAAAGACATGAGCCATCACACCTGGCCACATTTGTTTCTTTGATAATTTCTTCTCTAAAGCTTTTGCTAATTTTTCTTTTTTCTTTTTTTTTTCTGGAATTCTTATTATTCAGATATTGTAACTTCTAGATACTCTAATTTATCTTTTTTATTGTCCATATTTGTCTTCTGTGACAATTGAGTTTTTCATTACCTTCAAGGGTGATTTTCAATCACATAAAAGTACCTTTCAGAAAAGTTAATCTCCCTAAGCTGTTAAAAGAGGCATAAAGAGAAAATTATAACATTTCAGCTGATACATTTTATTGTTTTAGTTAAAAGGCTAGCAAATTTTAGCAATCAATTGAAAAGGGGCTTTTGCCACTTAACTAAAGACAAATCTTTTCAAACCACAGACATTTCAAATATTTTATTTCTTCTTTATATACCTGAATTGTCTGACTGACAAACCTTCTCAAGTACTTAAGCATCTATTGTAGACCTGATAATGTTATAAATATGCATGATTATTGATTCTCTTATAAACGAACTTCTCTTGGAAATTACAAGTATAGATTTGATTTTATTTGGCCTTTATACACCCAACTATTTCATCAAAACTAAGGAGAATTTCAGTTATGTCATTAATGTTCCATTACGATTGGAACCTATAATGGCTACCTCATTTGGTTGGATTCAACTAATTTATTTATTGCTTTTCAAAATAGGCCACAATTCTTAGAGACATTAACATAAAATTTTATTAAATTTTAGATCTCTCCTGACTTTTTTATTATGAAAAATTTCAAACATAAAAAGTTGAGGGTATAGTATTTCAACAAGTATACCCATTACTTAGATGCAATAATCACCAACATTTTGCTGTGTGTGTACATTCCAAGATGTGTGTGTATATATTGGTTTAGGTCTTTTCCATTCGTCATGCTGGGCCTTTTCATCCTGGAGACATATGTCCTTTTGTTCTGGGATGTTTTTTTGCATTTCTTTGTTTCTTTTCTTTTTCTTTTTCTTTTTTTTTAGAGACAGGGTCTTACTCTGTCAACCAGGCTGGAGTGCACTGGCATGATCATAGCTCACTGCAGTGAGCTCCCAATATTTGCTTTATTTCTATGGCTATTTATTATGAAAAATTTCAAATATAAAGGAAGTTTAAGACAAATACAGCCAACACTAGTATATCCACTACTTATAATAGATTAAACAGTTGTTAACATTTTCTCATATTTTCTTTATTTTTATATTTATCTATTTTGCTGAACTATTTGAAAGTAAGTGGCGGACAATATGACATCTCACTTCAGAATTGCATTTGGCTTTCTTATCTCTTTAGCCTCTTTTCTTTTCTTTTTTTTTTTTTTTCCTGAGACAGAGTCTTGTTCTGTCACCCAGGCTGGAGTGCAGTGGAGTGCAGAGCTCACCGCAATCTCTGCCTCCCAGGTTCATGCCATTCTCCTGCCTCAGCCTCCCGAGAAGCTGAGACTACAGGTGCCTGCCACCACGCCTGGCTAATTTTTTTTTTTTGTATTTTTTGGTAGAGACAGGTTTCATCATGTTAGCCAGGATGGTCTCGATCTGCTGACCTCGTGATCCACCCGCCTCGGCCTCCCAAAATGCTGGGATTACAGGCGTGAACCACCGTGCCCGGCCTAGCCTCTTTTCATGTAGAGCAATGCCCTTCCCCATCTGCCTACCATTTTGTTCCCCCATGACACTGATTTCTTAAGGACATCAGAGCAGTTTTCTTGTAGAATCTTCTCATGACTTTTCCTGAATTATAACAATCTCCAAGGTCATTCTCTTTTGGAGCACTTTTTTTGTCTTTATCTTTCACAATGTATATATTTTTTACAGATTTCTAATTATAGTATTTGTAATTTCCAGCTGCTCTTGTTTATTCTTATAGTGTTTCTTCTTTTAGCATCCTGTTCTTGTTTCATGGATATCATATTTCTCTGATGATATAATTTCTTTGAAGTATTTTTATGCTCCCTGCATTGTCTCAGTTTTCTGTGATTCTTTTCCCCCCTGATTCCTCCATGCTTGAGGTTTAGAATTTTTTTTATGTTACAGATTTTCCTCTAGTATCCGATGATTTTTGTACATTTATATTTTAAGAATAAAGTCCTAAAAGCTAATTGGAAATTCTAAGTATATGCTTGAGTCTTATCAATTGAAAGAATTCACTGGAGGCTTTTTCTATGGGAGCCACCAATATGTCAGGTTTTTTCCCCTAAGAAGTACCTTTTTTTTTTTTTCCTGCTAGAGAGTAGAACCTGGTTATGAAGTTCTACATCTATGCAGGAGAAGAGGCCTGGGTGTTTTCTTTTCAGTAATATGTCTGACTCTCACTCTGATCTATGCCAAGTGTCCCCCTATCTGTAACTCCTTTAGTTTACTTTCTCCAGAGGTGGCATTTCCCATTTCCTATGGAAGTAAAAGTATAGCTTGATTACATTAGATAGGGTGGGGCTCTGGGAGACCTGACTACTTCTTAAACAGATTTTCAAACAAGTGTCCTTTTTGAAGCACTACATTTCTCCCATCTATCTCCCTTCCTTTAACTTCCCTCTGCACGTCACTGCTTCTGATACCTGAGTCTTTCCAGGGCTCCTCAGGGAGACGTGCCTTGCTTCTCCTTGTTTTCTTCTTCTCTAAGCACTTAGGCTTGACCTTCCTTGGATCTGCTAAGTCCTTTAATAGCCTCTATCCATTTTCTATTTTCAGGCATTGTGGTTTGAGGTGAGTCTCAGTTCAAGAAAAATGAAATGAGTGTTTCTGTGTATTTCCCCCCAATTGTTATTTTTGAGAGTGGCATGGGGAAGATCTCAGCTATTTTGAATTGAAAGTTCTGTTTTTATTTTTAGTTCTTTACATGCCTTGAATTCTTTACTACCTTTGGGCTTTTGCATTTGGTGTTCAGCTCTCCCGGACATTCTTTTTCCCTCGCTCATCCTCCCTCCAGGCTAATTCCAAGTCAAATTTTAGGTCCTAACTTAAACATCATTCCTAGATGAGTCCTTCCTGACCATCTAGACTAGGTTAGGTCCACCCCTCATGATATATTATATCTATCTATCTACCTGTATATACTTTTTAAAAAATATTTTAATTTGTTGAGACGAGTCTTGCGCTGTGGCCCAGGCTGGATTGCAGTGGCGCAATCTCGGCTCACTGCAACCTCTGCCTCCCAGGTTCAAGCGATTCTCCCGCCTCAGCTTCCTGAGTATCTGGGATTACAGATGCCCACCACCATGCCCGGCTAATTTTTGTATTTTTAGTGGAGACGGGCTTTCACCATGTTAGCCAGGCTGGTCTCAAACTCCTGACCTCAAACGATATCCTCACCTCGGCCTCCCAAAGTGCTAGGATTACAGGCATAAGCCACCACGCCTGGTTTAGATAGATAGATATATATTTTTTAGGCAGGGTCTCACTCTATTGCCCAGGCTGGAGTGCAGTAGCCCAATCTGGCTCACTACAACCTCTGCCTCCCAGACTCAAGTGATCCTTCCACCTCAGCCTTCTGAGTAGCTGGGACCACAGGCACATGCCACTACACCCAGGTAATTTTTCTATTTTTTGTAGAGACACGGTTTCATCACGTTGCCCAGGCTGTTCCTGAACTCCTGATCTCAAGTGATCAGCCCACCTCAGCTTCCCAAAGTGTTGGGATTACAGGCATGAGCCACCGTGCTGGGCCAATGTACTCTTGTAACGCCCAACATGACTCTAATATAGCCTCTTTCTTCTGCTAGACTGTAGCTCTGCAAGAAAAGGAACAATGTGTGTCTTGTTCACTGCTATATCCCCAGGGTCCAGAGCAGTGCCTGGCATTCAGTAAAAGATCAATATTTTTCATTGTCAACCAACATACACTGCTTGCTGTAAAGATTTGTAGCTTAATTTACAGTTGCCATCACTAATAAGTAATTATTTAGAGTTCAGCATTCCTAGTTATTATGATCATCTGTTTATTGCTATGGACAAGAGCCCATTTTATAGTATAGTTTTTCCATAATTACATTTCCAAATTTATCTTACAATGAACACTTTTAAAATGACAATTTACGGCCAGGCATGGTGGCTCACGCCTGTAATCCCAGCACTTTGGGAGGCCGAGGGGGGTGTATCACTTGAGGTCAGGAGTTTGATACCAGCCTGGCCAACATGGTGAAACCCTATCTCTAGTAAGAAATACAAAAATTAGCTGGGCGTGGTGGTGAGCTCCTGTAATCCCAGCCACTCAGGAGGCTGAGGCAGGAGAATTGCTTGAGCCTGGGAGGTGGAAGTTGCAGTGAGCCAAGATCGCGGCACTGCACTCCAGCTTGGGCCACTGCACTCCAGCCTGGGTGACAGAGCGAGACGTTGTCTCAAAAAATTAAAAAAAAATTAAATAAAACGACAATTTACTAACAATATTATGCACTCAGATTAACGTAGTATATAAGTTTTCTACTGTTGCTGTAACAAATGACCACAAACTTAGTGGCTTAATACAATACAAATTTATCTTACAGTTCTAGGGGTCAGAAGTCTAAAATGAGTTGGCAGGGTTGCATTCCATCTGGAGGCTCTAGGAGAGAATCCATCTCCTTATCTTTTTCGGCTTCTAGAGGCTGCCTGCATTCCTTGGGTTATAGATAGATTCTTCTCATGTCATTCTGACCTCTGCTTCCATTGTCACATTTCTTTCTGTGAATCTGGCCCTCTTGCCTCCCTCTCTAAGGATTATATGATTAGGTTGGGCCTAGCTAATCCAGGATAATCTCTTCATCTCAAGAGCTTTAATATAATTACATCTACAGAGTCCATTCTGCCTGGTAGGGTAACATATTCACAGGTTCTGGGAATTAGGATGTGGACATTTTGTGAAGCTGTTATTTAACCTACAACACATAGACAGCAAAATGTGAACCCATAGATGAATTAATAATTAATGGACAGAAGAAATGATAAGAGATTTACTTTTTTTTTTTTTGAGATGGAGTGTCGCTCTGTCACCCAAGCTGTAGTACACTGGTGCGATCTCACCCCACTGCAACCTCTGCTTCCCGGGTTCAGGCAATTTTCCTGCCTCAGCCTCCCAAGTAGCTGGGACTACAGTCATGCGCCACTACGCCTGGCCAAGTTTTGTACTTTTAGTAGAGACAAGGTTTTGCCATGTTGGCCAGGCTACTCTCGAGCTCCTGATCTCAAGTGATCCACCTATCCACCTATCTGGGCCTCCCAAAGTGCTGGGATTACAGGCGCGAGCCACTGTGCCTGGCCAAAAGCTTTACTTCTAATGTATTTTAAGCTTTATATCAGAACAACCCACAAAGAAATAAATTATTTTATTAAGTAAAAACTTTCGTAAATATATATCAAAATAATAAGACTTAGCCCAGCATGGTGGCTCACGCCTGTAATCCCAGCCCTTTGGGAGGCCGAGGTGGGTGGATCACTTGAGGTCAGGAGTTCGAGACCAGCATGGCCAACACGGTGAAACCCTATCTCTACTAAAAATAAAAAATTAGCCAGGCATGGTGGTGTGCACCTGTAATCCCAGCTACACAGGAGGCTGAGGCAGAAGAATCGCTTGAACCTGGGAGGCGGAGGTTGCAGTGAACCGAGATTGCACCATTGCACTCCAGCCTGGGTAAAAGGAGTGAAACTCCATCTCAAAAAAAAAAAAAAGAAAAGAAAAAAAGAAAAAAGAAAAGTGAAGAAAAAGAAAATAATAATAATAATGACAAGATACCTAACATAAACCAGTAATTATTAAATAGACAACATACATCAACTAAATGGTTGCTGAAGCATCTGCAGATATATTCTCATGCTTTCATGAATTCTGAGATTTCCTGGTTATATAATATTTTCAGGTAGGGCCAACATTTCTTAAGGGTAATTATGCAATTTTTTTTTTTTTTTGAGACAGGGTCTCACTCTCACTTTGTACCCCAGGCTGGAATGCAGTGGTGTAAACATGGCTCATTGCAGCCTCAATTTTCTGGACTCAAGTGATTCTCCCACCTCAGCTTCCTGAGTAGCTGGGATTACAGGTGTGCGCAACCACTAGGCTAATTTGTGTATTTTTTTGTAGAGACCAGATTTCACCATGTTGCCCAGGCTGTTCTCAAACTCCTGAGCTCAAGTGATCAGCCCACTTCAGCCTCCCAAAGTACTGGGATTCCAGGCATAAGCCACACCACTTCTGGTCCTGACATATATTTTAAAATAAGTTTTAGGCTGTGCGCGGTGGCTCATGCGTGTAATCCCAATACTTTGGGAGGCCGAGGTGGATGGATCACCTGAGGTTGGGAGTCCGAGACCAGCCTGGACAACTTGGTGAAACCCCGTCTCTACTAAAAATACAGAAATTAGCTGGGCTTGGTGGCACCACTGCACTACAGCCTGGGTGATAGAGCGAGAGACTCCGTCTCAAAAAAAAAAAAAGTTTTAGATGAAAAATATAATTAGCATTAATTATTTTCAATGAATACCTATTAACATCCTGCAGTATTGTTTGGGGGAAATTATAATAAAAACCTACTTGGGAAAAATAAAATCCAACATTCTTGATAGTTTAATTTAAAAGGCTGTGGTTAGATATTTTATTCTCAGTTGTCTAGCAATGTCACATGAATGACTAGTACAAAATGACAGTTTCACAATGGGCTAATGGGTAAAGCTGTCAGCCGGCCAGCTCTTTCAGGTAAGAAACTCGCCTGGTAGCTACATCTTGATTATCAACTTTGCTCATTTAGGAATAGTTGTCTTTTTTTTCAGTCTCGCTCTGTCGCGATCTCGGCTCAGTGCAACCTCCACCTCTAGGGTTCAAGCCAGTCTCCTGCCTCAGCCTCCCGAGTAGCTGGGACTACAGGTGCGTGCCATCACGCCTGGCTAATTTTTTGAATTTTTAGTAGAGACAGGGTTTCACCGTGTTAGCCAGGATGGTCTTGATCTTCTGACCTCATGATCCGCCCGCCTCAGCCTCTCAAAGTGCTGAATTACAGGCGTCAGCCACCGCGCCCGGCCAGGAATTTTAGTACTTTTATCAGTTCATCCAGGGCTGATCTGGCTCTGACACATGAGCTGAACAGCATGTCTTACCTGACAAATCAAATTAGGGTCAGAAGTTTGCCTAATGAGTCCAGTTAAAATGCCAGGCTGCCCAAGGCACTAAAAATGCCCAGAAACCCACAACACCTCATTTCTCAGCTCCCTATCCCCCAGTCTGGCCTGAATTACAAACTTAAGCAATACATTGAGGTAGCAGTCTACACTGGAAAATATGGTACATTTGAAAAACGATGAGTCACAATTCTATTTGACAATCTTTCTCCCCTTGGTTTGTATGGCTGGCCGTCCAGTAAAGTACAGTACAGTGGCCACTGGCTGCATGTGGCTACTGAGCACCCAAAATATGCCTAGTCTGAATTGAGATGTGCTGTAAGTGCAAAATGCATACCAGATTTTGAAGACTTGACTTAAATTAATAAGAATGTAAAATATTTCATTAATAATTTTTTATATTGATTACATGTTGAAATGACAATATTTAGATTTATTTGGGGATATATTAGATTAAATAAAATATATCATTAAAATTAATTTTACTCATTTCTTTTTACTTATTAAATGTAGCTACTAGAAAACTTAAAATCATATATGTGGTTCACTTATTTTTATTAGACAGCACTGATGTAAGGCTCCTGAAGTCCACCTCTATTATCTTAGCAGCTCATTGTGGTCTTAGCCATTCTTTCCCTTTCCAGTAACTTAGATTTAGAAGTTAGAATAGAAGGTAGATTTAGGAGGTAGAACAGAAAGTTTTGAACTCTGTGGCCACCCTTCAAGTCAAAAGAATTAAATGCCCAGGAAGACAACAAGTCATAATGCGGCCGGGCATGGTGGCTCACACCTGTAATCCCAGCACTTTGGGAGGCTGAGGAGGGCAGATCACGAGGTCAGCAGTTTAAGACCAGCCTGGCCAATATGGTGAAACCCCGTCTCTACTAAAAATATAAAAATTAGCTGGGCATGGTGGCACGCACCTGTAGTCCCAGCTACTCGGGAGGGTGAGGCAGGAGAATTGCTTGAACCCAGGAGGCAGAGGTTGCAGTGAGCCGAGATCTGCACTCCAGCCTGGGCGACAGAGCAAGACTCTGTCTCAAAAAAAAAAAAGAAAAAAAAAGTCCTAATGCAATTCTTCATCTCATTTGGATTGATTCTACAATATTGGAGGGGAAAAGGGAAAGGGGGCGGAAGAGTAATCTTCATATTAGTGTCTGCAGAGACAGAATGTGTGTGTATGAAGGATCAAAGAGGACTATGAGAATTGTTTTGGGGAGGAAACACACACACACATGAGGAAATAGGACAAAGAGTGTGTTGTATTCCATCTCCACCCCTCTCCGCCTCTCTAGGTTTTGATCTACTTTATTTTGGCTATACCCATTTGTCTCTCTTTTTCTCAGTGTACCAATTTACACACTTCCCCTGATGGAATGTGGCTCTTGAAAAGAGAAGAGGCCAGGTGCTGTGGCTCACGCCTGTAATCCCAACACTTTGGGAGGCTGAGGCAGGCGGATCACCTGAGGTCAGGAGTTTGAGACCAGCCTGGCCGACATGGTGAAACCCTGTTTCTACTAAAAATACAAAATTAGCCAGGCGTGGTGGCGCATGCCTGTGATCCCAGCTACTCAGGAGGCTGAGGCAGGATAATTGCTTGAACCCAGAAGGCAGAGGTTGTGGTGAGCCGAGATGGGGCCATGGCACTCCAGCCTGGGCAACAAGAGCAAAACTTCGTCTCAAAAAAAAAAAAAAAAAAAAAAAAAAAAAAAAGCGAGAGAGAGAGAAGAAAGACTAATGGGAGATAAGGATGCAGGCCGGTGTAATAGGTGATAAGGATGCGGCAGCCTAGAAAGATGTTTAACTAAATCGAAAAAGACCTTAGGGATCACTCTGGTCCACCTTCTACCCCAATCCATAACTCTCTTATATGTGGAATAAATGCTGCTGATATTGTTAAAACATTAATATTTATCTAAAATACCAAATATTTACTGAGAAATGGGGGAAAGCCTCTGAAAATATGTTTTTCAACAGGGAAAAAACATGAAGAAAAAACATGATGGCATTGTTTATGAAACTAAAGAAGTTCTCAATCCATCTCCCAAAGTAACACATTGTTGCAAATCACTGTGGTTAAAATACAGTTTTCAGAAGGCATACATGACCCAACTTGTCAGCTCCCAGCCAGTTCCAGCCATGTCAAGGAACCCAGGTAAGATATTTGGATTAAACTAAGATAAATAGTTTACTTAGCATGTGTTTTTCTTGCTATTAAGACCATAAAATTGGACATTAAATATATATATATATATATATATATTTTTTGTTTTTGTTTTTTGAGACAGAGTCTCGCTCTGTCACCCAGGCTGAAGTGCAGTGGTGCCATCTCAGCTCTCTGCAACTTCTGGCTCCTGGGTTTAAGCGATTCTCCTGCCTCAGCCTCCCGAGTAGCTGGGATTGCAGGCGCCCACCACCACGCTGGGCTAATTTTTTAAATATTTTTAGTAGAGAGGGGGTTTCACCATGTTGGCCAGGCTGGTCTCGAACCCCTGACCTCAACTGATCCCCCCTCATAGGCCTCCCAAAGTGCTAGATTTACAGGCGTGAGCCACCGTGCCCAACCCACATTAAATATATTATTTAAATATGAACTATAAGAAAATCTATTCATCCCAGTTCTTAGGTGGCAAAAATCTAAAAGTGACTTTGCTTCATGGTACTAAATCTCTTTAGTTTCCATTAGCCCTGAATCATTGCTGTGACGACCAATTAAGGTAATCCCAAATGGGCTAAAATAGATCAAATTTATCTTTTAATAAAAATTAGTCTTTAAATTGGACCTGACAGTGTCAGTATTGTTAAGGTAGGGAACATTCAGATTAGATTTCTTCTCGATTTTGCCACTAGAGGAGAGAACATGAAGGAAAGATACATTTGGAATTTTGCTTTGCAAAAATGTGTGATTC
This sequence comes from Homo sapiens, assembly GCF_000001405.40. Classification (NCBI taxonomy): domain Eukaryota; kingdom Metazoa; phylum Chordata; class Mammalia; order Primates; family Hominidae; genus Homo; species Homo sapiens. The sequence continues at coordinate 36,425,159 of NC_000006.12, read as the reverse complement.
CTAAATGCCCCAGAATGCTGGAAAATTAAAGTTTTATGTTTTGAAGAGCATTAAAGGACAGTGTTAGGTAAATTTATGAGGTTTTAGGCTTTTAGATAAAAAATATGCTAGATACCTGAGAGGGATTATGAACATTAACTTCAACCTAATATCTAATTTTAAAAGAATTACATGCCACTTGAGAAAGGGAAATTTCAAGCATCCTGATAGTTGCTTGCCACCACACCAGATTTTTTTTTTGAGATAGAGTCTCACTTTGTCGCCCAGGTTGGAGTGCAGTGGTACAGTCTCGGTTCACTGCATGCCCGGCTAATTTTTGTATTTTTAGTAGAGCCGGGGGTTTCACCGTGTTGGCCAGGCTGGACTCCTGACCTCAAGTCATCCGCCCGCCTCGGCCTCCCAAAGTACTGGGATTACAGGTGTGAGCCACCGCGACCGGCCTGGTATCCATTTTTTAGAAAGCACTGAATTGACTGAAATTTTGAATCTTCATCTGTTTTTGTATTTGTTTTTGTTTTTTTGAGACGGAGTCTCGCACTGTCACCCAGGCTGGAGTGCAGTGGCGCGATCTCGGCTCACTGTAGCTCCGCCTCCCAGGTTCACGCCATTCTCCTGCCTCAGCCTCCCGAGTAGCTGGGACTACAGGCGCCCGCCACCACGCCCGGCTCATTTTTGTATTTTTAGTAGAGACGGGGTTTCACCGTGTTAGCCAGGATGGTCTTGATCTCCTGACCTCGTGATCTGCCCGCCTCGGTCTCCCAAAGTGCTGGGATTACAGGCGTGAGCCACCGCGCTCCGCCTGAATCTTCATTTGTTAATTCCGTTGTCAACAACAATTATTCCCCAAAGTCTGAGATTGTGTCACCTATGAACACCTTCTAGGAACTTGTAATTTTTTTTAAGAGACGTAATTCACTTAACATAAAGTTCACCCTTTTAAAGTGTACGGACAGAGGGTTTTAGTATACTCACAACGTTGTGCAATCGTCGCCACTATTCTAAGATTTTATGTTTTATTGTAAACTCTTTCCAGTATGTTTTCACACTCTACCTCCTGATCCTCAGATTCCTTGTGAAGCTGATCGCTGTCTTCCGAGGCGTTCTGTGGGCGTTGCTACTTTTGCCTCAAATGCTTTCCTAATTACAGTTTCACTTCAAAAGAAGAGGCAGGTGAAGTTACTAACGCTGCTGCCCTTGATTTAGAGTTAACAACCCACTAGCTAACGTACATGCTTGTTTTCATGCCTAGAACTCCCGTTTTACCATACGCGAGTTATATGTCAAATCTCATTAGTGACTGGTAGTCTGGTGGGCCACCAATGTGCTTTCAACGCCTGCCAAACAATTAGAAACCAGGGATCTTCCAATAAAGTGCTGTCTCCCATGTCCTCCCACTTCTGGCCCAGGACACCTGGGTTGCCTTTCTGTTCAGGCAGCAGCGCGTTTCTCCCCTTCATCTTTATGATACCACTGAAGAAATGAGGGATGTGCGGAATGAGGGGGCGGTGTGAGGGGGCACGAAC